>NC_000005.10:173034051-173337081 GCF_000001405.40 Homo sapiens
CCCCTCCATGCTATAAGAGGGAAGGGAAAAATACAGACTCTTGAAACTGCGGTGAATTCATTAGATTCCAGCACAATCAATCTCAGTCAGCTTCATTCTTCCTGCTTTCTGTAACATAGAGTGTTACTTGTGCTCCTCATTTCAGCAGTGTCCTTGGTTACTGGACCTTTTGCCACAGCCCTGCAAAACCTGGCCAAACTTGCACCAAGTTGATTATCCTGTGTTTCATATTTTGTTGAGCATCTGTGCATTTTAAAGTGTTGGCTTGGTTAACTTTCTCGATGTTAACTTTTTGCCTTCCTGAGGAATGTATGAGGACCAGTTACCAGAATGGTTTTGTTTTGCAGGTCACGAGAAGAGAATGCCTTCTAGATGCAAAATCACCTCCAAACCAGACCACTTTTCTTGACTTGCCTGTTTTGGCCATTAGCTGCCTTAAACGTTAACAGCACATTTGAATGCCTTATTCTACAATGCAGCGTGTTTTCCTTTGCCTTTTTTGCACTTTGGTGAATTACGTGCCTCCATAACCTGAACTGTGCCGACTCCACAAAACGATTATGTACTCTTCTGAGATAGAAGATGCTGTTCTTCTGAGAGATACGTTACTCTCTCCTTGGAATCTGTGGATTTGAAGATGGCTCCTGCCTTCTCACGTGGGAATCAGTGAAGTGTTTAGAAACTGCTGCAAGACAAACAAGACTCCAGTGGGGTGGTCAGTAGGAGAGCACGTTCAGAGGGAAGAGCCATCTCAACAGAATCGCACCAAACTATACTTTCAGGATGAATTTCTTCTTTCTGCCATCTTTTGGAATAAATATTTTCCTCCTTTCTATGGAAATCTGGGCTCGGTGTTTGTAAAGTTCATTTTTATAAGCTTTTCTATCGCTACATAATGCCTTTTTAAAAAATGATTTTGTAGTCTAAACTTAGGTTGAGTATATAAACCCTGCCATGTAGCTTGAGATGCCTGAAAAGACTGGTAAGTGCGTTTCTTAATCGTTCAGTAACTATTTGAGTGCCTACTGCAGCCAAGGCACTGGAGGGATCAAAGATGTGTAAATTTGGAGTCCCTGCAAGTTCACAAGCTATTTGGAGAGATAAGGTTAGTATACATAGAACTGTAATATAAGGTTGTGTTGGAGCATTGTCCTTAAAGATGGTACCATGGTGAGCAGTTCAAGGTTACCTGCCAGCTGCAGAACAAGGCAGCAAATGCTCCTGAGATGGAACCATCACAGCCTCAGACATAGGACTAAAGAAGTCAAGAGTGATTAAAAAGCCAGGGGCAGGAGACAGTAATTTTGTATTTCAGTAGCAGGCATCTCGATACACTAATTTGAGAGCTTTATTACTTTTAAGAAATTAAAAATTAAAATGAACCTAAATTTTCACCAGCTCATGGCTTTTTGACAGCCAGCCAAGAATGGATTTCCTGTTTTGCAGTTTCTACTTTCTATTCCTCCCAAACTGTCTGAACTCATTACTTTGCTATTCTTATGACCAAAGTGAGTTTCAAGTTGAAGTGACTCTCCTGCTCTCGTTTCTTTTCATTCTTTACTTTTGTTTTGCGCAGTCTGTTAGGCAACTCCATGCTTTACGTTTCCAGCAGGAGGGCCACATTAGCTAATTTCATGGAATACATGAAACATTGATGATTTGAAGTTGAAGGGGGCTATGGTGATATAGGCTAACCCCATCATTTTATGGATAAGGAAGCTGAGCCCAGACAGGGAGAATTTCTCGCCCAGCTTAATGCAGTTGGTCAGAGCTAGACAGGGGAGTAAGATCCATGTTTTCTTTCTTTTTTTCTTGAGACAGAGTCTCACTCTGTCGCCCAGGCTGGAGTGCAGTGGTGCGATCTCAGCTCACTGCAACCTCTGCCTCCCGGGTTCAAGCAATTCTCCTGCCTCAGCCTCCTGAGTAGCTGAGATTACAGGCACCTGCCACCGCGCCCGACTAATTTTTGTATTTTTAGTAGAGACAGGGTTTCACCATGTTGGTCAGGCTGGTCTCCTGACCTCGTGATCCGCCCACCTTGGTCTCCGAAAGTGCTGGGATTACAGGTGTGAGCCACCGCGCCCTGCCATCATACTATTGTTGAAATGTGGGAATGACGAAATCAGCTCAGGTTTTATGAGAGGAAACTCGGTAAATTCCCTTTGCTCAGGAAGTCACTTCACCCTTGAGCCCTAGTTGTTTCATTTATTAAATTCTTGAGAAGGTTCAGTGCCATTAATACCTAAACCCAGGCACATGTTCTCTCGTCACCTCACCCTTAATAGCAGAACTGTTTGTTAACAACATGATTAGGCATCGGAGATGGATGTTGGTGAATCATATTTTCCTGACCGTTGCCACACTCCATCCAGTGTTTGTCAGGGCCCAGACTGGAAGGACCTCCATTTAGCCCGTTCAGAGGATACCGAAAATGTTCCTGCGCTCCAGAGCCCTTCCAGGCGAACGTCATGTGGCCTCCTGGGACAATCACTAGATTAGCAGAGGTCCTAGGTTTGCCATCTTACTCCCATCACTCGCTAGCTGTGTAACGGGGCAAATCATTTAATTTCTGACTCTCAGTGTTTTCATCTGTAAAATAGGGATAATGCATACCTTTTCTACTATACGAAGTTGTTACCAAATGAGATTTTGGCGGGGAAGGTGATTTGTGAATTATAATAATACATCAAGAGTATTTTCCAAATAAATGACCAAATCCCCAGGGTACACTGACAGTACTTTTCTATTCAGATAGGACCCAGAGGGACAGCCAAGTGATTTTTTTTTTCTACGTAGGGTTACACTTTGGGTTCTTTGTGTTTTGTTTTGTTTGAGACAGAGTTTCGCTCTTGTTGCCCAGGCTGGAGTGCAATGGCACGATCTCAGCTCACTGCAGCCTCCACCTCCCAGGTTCAAGCAGTTCTGCCTCAGCCTCCCAAGTAGCTGGGATTACAGTAGGCTGCCTCCACGCCTGGCTAATTTTTTGTATTTTTGGTAGAGACGGGGTTTCACCATGTTGGTCAGGGTGGTCTTGAACTCCTGACCTCAGGTGATCCGCCCACCCTCGACCTCCCAAAGTGCTGGGATTACAGGCGTGAGCCACTGTGCCTGGCCTATGGTTACACTTTTGATTAGTCATTTGTACTTGGAGGTAGAGGTTTACAGAAAAATAAAAGGCACCCTTATTAGGCCCCCAGGCCTGAGTTCAGAGCCAGAGCCTAAGTGGCTGGACCACACCCTTCCTGCCCTTCCAGGTTCTACCAACTCTTATACCAGGATAGAAGTATTTCTGGCATGATTTTGAAGATGAAGTGTGAGGATTGATTGGTTTCTTTTAGCACTGTTTTTGTTGTTTTCTTTAAACATATAATGATGTCTAGACGTGTGTCACTACCCCAACTTAATAATATTTTATCTTTCCTTTGATGTTGCTTCAAAAGTAGCACCTTCTTGTTTAGCCTTTTTTTTTTTTTTTAAGCAACGGTAGGTGTTTGGTCATGCTGAAGTAAATTTAGAATTTGAGAAATGATTTAAAATTGTTGCCAAGAATCATGAAAAATTTGGCAAGAGTCAATTGCTCCTTTATTAACATAAATTATGTTTAAAAATATATGTCTACACATTTTAGAACAGTTTCATACTCCATCCTCTATGCAAAAATTCTTTTTGGTTTGGGAGAATATATGTGTTTAAAATGGAGAGGGAGGCCAGGCGCGATGGCTCACACCTATAATCCCAGCACTTTGGGAGGCCAAGGCAGGCAGATCACCTGAGGTTGGGAGTTCAAGACCAGCCTGGCCAACATGGTGAAACCCCATCTCTACTAAAAATACAAAAATTGGCCGGGCACGGTGGCTCATGCCTGTAATCCCAGCAC
This sequence comes from Homo sapiens, assembly GCF_000001405.40. Lineage (NCBI taxonomy): Eukaryota > Metazoa > Chordata > Mammalia > Primates > Hominidae > Homo > Homo sapiens. The sequence goes on from NC_000005.10 coordinate 173,037,929, forward strand.
TTTGGGAGGCCAAGGAGGGCAGATCATCTGAGGTCAGGAGTTTGAGACCAGCCTGAGCAACATGGAGAAACCCCGTCTCTACTAAAAATACAAAATTAGCCGGGCGTGGTGGCACATGCCTGTAGACCCAGCTACTCAGGAGGCTGAGGCAGGAGAATCGCTTGAACCCAGGAGGCAGAGGTTGCAGTGAGCCGAAATGGTGTCATTGCACTCCAGCCTGAGCAACAAGAGTGAAACTCTGTCTCAAAAAAAAAAAAAAAAAAAGCCCACTATGGTGGCGGGTGCCCGTAATCCCAGCTACTAGGGAGGCTGAGGCAGGAGAATCACTCAAACCTGGAAGGCGGAGGCTGCAGTGAGCCAAGACTGCACCGCTGCACTCCAGTCTGGGCAACACAGTGAGACTCCATCTCACAAACAACAACAACAAAATGGAGATGGAGACTAAAGCAAATGTTATGTGTTACTTTTCCCCTGGCCCTTTTATTTCAACTTTCTCTCAAGAGTTGAGTGGATGAAATCAATTGCAGAAAATTCATAATTTTCAAAGGAAAGCGCAACATAAAACATTGTAAATAATACCTATCTCAGTACAGTTGACTAGAAATAACCTAATGCCGACGTAAGGAGCTGTTTAAATCATGTTGCTGCATCCAAATGAAGTAAAATCAATTTTGTTTTCAAAATACATGCCTAGAAAAGAGACAGAAAAGAGAACAAAATTACTAGCGTTGCTTGCCTCTAGATGGTAATTACAAGTCATCTTATTTTTCTTTTTCCTTTTCAGCATTTTTTCCAATGAAAATGTAATAGTGTAGTAAAAAGAAACAATGGAAGTTAATTTAATAGCAAAAGATAATGGCCAGAATATTATGTTACAAGAAAAAAAATAAAACAGGATTTTAAACAGCTATACATAGAAAAAAGCCTGGTAGGAAACAGACCAAGATGTCAAAAGTGATTATTTCTTTTACAATATTGTGTCTTCCAACTTTTCCATAAACAGCATGTATTACTTTTATAATCAGAAAAAAAAAAAGATATTTTTGAGGGCATCATTGTCAGAAGTGTTAGTACTTCCTTCAAATATAATTTAGTGCACACACACACTTTTTAAAAAAGTTATTCAGGGTCAGGGGAAATGCAGTCAGCTAGATTTATTAAAACATTGAAGCTATTATGAATCAATGAAAATCAGTGAGCTCACACAGAAATTGTGATTGTTTTCATTGTGCAGGACAGAGCACTGATCATTCCGTGTATAAAACTCTAACCTCCTTTTGTATAGGTGCTCACAGTGACAGCATGGGGAAATGAAAAGGGAGCATTGATTTTGATTCTTCCCACATAGAAAAGTGGAAGCCTAGGGTATTAATGCTCTGGGGTCCCACACCGCTTAGAAAAAGCCCCACTGTTCTTCTATGCCCAGCTGCTCCAAGCAAAGCTTTCTTTCAGGCTGTCCCTGCTTCAGTTAGACTCCCATCTCAATGAAATGTATTGGCCCTCTTTTCCCAAATCCCGCTGCCCCCAAGCCAGCTCCAAAAGAAGGGGATATTCCAGTAGCTGAGGATGCTCAGCAGCTAATACTGCCGCCCCCATGAATCCAATCAAGATTCCATTTCAGTTTCTGTCAGGATGTTGACATGGTTTCCATGGTTTCTTTACACCGTCCACAGTGTGGTACTACTGTGGGTTGCCACTCCAAAACAGAACAAGCAGAGTAGATATTTTGTCAAAGTAAGCCTGTATTTGAGGAAGGGTGAGTTAAGAAGCTAAGTGTGACTTTGTCCAAGCTGCAGATGCTTTTCAACAACAGGTTGAAAAAGTAGTTCAGCCAGATTCAACCAGGTTGCACAGGTATTTTCAGCTCCTGTTTTTTGTCCTGATGTTAGCTGCTTGAGCAAAAAGACTCAGCAACCTGACCTCCTGCAGCCTAGAGTTTAGCAGGGAAGAGAATTAAACAGTAATAATGAATGGTTATTTATGCTACACCAGTGCTTCTCAAATGGTAACGTCCAGATTGCCTGGGGATTGTGTTTTAACAGATTCTGATTAAATCAAGATGGGAGCAATGATTCTGTATTTCCAACAAGCTCCCAGGTGCTGCTGGTGCTTCTGGTGGGTGGACCCCATGGAAGCAAGGTGCTGTGTCTTAGGGAAGTACCGGTTGCTAGGTAAGAATAAGCACTAGAAACATTAAACTGGTGGTGGGAGGAAAGGTTATTGTAGGAAATGACCTTTAAGGGTAAACCCCAAGGATGAGTAAGAGCTTAGCAGAGAGGATCGGGCACAGTGGCTCACACCTGTAATCCCAGCACTTTTGGAAGGCCGAGACGGGAGGATCACCTGAGGTCAGGAGTTTGAGACCAGCTTGGCCAATATGGCCAAACCCCGTCTCTACTAAAAATGCAAAAATTAGCCAGCCATGGTGGTATGCACCCGTAATCCCAGCTACTCGGGAGGCTGAGGTAGGAGAATCGCTTGTATCTGGGAGACAGAGGTTGTAGTGAGCCGAGATCATGCCATTGCACTCTAGCCTGGAGGACAGAGTGAGACTCCATCTCAAAAAAATTTTTAAAAAATTAAAAAAGAGTTTAGCAGAGAGGAGTGTCTGCGGTATTTCCAGTAGACCTGTGAAATTGTTGCAGGAGTCCAGGAGAGATAAGTGTCCTGGAGTGTGGTAATGGAAATGAATTAGGAGAAGGAGCTACAATGGGGCCATAATTATTAGTTAATACACATAAACTTCCGTTGAGTGATTAGTTATGTGGGGGCAGTAAGGGACAGGGAGGAGCTGAGAATTACACCAGGTTCTGACTGAGTGATGGAGCCCTTTACTAGGATGGAGGCACAGGGGATACAACAAACTTGTTATAGCCTGATGGGTTCTTCTTGCCTGCTGCCCAGAAATGCCAATGCACTGAGAACAGCCGAAGTGTTGCAGCAGAGAAATAATTTTTTTTTTTTTTTTGAGATGGAGACTCGCTCTGTCGCCCAGGCTGGAGTGCAGTGGTGCAAGCTCCGCTCACTGCAAGCTCTGCCTCCTGGGTTCATGCCATTCTCCCGCCTCAGCCTCCTGAGTAGCTGGAACTACAGGCGCCTGCCACCACGCCTGACTTTTTTGTATTTTTAGTAGAGACGGGGTTTCACCCCATTAGCCAGGATGGTCTCGATCTCCTGACCTTGTGATCTGCCTGCCTCGGCCTCCCAAAGTGCTGGGATTACAGGCGTGAGCCACAGCACCCGGCCGAAAAAGAATTTAATAATCAAAATGCCAGCCAAGCAGAAGGACTGGAAATCATTCTCAAATCTGCCTCCCCGAGAATTCAGAGGCTAGAGTTATTTTATTTTATTTATTTTAATTTTATTTTTGAGACAGATTCTCACTCTGTCACCAGGCTGGAGTGCATGGTGCGATCTCAGCTCACTGCAACCGCTGCTTCCTGGGTTCAAGCGATTCTCCTGCCTCAGCCTCCCGCGTAGCTGAGACTACAGGTGCGCACCACCACACACAGCTAATTTTTGTACTTTTAGTAGAGACAGGGTTTCACCATGTTGGCCAGGATGGTCTTGATCTCTTGACCTCGCGATCCGCCCACCTTGGCCTCCCAAAGTGCTGGGATTACAGGTGTCAGCCACTGCGCCCTGCTGAGGCTAGAGTTTTTTTGTTTTGTTTTGTTTTGTTTTTGAGACGGAGTCTTGCTCTGTCACCCAGGCTGGAGTGCAGTGGTGCGATCTCAGCTCACTGCTCCCGGGTTCACACCATTGTCCTGCCTCAGCCTCCCAAGTAGCTGGGACTACAGGCGCCCGCCACCACTCCCAGCTAATTTTTTTGTATTTTTAGTAGAGATGGGGTTTCACCGTGTTAGCCAGGATAGTCTCGATCTCCTGACCTCGTGATCCACCCACCTCAGCCTCCCAAAGTGCTGGGATTACAGGCGTGAGCCACCGTGCTTGGCCCTCTGAGGCTACAGTTTTTAAAGGAAAGCTGGGTGGGCAGGTGGCTAGGGAATGGGTAGTGCTGACTGAGTAGGGGATGAAATTATAAAGGGTTGAAGTTGTCTTCTTGCACTAAGTCAGTTCCTGGGTCGGGGGTCACAAGACCAGTTGGGTCAGTTTCTGGGTTATGGGTTGCCCATCCTAGTGGCGCCAGCTGGTCCATCAAAATACAAGGTCTGAAAGATACCTCAAACACCAGCCGTAGGTTCTACGATAGTGACGTTATCTATAGGAACAATTGAGGGGGTTACAAATCTTGTGACCTCCAGCTACATGACTCCTGGACCATAATTCTGACCTTGTGGTTAATCTGTTAGTTTTATGAAGGCAGTTTAGTCCCTGTGTGATGAAGAGGTTCGTTATCTTTGTTTAAAGTTAAACTATAAACTAAATTCCTCCCATAGTTTTCTTGCCCTATACACAGGAATGAGCAAAGATGGTCAGCTGGTGAGGTTAGAAGCAAGATGGAGTCAGCAATGCTGGATTTCTGTCACGATCATAATCTTTGCAAAGATGGTTTCAAGCTTAGGGACACAGTGGAGTCCAGCTGTGGACAAAGAGTTGCAGGGACCTGAGGTGTCCATGCAGGGACACCCCCAGTGGGCAATTGTTATTTGGGCCTGGAGGTTAAGAAGGACCAGGCTGGAGGTTAGAATGTGGGCACCAATGCAGAGATAATGGAAGCTGTGGGTGTGGATAAGGGCCAGGAAGAATGTGTGTAGAGTGAGAGGAGAGGCTGTCTAAGCTGCAGGCCTGAGGGGCACCCACTCTTAAGGGTGGACAAGGGAAGAGGAGGACTCTGTAAGGGGCAGCCATTGTAAATGGCCCTGGTTTGGATAGCTGTCGGCACCACCCTCACCCCCAGCTTATTAAGTATTTTACATTACATTATCCTAGGAAGTAAGTGGGACACATATTGTACCTCTTTTATAGCTGGATAAACAGATCAACAGTACATCAAACCTACTCTCATTCCAACAGCTTGGCTGCCCTTCAGCTGGTATGTTTACAGGGACTCCAACCAGCCCTCACTCACCTGACAGCCAAGCTGCCCATTTCTGAGATTCTAGGAGCCGCTTACAGCTGTTTTTTTTTTTCCTACTTTTTCATCATTATTATCAGTCCTGTGGCTAACAATAATACCTAACACATAGCAGTTCCACATACGGATGTTAACTTTTTTTTTTTTTTTGAGACAGAGTCTCGCTCTGTTGCCCAGGCTGGAGTGCAGTGGCACGAGCTTGGCTCACTGCAACCTCCGACTCCTGGGTTCAAGCAATTCTCCTGTCTCAGCCTCCCGAGTAGCTGGGATTACGATGTGCGTCACCACGCCTGGCTAATTTTTTGTATTTTTAGTAGAGATGGAGTTTCACCATGCTGGTCAAGCTGGTCTCGAACTCCTAACCTCAGGTGATCCACATGCGTCAGCCTCCCCAAAGTGCTGGGATTACAGGTGTGAGCCACCGTGCCTGGCCTTTTTTTTTTTTTTTTTTTTGAGATGTAGTTCTGCTCTTGTCACCCAGGCTGGAGTGCAATGGTGTGATCGCGGCTCACTGCAACTTCCACCTCTGGGGTTCAAGTGATTCTCCTGCCTCAGCCTCCCAGGTAGTTGAGATTACAGGCATGCACCACCATGCCCAGCTAATTTTTGTATTTTTAGTAGAGATGGGGTTTCACCATGTTGGTCAAGCTGGTCTCGAACTCCTGACCTCAAGTGATCCACCCGCCTTGGCCTCCCAAAGTGCTAGGATTACAGGCGTGAGCCACCACACCCAGACCACAGATATTATTCTTAATGTTTCACATATTTTAACTCATTTAATCCTCACAAAAACCTATTAAATACATTTATTATCTTCATTTTATAGATGAAGAAATTGAGGCCCAATGTTCCAAGCTGTTGTCAAAAAACCAAATTATAACAAACTAGTTTAAAGATTTCAATTGGCTTTATTTGCAATTCTAGAATCAGGCAACACTTCATTCCATAAAACAGTAAGTCCCAAAGAGCTGAGCAGAAGAGCTTGGCTTTATACACACAGAGAGGGGCTGGAGAAAGCAGAAGGAAGGAACAGAGCATATTAGTTACTTTTAGACAGAACAATAGGAATGTCACTGGTTAGTAACATTGGTTTACTTCAGGATACCTTTTTGGTTTAAGGATTAAGGCAGCCGGGCGCGGTGGCTCACGCCTGTAATCCCAGCACTTTGGGAGGCCGAGGCGGGTGGATCACGAGGTCAGGAGATCGAGACCATCCTGGTTAACACGATGAAACCCCGTCTCTACTAAAAATATAAAAAAATTAGCCGGGTGTGATGGTGGGCGCCTGTAGTCCCAGCTACTCAGGAGGCTGAGGCAGAAGAATGGCGTGAACCCGGGAGGTGGAGCTTGCAGTGAGCAGAGATCGCGCCACGGCACTCCAGCCTGGGTGACAGAGCGAGACTCTGTCTCAAAAAAAAAAAAAGGATTAAGGCAGAGGAACTTCCCTTATCATACTGATTGAAGATTGGAACTGGTCTTCTTGGGAAATTGGTTGTTGTCTGTCTCTCTTGATTTCTTGCAAGGTCAGAAAACTCTTCAGGTTTGGTGATCTGGAACTTTAACATGGCTGACTCCATTTTTATTTTTTATTTTTATTTTTTGAGATGGAGTTTCGCTCTTGTTGCCCAGGCTGGAGTGCAATGGCGCAATCTCGGCTCACTGCAACCTCCGCCTCCCAGTTTCAAGCAATTCTCCTGCCTCGGCCTCCTGAGTAGCTGAGATTACAGGCATGCACCACCACGCCCGGCTAATTTTGTATTTTGAGTAGAGACGGGGTTTCGCCATGTTGGGGCTGGTCTCGAACTCCTGACCTCAGGTGATCCGCCTGCCTCAGCCTCCCAAAGTGCTGGGATTACAGGCGTCAGCCACCGTGCCCGGCCCTCCATTTTGATTTTTAGCCTGGTCTGTCGGGGCCTAATGCAGGAGCTTATTCCAAAACAATGGCCTCCTATAATGGTTTATTTAACAGTGTTAATTAGAGGAAATGGGGTTTAAACCCAGGGGAGTCCGACTTTAGGGTTCAGGGCTGTCACTGAGGCTCCATTTTTCTGAGGTAAAATTCCTCACTTTACCCATCGATGACGGTCTTGTAGCCTTAGTTTCTTGGCCACACCTTCAACCTTTCAGTGCCTATGGTTGTTCCTAGCCCCAAAAGGTCACATGGTTCTTCTAATACCTTCCATTAAGAAGCCAATAGCTTTCTGAAAATGAGGCCAGAGGCCATTTGGAGAATCCTAAACCTACTACCTGGGAACGGGCAGGGTCTTGTGGTTCTGAATGTCCTCAGAATGAATTTCCTGCCATCCCTGGGATTCCAGCTCCCCTCTCTCCACAGCTCCCCACAAGACAGGGTTGGAATTGCTAATCCCCTGCCTTTGGGGCAGACTATCAGACCCAAAGGTAGTTCTTTGTGTTTTTTTTTTTTCCGGTGACACTTCAATGCCCTCATGCAATAAAGGGGCCTTCCTTGATTTTCCTGAGTTGCCCAAGGGGGCCGGCACCTGCAAGTCCCAGGGAGGGTGAGCACTTCATGCTCTCTGCCAGCGTTTCTGAAGCATGGGGTCGGAATGGGATTTTCCAGTGTTACATTGCATGTGGATAGACGGTGCAGGTCCCTGAGAAAGCATCGCCTCATCTCACCTGCCTCTGCCTGGAAAGTTTCACCCCTCTCAGCTCAGCTCCAGGGGCATGTCCTGGAGGCAGTGCCCCGCCTCCTTCCCTCCAGAGGTGTGCGCTGTTTGCTTCCCACAGCAACCTTTGCTTATCTCCGTTATCACAGTTGTACATAACTCTGTCTTTCCCAGGGGCTGCAGAAGCTTTACTGGGCAGGATCCCTTGTTTGTTCGAGTTTGATCCCTACCATCTTGCACAAAAAGCTGTTCAGTAAATGTTCATTCACTGCAAGTTGGCTTGGAAAAAAAAGTCTTGTGAGAGATCACCTTTTTTTTTTTTTTTAATTCCAGTCTCTAGGTATTGAGTTTTCTTAAAGGATGGTAAAACTGTCTGACCTGGACCTCTAACATCTTAGAGGGTGAATTTCATGGGGCAGTCACACAGGGCCCCTTGCTTAGAAGGCCCCTGCACTGGGTTTGATGCTCTGCTCTTGTATTGAAATTCTTAGCAATTTTTTTTTGTGGTGGTGGGGGCGGGGGGATGGAGTTTGGCTCTTGTTGCCCAGGCTGGAGTGCAACGGTGCAATCTCAGCTCACCGCAACCTCCGCCTCCTGGGTTCAAGTGATTCTCCTGCCTCAGCCTCCCAAGTAGCTGGGATTACAGGCATGCGCCACCATGCCTGGCTAATTTTGTATTTTTTTTTTTTTTTTGAGATGGCATCTCACTCTGTCACCCAGGCTGGAGTGCAGTGGCGTGGTCTCGGCTCACTGCCAGCTCCACCTCTCGGGTTCACGCCATTCTCCTGCCTCAGCCTCCCGAGTAGCTGGGACTACAGGCGCCCGCCACCATGCCTGGCTAAAATTTTGTATTTTTAGTAGAGACGGGGTTTCACCGTGTTAGCCAGGATGGTCTCGATCTCCTGACCTTGTGATCCGCCCACCTCGGCCTCCCAAAGTGCTGGGATTACAGGCGTGAGCCACTGTGCCTGGCCTAATTTTGTATTTTTAATAGAGATGGGGTTTCTCCATGTTGGTCAGGCTGGTCTCGAACTACTGACCTCAGGTGATCTGCCTGCCTTGTCCCCACAAAGTGCTGGGATTACATGCCTGAGCCACAGCGCCCAGCCTTGAAATTCTTAGTAATTTTTGAACAAGGTCCCTGCATTTTCATTTTGCACTTAGCCCCACAAATTATGCAGCTAGTACTGCATATTATAAGGAGACTCTCTAGTCAATCAGCAGGTCCTAATTGGGATCCACACCTATCTGTAAACCCCCTGAAAGCACCTGCACAATTAGGGGTGTGTATATTCGTGTGTGTTTTCCTGGAGAGCAAGTCTATGACTTTCGTCAGACCCGAAGCCAAGTTCAGAGCCGTGGTTATTAACAATAACAACGTCACCCAGGCTGGAGTGCAATGGCATGATCTTGTCTCAGTGCAACCTCCGCCTGCCTGGTTCAAGCAATTATCCTGCCTCAGCCTCCTGAGTAGCTGGGACTGCAGGTGCGTGCCACCGTGCCACCATGCCCAGCTAATTTTTTGTATTTTTAGTAGAGACAGGGTTTCACCATGCTGGTCAGGCTGGTCTCGAACTCCTGACCTCATGATCTACCTGCCTCGGCCTCCCAAAGCGCTGGGATTACAGGCATGAGCCACTGTGCCCGGCCCAACAATAGCCATCTTTTACCTAGTGCTTATTGTGTGCCAGCGCCTAAGGACATTATGTAACTGTGATAAGGACAGGAGGCAGGGAAATACTGGGTAGAAGAGAGCGGTTCTCTGGCAAAGGCCCACCCACAACCCCGGGCCTGGGGCCCTAAATGAGAACTTCACATCCCTGTTTTCCCATCTAAATGTTGCTTTTTCCAAAACCACCCTGGCCTGCCAGACCCCCCATCCTGTACCCATAAGAACCCCAAACTCCACTGGCAGAAAAGCAGAACAGTGCGGCAGAGGAGAGAAGAGAAGAAGCATCTGAACGTCAAAGAGGCAGCTGGTCAGCTGCTTAGTCTGCAGCCAAACTCCTTCCCACTCTATCCACTTTCCTCCTCCCCATCCCGCTGAGAGCCACCTTCATCTCTCAATAAAACCTCCACATTCACCATCCTTCAAGTCTGTGTGACCTGATTCTTCCTGGATGCTGGACAAGAACCCAGGTGCCAAGAGGGCAGGGTGTAAAAGGCTGTCACCCTGACTCTCCACTGAGCTGGTTAACACTTAACTGTCCACGGACGGCAAGGGCTAAAAGAGCATTAATTGTAACACACCCCTAGAGGCTACCATGGGGCCTGAGTCCAAAAGCGCTCGCCCTGGCCCCAGCACCCGCTCACCTGTGTGCTCTCCCTCCAGCAAGGGGTTTGAGTAAGCAAGCCACGCCCCTGTCACAAGTCCCCCGAAGGGGTTCAGGGAACTCTCCCATCTCAACTGTTATAGGTTCACTACCTGATGCACACAGCAAGTCAATAAATACATCGTGACACCAGGTTGCAGCAGACAAACAGGTTTAATCATAGGGTCATGAAACAAGGAGAGGACCCTTGTTTAAATCCATTTCCCTGAGGAGTTTGGGGCTAGGGTTTTTAAGGGTTTTGGAGTGGGCCAAAGTGTGGAGATGGCTGATGGGTTGAAGAGTGCAGACTGAAGTCATGGGACAGAGAGCTGAAGAAGCTGGGTTGTCATGCTGATCCCGTTCCTCTGTGGGGGTCTTCAAACTGGGAGCTGGAGTTGGGGTCTGGAAAACATCTTAAGTGAGCCTTAAACAAAAGTCTTATGATTCTAATGTCAGAGATCCTGTCTATAGGAACAATGGGGATGGAAATCAATTTTTTTTTTTTTTTAAAGACAGAGTTGCCCAGGCTGGAGTGCAGTGGCACGATCTTAGCTCGCTGCAAACTCTGCCTCCTGGATTCAAGTGATTCTCCTGCCTCAGCCTCCGGAGTAGCTGGGATTACAGGCACCTGCCTCCAAGCCCAGTTAATTTTTGAATTTTTAGTAGATACCGGGTTTCACCATATTGGCCAGGCTGATCTCATACTCCTGACCTCATGATCTGCCCATCTCAGCCTCCCAAAGTGTGATTACAGGTATGAGCCACCACGGCCGGCTGGAAATCAATTCTTAAGCGGTCTTATGGCCCTGATGTCAGAAGTCCTACCTGTAGCAACAACAGGGATGCAAATGGTCAGTGTCTAGTGCTCCATGACTTTTTTTTTTTTTTTGAGATGGAGTCCCACTCTGTTGCCCAGGCTGGAGCGCAGTGGCACAATCTCGGCTCACTGCAACCTCTACCTCCCGAGTTCAAGCAATTCTCCTGCCTCAGCCTCCCAAGTAGCTGGGACTACAGGCATGCGCCACCACGCCCACCTAATTTTTGTATTTTTAGTAGAGATGGGGTTTCACCATGTTGGACAGGCTGGTTTTGAACTCCTGACCTCAGGTGATCCGCCCACCTCTGCCTCCCAAAGTGTTGGGATTACAGGCATGAGCTACTGAGCCCTGCCATGCTCCATGACTTTTAGCAACAAGGAAGTGGGGCCAGAGGGCAGCCTGATGATTGCTTAATTATATTTCTGTTCAGAATCTGGCACACAATTCTTGTCAACCCCGTGGGGACAGTTTTAGTTATATTAGTTGCCTTATGCTTCACCAGATTTTAATTGGATTGGGGCAGGGCAGAAAGCAGTATTACACATTTCCTGCCTTCTTAATACTCCCAACCCCTCTGTTCCTCACCCAGAGAGGAGACAAAAAACCCACGTACTGGGTCCTCCCTTCTCCCATGGTGTTCACAGGAGCCTGAACCTGTGTCAATACACCCTTTGTTAGGAGGAGGGGAGAACCACCCTCTACTTTGTCCTAATCCCTACTTCAAGTCCCACCATTACTCCCAATTTTCCCAAAGATGGTTTCTTCTTTCGCCAAGCTGGGGCGAGGTGACCGGGTGAGTAGACAAGAGGCCCCCTCTTTATATTATTTATTTATTCATTTATTTTTTGAGACAGAGTTTCACTCTTGTAGCCCAGGCTGAAGTGCAATGATGCCATCTTGGCTCACCGCAACCTCCGCCTCCCGGGTTCAAGTGATTCTCCTGCCTCAGCCTCCCGAGTAGCTGAGATTACAGGCATGTGCCACCACCCCCGGCTAATTTTATATTTTTTAGTAGTGACGGAGTTTCCTCATGTTGGTCAGACTAGTTTCGAACTCCCGACCTCAGGTGATCCGCCCGCCTCAGCCTCCTAAAGTGCTGGGATTACAGGCGTGAGCCACTGCGCCCGGCTATTTTTTTGAGACTATTGCTCAGGCTGGAGTGCAGTGGTGTGATTATAGCTCACTGCAACCCCAACCTCCTGGGCTCAAGCGGTCTTCCCACCTCGGCCTCCCGAGTAGCTGGGACTACAGGCATGTGCCACCACACCCCACTAATTTTTAAATTTTTTGTAGAGACAAGGTCTCGTTATGTTGCCCAGGCTGGTCTTGAACGTCTGGTCTCAAGGGATCCTCCTGCCTCAGCCTTCCAAAATGTTGGGATTACAGGTGTGAGCCACCACACCCAGCCTAAGACTGGCTGTCATGCTGATGGGTCGTCATGGCATCAGGAAAGGGCTGTAGCCAGCTCACCTGTGGCCAGAATCCGTCTGGCTTTATCCGTTGGTAGATCCTGAGTTATGGGGACCGAGTAATGAGAAGGAGACTTGGTCCTTCCTCCTGGTACTGCCTCTCTTAACATAGGACAGGAGCTACAGCTTGCATTCAGGTCTGTTGATGTGCTTTATGTCCCACTGTTGCGGTTCCAGAATGTTGTACCCATTTATGTTATACTTTTCATCTTGGATTCTGGACCTTGTGAAAACAAGATGAAAACTCAAAAAAAACTGTTGGCCATAGTCCCAAGTTTTGCTGTCACGTGAGGGAAATCTATGACTTTGTGGATTTGTGGGTTAAAAAAATACTTTGGATAATAGGATGCCCTAACTTCATCATCAATTCTCTGAACTTCAGCAGCCTCTCTGAACAGCTGACTTCCTTCACTTGGGAATCCAGCTTCACTGTGTTCATCGGATTGGCTTCTTTGGTCCACGCCTCCGTTTGTATTTCAACAAATTATTCTCAAGGCTACAGGTCTTGATCTTCTCATCGATCTGTTCCTCCACTTTCTGTTTTTATCGTCCTACTTCTGACCTCATCAACAGAATGCCTTACTGTACCTATCATTTGGGAGTATTTTCTACAACAAATGCTAGGTTGTTCTCACTCCTTAGCTTCCTGGTTTGCTATCAGTTAGAGTTGCTGATACTACCAGTGTATGTTCAGCTCAGCACTGACAAGATAAAACAAAACAAAAAAGCCATAGCAGCTATTAGTTGTCCTAGGAGTTTCCAGTCTTAGTGAAACAGTCAAAACAATTTTGAGAGGAATGCTGCCTTGGAAGACAACGGAATCCCAAAGCCCTCTGAGTCGCTGGCTGCCTTCTCTTTGCCATGCTACTTTCCCTTCTCTGCTGGTTCTCTACTAAGAAGCTTCCAGGCACATTCCTCCCTGGAAAGTGGAGAAGGTGGGGGGCATCTATTTTTAAAATTTATTTATTTATTGATTGAGACTGAGTCTCACTCTGTTGCCCAGGCTGGAGTGCAGTGGTGCAGTCTCGGCTCACTGCAACCTCCACCTCCCGGGTTCCAGCAATTCTCCTCCCTCAGCCTCCCAAGTAGCTGGGACTACAGGCGCCTGCCACCACGCCCAGCAAAATTTTTCTATTTTTAATAGAGACGGGGATTTCACCATGTTGGCCAGGCTGGTCTCAAACTCGAACTTGTGATCTGCCCGCCTCAGCCTCCCAAATCGCTGGGATTACTGGCGTGAGCCACTGTGCCCGGTCTAAATTTTATTTTAAATACAGACAGGGTTTCCCCATGTTGCTCAGGCTGGTCTTAAACGCCTGGGTCAAGGAATCCTTCTGCCTCAGTCTCCCAAAATGCTGTGATTACAGGCGTGAGCCACCATGCCCAGCTGGGGGTATCTATTATGCATCAGGTCCTGCATTTAATCCTCAGAATCAATAACTGTGAGGCAAGTTATTACAGAATTAAGGAACAGACAGGTTAGTTACTTATCCAAGTAAGTTTTTCTAGCAAAAAGGTGGTGCTGAAATGCATATGTGTCCTGCTCTTAACAACCCTCTAACGGCTCCCTTCTGATGAACTCTGGTTGGATTGTGGGGTCAGTCTCCTCCACTAGGTTCTGAGTTCCTCCAGGGCAAGGATTGTATCTTCAGTGCACACATTAGGCACTCCACAGATGTCAGTTTATTTCTCTCCCTTTCCTATTCCTAACCCCCGCCCATCACTAAACACAGGCTGGAAGATGGTTATCTAATGAAGTGCTTTGCATTCTTTCTTCATAACTCAAGGATTTGTGTTTATGCCCATGTGATTTTATTGAAGAAATAATATCAACACACGATATGAATAATACAAAGCAGTAAGTACATTAAGTGCTTAGTTCGGCGGTAGAGGAAAGGAGATTAAGGAGGGCAGAAATAGACATGGTAGAAATAGATTCCATGAAAGAGGTGAGATCTTGAGCCATGGAGGTTGAACAGAATTTAGATATTAATCTGTCCATTCAGAACACAAGCAGGCTCCTATCCTACGGCAGGACTGGTGCTAGGTATGCGAAATGGGGTGGAATGAGGAATCAGGGTAAATAAATGGGAGACTAGAGAAGGATATTTGGGACCAATTGTAGTGCTTTCTGTGGAAGTAAGAAACCAAGGCTCAGAGCTGTCACACGAAGAACACTGCATCCTCTTGAGAGATCAGGAAGTGGGAAGAACTGACCTTTCTTCTTCCCCCAAAGAATTATTTTATTTCATTTTTTTAACATTAGTCAAGTGCAGTAGTCAGGCAAAAGAGCAGAACAAGGAGTTCCACCTGTAACTAACTATGAACAATTGAGATAATTCATTGCCTTTGGACCAGCCCAAATAATTTTTTTTTCTTTTTTTTTGAGACGGAGTTTTCCTTTGGTGAGTTTTGCTCTTGTTGCCCAGGCTGGAGTGCAATGGCGTGTGATCTCAGCTCACTGCAACCTCTGCCTCCCAGGTTCAAGCGATTCTTCTGCCTCAGCCTCCCGAGTAGCTGGGATTACAGACACCTGCCATCACGCCCGGCTAATTTTTGTATTTTTAGTAGAGACGGGGTTTCACTATGTCGGTCAGGCTGGTCTTGAACTCTTGACCTCAAGTGATCCATCCGCCTCGGCCTCCCAAAGTACTGGGTTTACAGGCATGAGCCGCCATGCCCAGCCCCAAATAATATTTTTGGTAAGATGAATGAAGGATAGAGGCCAATTGCTAACCATCAATCAGTATCTCTTTTCAATTCACTCCAGTCTTCTCAGAAAGAAAATCAGTTTTTAGTGTCAGAAGGACACAGCTTTTCCTGGAGATCTTCCAGCTTTGAGTTAATTAATCTCACTTCTAAAGCTGTGAAGTCTTATTTAACAAATCACACAGGCCTAGAGGGGTCCGGAAAGAAAACATTTAGACTTGAAATGATAACACTCTCTTAAAAGATGTCTATGTGAGCAGCAGGCAGAGCTCAATCTACTGTAATGAAGATTTACACACAGCGCAAAGTTATGACCTACAGGTCATATGGAAAGTTAGGACCTGTGCCAACCATTTTAATTCTTTCAGGATGTGCGCTCAGTGTTGAAGTTAAAAAGATCATAGAGAATACCCAGTTTTACTTTTGATCCCTTGTGGTGAAGAAACTGGAACTCAGAGAGGTCACCTTGGATCTTATAGTTAGTGGTAAAGCTCAAATAGGGGTCTTGGCTCCAAGAACAGTGTTCCAAACACATGAAGGTTTAAAGTAGGTAAAATGCCTGCACATACAAAGGATATCTCTGGAAGAAGACACAGAATGTGGGTAACTGTGGTTGCCTCTGGAAGGGAAAATGAGTAGCCAAGAAACAGCAACAGGACAGAGACTTGATATTCACTGAATACTTTCTTGTGCCTTTTGAATTTTGTACCATCTATATATGTTAGGTAATCGAAAATAAAAAAATTATTTTAAGAATTTGGCCGGGCGCAGTGGCTCACGCCCGTAATCCCAGCACTTTGGGAGGCCGAGGCAGGCGGATCACGAGGTTAGGAGATGGAGACCATCCTGGCTAACACGGTGAAACCCCGTCTCTATTAAAAACACAAAAAATTAGCTGGGCGTGTTGGCGGGCACCTGTGGTCCCAGCTACTCAGGAGGCTGAGGCAGGAGAATAGAGTGAACCCGAGAGGCAGAGCGTGCAGTGAGCCGAGATAGCGCCACTGCAGTCCAGCCTGGGCGAAAGAGCGAGACTCTGTCTCAAAAAAAAAAAAAAAAAAAAAAAAAAAGAATTAAAAGGAGTTCTTGGTTTGTTTCCCCCATTGTATCATATTTGTGTAAAGCGTGTTTTGCTGACTCATGCTATTCCAGAATGTAAATTATTCCGCAGGAACCAGGTTAAACACTTTGGAAGTGGCGATGCCAGTTGGTTACTACTTTGTGGCTAGAACAAGAAGCCAATGATGTTACAGAGTTCCAACTTCCTGCCAACTTTGACTGTGACAGAATCTGGCAGGATAAAACCCAGAGAAACACAAATCAATTCAGAGCCAGTGATTTCATTCATTTTGGAGCAGGATATAGTCATTAACAAACCTTGATGGAAAGGTCTCCTTTAGCCAAAACCTCATCCTTTCCAAGACGACGGAAGAGGGAAATGTGGGAATCCAATGTAACTCACTAGTAAACACCTTCAGTGGGCGGAGCCTCACGCTAGGAGATAAACCTGGCTGCCCCCTGACCCCAAGGAACTGCCCAGTAGAGGAGATGAACGTGCCCGTGTCCAGATAGCAGTGTAACAATGGAAGGTCTAACCATCTGCTGGAGCTTTTTCAAATATAGTGTTACAAGAGAGGATGGTCTGTCATGTATGCCGGGGAGATTTGATGCATGAATCTCATGTGAACGAGTCGGGGTAACCTGCCTCAAACTTCCCAGCTAGTTTTCCTCTTTTTCAATTTTAAATTCCAGCTGATGTGGAAAATTAGAATGTGGTATGTGTTAGATTTAAAAAAATTATAATCCTGGTACTCACTTTGCAGTAGGGGAAATACTCATTCCTTCATTGGGCATGGAGGCCCTACTATGTGGTTGGTATTGTGGCGGCTACAGAGGAGAGATTTATGCTTTTAGTTTCCTGTTAGGTATCTACATATAGTTATCTATTCATTTTGTGTACAGAAGTATTATTTTAGTGGCTGTTAACCTGCTAAAGTCTAAAGTTATCTGTACTTGCTATTTAGTCTACAGTACATCTTCCAAATGATGCCCTTAAACAATTTAATAATTCAACTATTGATTGAGTGCTTACTATATGCCAGGCACTATGATAAGTGCTTTATATGAATTATTTCACTTAGTTCTCACATCAACCCCAGAAGGTACTAACAGAGGAGGAAATTGAGCTTCACAGAGGTTAATTTGTGTTGCTTTACACGTGGTGAAACAAGGATTCAAATCCAGACTATTCATTCAACCAGTATGTAATGACTGTCTATGTGCCGGGCATGGAAGTTACAGGATAAACACTGCCCAGTCCCTGCTCTCCTGATGATTATGATCTGTGGGTCTTTTTGATTCCAAAGTCCATGGTTTTGACAATGACACTATACTACTTCTCTAAATCTGTGCAAAAGGGAGTCACATTTTCAAAGGCGATTCCTCCTAACAGAAACCTGGGCAGGTGTCTTTATTCCCGTCTTCCTTTCCCTGTGCTTACTAAAATCAAATTTCTGTTGTGTGTTCAGATCAATTCCGTGCCTTTAAGATGTATAAAAAGCATCTGGAAGAATAGGCTGTGATAAAAGACAAGGGCTCCAGCCCTAGCTAGCTCACTTACTAGCTGCCTGACCTCGGGCAAGTAACTTAACTCCTCTCAGTCTTAATTTTCCTGTCTGAAAAATGGATATATTACTACTGCATGTGCTTGCAGGGAAAACTAATTGAGATGATAAGCCCACCATATAGCACTCGTTCAATAAAGGGACGCTGTTGTTATTAAGAGGATCAGTAAGTGCAAGAAAACGACCATGTGTCACGGAGGTTTGTTTGTCTAGGCGCTTCTGTAGTAGTGGCATTCTGGTTGTACAGTCGTATACGGGTCTCTCTCTTCAAAGGTGCACGCAGTCTGATTGATCCCTGTGCCTCGGAATCCGTGCTAAATAAATATTGAGTCGGTGAATGAATGAACGAACGACAAAAGGCAAGGTTTGTCTCTCACTTAATTAAGACGTTCAGATGGGGAGAAGGTCCATCACCCATGACATCGATACAATCCCCCTACTAATCAAGTTAGCCACTTCAAGTTTCAGTGAACTTAAACTACAAAATGGGCAAAAGGACACCTCATGCCTCACAGCGCAGTTCTGAGATCTGATAAAACGCTAGATTTGAAGCCTTTGTAAAAAGGAACATCCTCTCCCATCCTGGGCGTGCTGCCGGGTATCGCAGACGGCCCACGCCCACACTGCAGAGGCCGGCACCGAGCCCCCGCTCCGCCCTCTCTTCCTGGTTTTTCCCGGCAACCCGCCCCTCCGGCGACACGTGACAGGGGTGCCCGGCCGGACTCAGCCCCTGATTGGCCGGGCTGTGGAACGCCTCGCGATTGGCCCGAGGCCGGCGGGCCCCCGCCTCCCTCCTCCTCCTCGCCGCGGCCCACGTGAGGGGGGCGAGTCACGCGATTTCCGGGAACCCGTCAGGAAGGACATAAACAAAACAAACCCGAGGCAGCATGGAGAGGGGCCGTGGCCCCTGCAGCGGAACCGGACCCAGTCCCTGAGCCGCCCCTACACCCACAGGTGAGCGCCGCCACCCGCTGCTCGGAACCCCCAGGGGCCTGGGCTGGGGGAAGAGCGGAACGGGGGGCGGAGGGCCGCTTGCCTAGGAGGCAGCAGCGCTGGGGCTCTGGGCCGGGCCGGCGCGGGGCGGGGGCCGGGACCACGGCCGAGTGCTAGGGCGCGCGGGCCTTGGGCCACCGCCTGCAGGTCACGGGGGCTCCGCTCCCCTCCCCCACCCCCGGCCCGGGACGGTTACATAAAAGCGCGGGGCGGCGGTAGATGGGACTCGCGGGCGGGCAGTAGGCTAGGCCGGGGATGGGCAGCGCCGGGCGTCCGTCCTGCCGGGCCGCCCGGCCCTTCCCCGCTGCCTCCGAGCCCGGGGCCGCTGCTGCCGGCAGTCGGCCTGTCAGAGAAGAGAGCGGGTGGGAGGGGCCCGGGAGGGGAGGGGAGGCGAGACTGGCGGGGGAGGAGGGGAGAGAGGGGCGTGTGAGGAAGGGCCGGGGCCGCGGAGGTTGGAGCCAGGCTGGCAGGAGACGAAGAGGCGCGGGCTGGGGCTAGGGGGGTCCGAGCAGGGCGTCTCGGGGGTAGCCGCTCCCCCTTCTGTCCCCGCCTCAGAGGCGACGGGCGAGGGGCCTCCCTCCCGGGATTTGTTTATATGTCTTCTCAAAGCAGCTTGAAGCGGCTGAGGGGCGGAGCCCTCAGAGCTGAGTGGCAGGCTCTGGCGTCCAATGGAGCGGGCGGATGGAGACTTCTGCACCAATGGGCGTGGGGGAGGCGGTGCCGCGGGGGGGCCACTAATTGGTTAGGCTGTGCCGGAGGTGGGCCGGGCGGGGCAGCCATGTTAGATGGGAGGGGACCAGTGGTGGTGGGTCACTGAGAGGGGAGGAGACAGGGCAAAGGGCGAGGGAGCCGGGCCGGGGGTGTTTCGGGTGTCCGAAGGCGAGTCCGATCGGACCAGGAAGTAGCTCAGGGGAGCCTGACCTCGACCCGCCTTTCTCCTCACACGAGCTGAGGAGGCAGGGAAGTACCGAGGGCAGTCAAGCCTCCCCTGGGGGTGGTTCCTGGGACTAGATGGAGCTCAGTCTCTGGATTCTCCCTCTTTCTCGGCCCTATGCTTCCTGACAGACCTGGCCGCCAAACCCTGTAATCGCCCTCCTTTAACCCAAGAAAGCAAGTCTTTCTGCCGTTTCTGAGCTGGCTTGAGCCTTAAGACTACCTTAAGGAGGTACTTGGATAAATAGCGGTCTGAATTTCTGTACCAGGCCTCAGATAAGAGACAGGCAGTGAAGGGGAAGTTTTGTAAAAGAAAACGGGACTAGAAAAGCCGAGCAAGTTGAGGGCTGGGCGGGGTTTCTTTTTTTTTTTTTTTCTCATCAGGATGCCTTTTAAAGATTAGGCCCCGTGCTTGTCCTAGTCTTAGTAGTAATTTGCCCCTCTTGCTAACATAAGTTGGTAGTCCACATTAATCAGCTTCTTGAGAAAACTGAGCCCACAGGAAGTTATTTAGTTTCGAAGGTTCTTTGGGACTTTTCTTGCGAATACCCTGCAGGTGAAAAATAGGATCAAGGCCTGGAATTTCTTTTTTTTTTTTTAAAGCAGAAAACAAGACTTGGGTGTAAATCTTGTGATCTGTCGTAAACTAGTTGTCACTTGATTGTACTTTTAAATATCTTTAATCTTTTAATCCAAAATAGGATATACACCAGAGGCAGGGAAAAATGGTATGAATAATTCGAAAATAACTTATTTTAATCTAATTGTATTATGGTTATTTTGGCATCCTTTTGGCCTTGTTAAATGCTTAATTTAGGTTTGTGTTTACATCGGATTACAACCTGTGGCTACGTTGGTATTGTCAAGGGTACCAAGCTCTTGATGGCATCTTTGGTTAAGTACTTAGGCGTAAGAACATGCCTTAGATAGATCATGCAGGGGCTAATCAGAGTTAGCTGTATTAAGAATTTGCATTATCTTCTATTTTATTAGTTGGAGAAAAAGAATAATTGGTAACTGATTCATCAATTTTTTTTTTTTTTTTAATTTGAGACGGAGTCTCGCTCTGTCGCCCAGGCTGGAGAGCAGTGGCCAGATCTCGACTCACTGCAAGCTCCGCCTCCCGGGTTCACGCCATTCTCCTGCCTCAGCCTCCGGAGTAGCTGGGACTACAGGCGCCCGCCATCACGCCCGGCTAATTTTTTTTGTATTTTTAGTAGAGACGGGGTTTCACCATGTTAGCCAGGACGGTCTCGATCTCCTGACTTCGTGATCCGCCCCCCTCGGCCTCCCAAAGTGCTGGGATTACAGGCGTGAGCCACCGCGCCCAGCCTCTTTTTTTTTTTTTTTTTTTTTTTTTTTAAGACGGAGTCTCCGTCTGTCGCCCAGGCTGGAGTGCAATGGCACGATCTCGGCTCACTGCAACCTCCGCCTGCCGGGTTCTAGCAATTCTCCTGCCTCAGCCTCCCGAGTAGCTGCGACTACAGGCGCGTGCCACCATGCCTGGCTAATTTTTTGTGTTTTTAATAGAGACGGGGTTTCACCACGTGCTGGTCAGGCTGGTCTCGAACTTCTGGCTTTAGGTGATCCACCCACCTCAGCTTCCAAAGTTCTGGGATTACAGGTGTGAGCTACTGCGCCCGGCCTGATTCATCAATTTTTGTAGTACTTTGGCATGACTGACTCAGTTCTGTTAATAATGATACATAAAAACGTAATCCCTGATTATTTGATAAACTTGAATTCTTACGTATAACTTTTGCAGTAAATAAGGGTATTAGCTTATTTATCAGTTCTTCTTTTTCTTTTTTTTCTTTTTTTTTTTTTTTTGAGACGGAGTTTCGCCCTTGTCGCCCAGGCTGGAGTGCAGTGGGAAGATCTCGGCTCACTGCAATCTCCGCCTCCCGGGTTCAAGCAATTCTCCTGCCTGAGCCTCCTGAGTAGCTGGGATTACAGGCGCCCACCACCACGCCCGGCTAATTTTGTATTTTTAGTAGAGACGGGGTTTCACCATGTTGGCCAGACTGGTCTTGAACTCCTGACCTAAGGTGATCTGCCTGCCTTGGCCTCCCAAAGTGCTGGGATTACAGGCGTGAGCCACCGCGCCTGGCCTATCAATTCTTATTTTATCAGGTGGCATTGTGTTGCTTTTGGAACCCTAGCCCTTACAATGCCCTAATTAGTTTAACAGAGAAGTATAGTGAAAATAAAAATAAACACTTTTCATTGATACTTAGAATATTCCAGGCAGTTTTCACTGTTGCATCGGTTGATAAAGTCAATCAGCATTGCTTATATAATGCTCTCTTATTCTAAGAATGGCAAATAGATGCAATAGAACTTATTTGGGTATAATTCCTTCATATGACTGGTATATCAGCTTTGGGTTTTTTATATTCATAAGCATAGAAGAGGCTAAATAGCTCCCGAAGAGAGTCTGGATGCTCCATTTACCATCATTCTCTGTCATGGCAGGTGAAAGCAAGCTTTTATATAGACAATGTTCTACTTAGTTTACAGGGTGTCTACTTAGTTTACAGGGTGGATGTGTGTGGGTTCTGGGATACTAGTGTAAGAAGTAAAGGAATAACTAGCATGGTTCCTGGTGGTGGTTAAATACAAGTGACAGTGAAGTACAGTAAGTTTGTGTGTTGATTCTGTTAATATAACTCAGTTTTTAAAAGATAAAGAGAACTGAAATCACTGTTTGCTTTTAAAGCTTAATTTTCAGTCAAGATCGGCATCTATATATTTATTTAAAAAATACATATATATATATATGTTTTTTTTTTTTTTTGAGACGGAGTCTAACTGCGTTGCCCAGGTTGGAGTCCGGTGGCGTGATCCTGGCGCACTGCAACCTCCGTTTCCTGGGTTCAAGCGATTATCCTGCCCCAGCCTCCCGAGTAGCTAGGATTACAGGCGTGCACCGCTATGCTCAGCTAATTTTTGTATTTTCAGTAGAGACAAGGTTTCACCAAGTTGGCCAGGCTGGTCTTGAACTCCTAATCTTAAATGATCCGCCCGCATTGGCCTCCCAAAGAGCTGGGATTACAGGTATGAGCCACCGTGCCCCCTCTAGTTATGTGATTTTGAAATGAATTAGCAGTCGCTTGTTTCCAAGTAGGGTTGAACTTGGATTTTTTTGAGGAACAATTCACTGACACTTTCACCATATTCAGTAGCTCATTTCGGGATAGGTAAACTCTTAGACGAGACATAAATTTGTCAGATAATTGGTTCTGATTATTTTAAGACAAGGGTTGACAGACTTTTTTTTTTTTTTTGGAACAGGATCAAATAGTTAATATTTAGGCTTTTTCAGCCTTCCAGTCTCTGCCACAACTACTCAACTTTGAATCTGTAGCATGGAAACAGCTGTAGAAAATATGTTCTACATATTTTTGGGCTCTATTCCAATAAAACTTTATTTACAAGGTCAGGCTGTGCCTCTATTTGTGCTTCCACGGCTATAGTTTGTCAGCCCCTGTTGTAAGACATCAGTCATTGAGGTTTTTTGTTTGTTCGTTTTTTGAGACAGAGTCTAGTTCTGTCCCCCCTGCTGGAGTGCAGTGGCACGATCTCGGCTCACTGCAACCTCCGCCTCCCGGGTTTAAGCGATTCTCCTGCCTCAGCCTTCTGAGTAGCTGGGATTACAGGCGCCTGCCACCGTGCCCAGCCAAGTTTTGTATTTTTAGTAGAGACGGGGTTTCACTGTGTTGGCCAGGCTGGTCTCAATCTCCTGACCTCCTGATCTGCCCGCCTCAGCCTCCCAACGTGCTGGGATTACAGGCGTGAACCACCACATCTGGCCCAGTCACTGAGTTTTAAGTACTTAGATGTTAAGGTATTTCAGAATATACAAATAGACACTTTAGGTACATTTGAGCATTTGCAGATTGTACAGTCTCCTGCCTTGAAGAGAATTTTTAGTACAAGAGCATATGGCAACATTGTATTTTGTATTTTTCCTTCGTTTACATATAAATGTTTTCTTGAAAAGCTGTTTAAAGCAAATATTGGTATAAATCCTGTTGATTTTAGAGATGCAGTCTGATTGAAAAAACTTTGGCCCTAAGATATATTCAGGATATGGTCCTCTTGAAGTTTCAAAGCACATTTAGCATATAATCCTTAACAAAGCTGTATAGCTGTTTCAAGAGATGATAGTCACGTGAATAGTCAACACATGTAGTTCTTATATTCAAATATGCAGTTAATTTAGAAGTTAAGACATTGAGTGCTCATTGCCTGAGATGCTTGAAGAATTAAAGAGAGTAGGATGCTTTTTCCAGGCCCAAAAAGATACAGGTTACCTCCTCTCTTTTTCCAGGGAAAATGTCAAGTCGTGCTAAGTGCCTAGTGAAGCAGAGATGCCGTAATCTAAAAATATAACTGGGAAATACTAAATTTTTTTGATAACTTTTGCTTTATTTTTAATGTAATATTTCACCATTTTTGTTGACTTGAACTGGATTTCAAGTGGAAGCGTAAAAGTTTAGAAAAGAGAATATATTGACCTTTATGAACTGAGAAACATGTGGCCTGCAATCTTGTTTCTAGATCTAGCTAACCTAGGGTCTGCCTGGATGACTACAGATAATCTCAGTTTATTAATTTGTAGTGGTAGGGATTAATGATGTTTTCCATCTCACAAGGGGATACTGGGAAATTTTTAGTTACTGTATTCTTAAAGTCTTGTACTTTGAATATGCTAATATTTCGGTCTGCTTGAAACCACTTCTCAAATCTGGATTCGATTTTCTCCTGGCTTATTTGTCTTCCCATTAAACTATGAGCTCCTTGAGGTCAGAGTCTGTGTTTTATTTCTATATATTCACTGCCTCACACTGTGCCTGATACCTTTTAGTGCTCTTGAACTGTTTAAATGAATGCATGCATTGCTGAGAACTGCTTATCTGGAAAGTAATAAAGTCTACTATTAGAGATGTTGGGCTTTTCTTAGTTAGAAAGGAGGAATTAATCACCGTCTGTTCAAACAAAAAGCCTTCATTCTAAAATTGATCCGTTCTTTTAAGAAAGTTTTTAGAGAAGCTATTTTGATGATGTTTAAAAATCTCTTTAGTTCCTTTGTTAATTTGTTTTCAGATGAACTCCATTAGTTAGACTTGTTGAATATTCCTTGCAGGTATTAAAAAAAAAAAGTTGTGCTTTGTTCTTTGGATTTGTCCTATTTGGCAAATGTGGATGGAATCTCTTATTTCATACAGGTTTGGGATAATTTTTCATCTACATAGTAGGGTCTTTTTTTAAGGAGGGCACTGTAAAATCATTCTTTTTTTTTTTTTTTTTTGAGACGGAGTCTTGCTCTGTCGCCCAGGCTGGAGTGCAGTGGTGGGATCTCGCCTCACTGCAAGCTCTGCCTCCCGGGTTCACGCCATTCTCCTGCCTCAGCCTCCCAAGTAGCTGGGACTACAGGCGCCCGCCACTACGCCCGGCTAATTTTTTGTATTTTTAGTAGAGACGGGGTTTCACCGTTTTAGCCGGGATGGTCTCGATCTCCTGACCTCGTGATCCGCCCGCCTCGGCCTCCCAAAGTGCTGGGATTACAGGTGTGAGCCACCGCGCCCAGCCTGTAAAATCATTCTTGCTAATAAGTCTGACTCACCTCTGTGGGGTAGGCTAGGATTTGGATCGAGTTTGACGCAGGGTGCGGCAGTAGTATCACCAGCCAAGCCTTATATGCATTTCACCAATTTATGACCTTTCCTCCAAAATCTATATTGTAACTCTCCTTCCTAAACAGCTTTCTAAACTACTGCTTTCCGTACTTAACTCTTGGCAACATAAATCATCCTACACTCTGTCCTTTCAACACCAAAACCACTTTTATATCTTTTGGGTATTACTGATTTTGAGAATTTCCTATGAAAGCCTCACAAATTTCCTGATTTCTTCTTCTCTATTTTTTTTGAGACAGAGTCTCACGCTGTTGCCCACGCTGGAGTGCAGTGGCGCCATCTCGGCTCACTGCAACCTCTGCCTCCTGGGTTCAAGCGATTTTCCTGTCTCAGCCTCCTGAGTAGCTGGTATTACAGGAGCACGTCACCACACTCAGCTAATTTTTTGTATTTTTAGTAGAGGTGGGGTTTCGCCATGTTGGCCAGGCTGGTCTTGAACTCCTGACCTCAGGTGATCCACCTGCCTTGGCCTCTCAAAGTGCTGGGATTACAGGCGTGAGCCACCACACCTGGCCTGCTGATTTCTTTTTCTTAATTTTTAATTTCTTGATTAAAAAGAATTTTTGTTCTTTTTGACTTTTTTTTTTTGAGGCGAGTCTTGCTCTGTCACCCAGGCTGGAGTGCAGTGGTGTAATCTCTGCCCCTGCGACCTTCGCATCCTGGGTTCAAGCAATTCTCCTGCCTCAGCCTCCCAAGTAGCTGGGACTACAGGCACCTGCCACCATGCCCGGCTAATTTTTATATTTTTAGTAGAGACAGAGTTTCACCATGTT
This sequence comes from Homo sapiens, assembly GCF_000001405.40. NCBI lineage: Eukaryota > Metazoa > Chordata > Mammalia > Primates > Hominidae > Homo > Homo sapiens. Next base: position 173,063,927 of record NC_000005.10, read on the forward strand.
GGCCAGGCTGGTCTTGAACTCCTGACCTCAAGCGATCTGCCTGCCTTGGCCTCCCAAAGTGCTGGGATTACAGGCGTGAGCCAATGCACTGGCCTAAAGTTTTTTTTCTTAAAGACTAGTGTGATAGTAAAGCTTGCTGTTTTTTTTGTCCTCCAGTTTTTTTTTAGATTCTTGTTGTACATATGTTTTCTTCAGTATAATATTTTGTCCTGAGGGTTTGAGGTGCTCCTTTTATAAAAGCAGTTTCTTTTTTGGCTGCTGATGGAATTGCTGCCTTTTCTATTATAGGTTAGTCATTTACTGAGAAATTTAAAGCATTACAAAAATAAAACGTTGATATGGGGAGGAATTAGGGGTAGGGTGGGTGTACTTTTGAAAAGATTCATTGTAGAATTCCTTAAAACAGCAAGGCTTCTAGCATCCTAGTGGTATGGTATAAATGAGGTGGACTCATGCAGTTTTTGTTGTTGTTGTTTGAGACAGGTCTTGCTCTGTCACCCAGGCTGAAGTGCAGGGGCACGATCACGGCTCACTGCAGCCTTGACTTTCCAGGCTCAAGCAGTCCTCCTGCCTCAGCCTCCTGAGCCTCCTGACTATCTGGGACTACAGGTGCGCACCACCACACCTGGTTAATTTTTTTTTTTTTTTTTTTTTTTTGAGACAGAGTCTCGCTCTGTCGCCCAGGCGGAGTGCAATGGCACAATCTCGGCTTACTGCAACCTCCACCTCCCGGGTTCAAGCGATTCTCCTGCCTCAGCCTTCCAAGTAGCTGGGATTACAGGGATGTGCCACCATGCCCAGCTAATTTTGTATTTTTAGTAGAGTCGAGGTTTCTCCATGTTGGTCAGGCTGGTCTTGAACTCCCCACCCCAGGTGATCTGCCTGCCTTGGCCTCCCAAAGTGCTGGGATTACAGGTGTGAGCCACTGCGCCTGGCCCACCTGGCTAATTTAAAAAATTATTTGTAGAGAGAGAGTTTTACTATGTTTCCCAGGCTGGTCTTGAACTCCTGAACTCAAGTGACCCTCCTGCCTCAGCCTCCCAAAGTGTTGGGGTTACAGGTGTGAGCCACTGTACCTAGCTGTACAGTTTTTGAACTGCTTTTTAGTAAGGTTTTCATCTTTACCTTTGAATCCTCTACTAGAGTTGCCCATAGACTAGGAGAGGAGACACACATTGCAGCCCAATGTTACGATGGTTTTTCAGAACAAAATGTTCTGAAATATGGAAGAAGGACTGCTAACTCTGCCTGGGGAAAGTTGAATATTCATTGAAAAAGTGGTGTTTGAACTTAGTTTTGAAGATTAGTGAAGGAGGCATTCTAGTACAGCTGAAGTATAAAAGATGTGTAGTGTGGGGTTGGGTATGAGATGGTTTGAGCTAAGGCAGAGGTGGGAGGGAGAATGGAAGAGGAGGAAACTGATGTGTAAGATTTAGGAGGAAATAGCTTTTTTTGCTTTCACTTTGTCCTCTAATTCTCTTCAGTCTGTTCTATGCTGTCAGGTCTCCAGTCTCTTTTCCCTGTAGCTCCCTGTACCTCTGACTTTGGTTGATTGGTTTTTTCCCCTAGTGTTCCATTTTTCTTTTAGTCCCACCTTTTCTAATGTGTTGGTACTAAAGTACCTTTCATTCTGACTCTATTTGTCTCTTGCGTTTATTTCACCTCCCACCCTCCCTCCCTCTCTCTCTTTATTCCCTTTGGGTTATATTTCTTTCCTTTTCTTTTCCTTTTTCTTCTTCTTCTTTTTTTTTTTTTTTAAAGACAGGATGGTGCAGTGGCACAGTCATGGTTCACTGCAGCCTTGACCTGGGGCTCAAGTGATCCTCCCACCTCAGCCTCACGAGTAGCTGAGACTACAGGTGTGTGCCACCATGCCCAGCTAATTTTTTTTGTAGAGACAGGGTTTCCCCACATTGCCCAGGCTGGTCTTAAACTCCAGGGCTCAAGCCACCCACCCACCTTGGCGTCCCAAAATGTGCGATTACAGGCGTGACCAACCGCACCTGGCCCCTTTGGGTTTCTCTTTGCCCCTACCTTTCCTTTTTATTTGCTTTATTTTATTTTTTATTTTTTTTGAGATGGGGTTTTGCTGTGTTGCCCAAGCTGGCCTCAAACTCCCGGTGTCAAACAATCCCATCTCAGCCTCCTGAGTAGCTCAGGCTGCAGGCGTGTGCCACCTCTCATTATCTTTTATTTAAAAGCAAAACAAAATAAATTCTTGCGCACTATCTGCTTATTTTACATGTAAATAGCAAAATAAGCTGATTCCCTCTTGGGAAATCTTGTAAGATCAACTAGCTTTTGATACCTGTTCAAAGACTAATTATCCATTTCTGTGAATTTCTTTTTATGAAACATTTTCCTTTGTATTCAAAGATGCTACTTCTTCAAAGGCCACAGTGTAGAATGTGACTGCCTATGTGCCCTGTTTTCTATTTCTTATGCACCTACAAATTGTTTGATAACAAAGTCCAATTCACCTTTTTCCTAAAGCTTTTCCAAACTTTCCCAGGTAGTAGTATTCTCGGTAGTTGTCTATTATTTTGTAAACACCTCTTTTTAAAATTCAGCTTTATTGAATTATAATTTATGTAAAAGAAAATTCAACCAATTTTGAGTTTTGACAAACACATGCTGTCGTCTAACCACTGTTATATCTCTAACATTTTTATCACCACAGAAAGTTCCTCATGCCCCTTTTGTTCAGTTCTCCTGCACTCGCCCTTGGCTCCAGTCACTGATTTGCTTTGTATCACTATTGTTTTGTCTTCTCTGAAATTTCATATAAATCTTTTGGTAGAATGTGTTGTCTTTTGAGTCTGACTTCTTTTAGTTAACATTGATTTTGAGATACTCATATTGTGTCGTATATTCATTGAATCTTTTTTTTTTTTTTTTTTTTTTTTTGAGACAGGGTCTCATTCTGTTGCCCAGGCTGAGTGCAGTGGCGTGATAATGGCTCATTGTATCCTTGACCTCCTGGGCTAGAGTGATCCTCCTTCCTCAGCCTCACGAGTGTCTGGGACTACAGGTGCCATCATCATGCCTGATTAATTTTTGATTTTTTGCAGAGATGGGGTTTTGTCATGTTTCCCAGGCTCGTCTGGAACTTTTGGTTGCAAGCAGTCCTCCTGCCTTAGCCTCCCAAAGTACTGGGATTACAGGTGTGAGCCACCTTTCTCAGCCTGAGCCACCGTGCTCGGCCTGAGCCTTTGTCATTGTATGGACATACCACAATTTATCTGTTTATCAGTGGGTAGACATTTGCATTGCTTCCAGATTTTAGGCTATTATAAATAAAATGGCTTTAAATATTCATGTACAAGTCTTTTAGATATCTCTTTTAACATTCATTACATTTTATTTGGAAGTTGAGTTGCAGAGCTGTCAAGACTGAACACCCAACATTCATAAATAGGCATTTTGCTAGTTCTGTGGTTTTGAGCATCTTTCAGCTTAGATTCATAATCTGTAAAATGGGACTGGGTGGAGATTCAAGCAAGCTAGAGAGCACAGGCCAATTTAAAGAGGATACCTCTTTTTAGTTCAAGTGATCATCTTTCTGGGAATGTATACCCAATGTCAGATCTAATTTTTTCCCCCAAAAGAGTGGTATTTGAGATCAGACATCAAATTTTATATGAAATTTCATGTGAAATTTAAATACTGGTAGTTACAATTTAAAAAACACTAATGCAACTGATTTGCAACTGAACACAACTGATTTGTGGGCGTTGATTTCTCACTGCAGTACAGTTTGAGACCTTGGCTTTAAATCTTCAGTTAATTGGCCGGGTGCCGTGGCTCACACCTGTAATCCCAGCACTTTGGGAGGCTGAGGCGGGTGGATCAAGAAGAGGTCAGGAGATCGAGACCATCTTGGCTAACGCAGTGAAACCCCATCTCTACTAAAAATACAAAAAATAAGCCGGGTGTGGTGGCGGGCACCTGTAGTCCCAGCTACTCGGGAGGCTGAGGCAGGAGAATGGTGTGAACCCAGAAGGTGGAGCTTGCAGTGAGCCAAGATCGCTCCACTGCACTCCAGCCTGGGCGACAGAGCGAGACTCCACCTCAAAAAAAAAAAATCTTCAGTTAATTTTGTCTTCTGTTTTAAAATGTATATCCTCCCAGTAGAGTGCACTTGTTAGGTCCTTTTTACCTTAGTTTTATTAGCATAATAACTTGCTGGTTGTCAAAATTCCCAAGTTAAAAACTAACGAGTTACTGTAAATTTTATTCTTTTGTCTGATTGGAAGGATATTAAGAATACTGACTGCCTGATGGAGGAGTGGAACTAGGTTCAGGTTACTCTATGTACTTCTCCTTCTCTGATAGCTGCTGATTATATTCAGTGCTATGTTTTCTCAGCAGTTGGAATAATCTGCCTCACTTGTTTGATTTATCTCAACACTTTTGAGACAAGTATGGTATAAACTCTGTGTGTCTCTTTATTAGAAACTATGCAAGGTGTTACAGATATACATACAAATTTTATATGACTCTGTTTCATATGGCTCAGATTGTCCAGAGCCATTTGGTGAAGCCAGTATAATGAACTATGAAAAAGTGATAAATTATATGTAATTGTTTGAACAATAAAGAGCAATAATCTTTCTAAAGAGGCCTTTTCCCCTTTATCTGCCATTTCTTTATTGTGTATAGAGATGACTAGTTTGCAGCTTTATGAATGACTTTGTGAGTCCAGAGATTCTTTTGCTGATTAAACCAGCATAATTGACATACACCCTCATAAACCTGGGGGCAAGGGTGTTAAGTGTCGTGTGTTGCCTGAGTATCCCATATTCACCCTGGTTCTAGCTTGGTGGAATGTGGAATTTAGACAATTTAGGATTTTGAGTGGGCCAGGCGCGGTGGCTCACGCCTGTAATCCCAGCACTTTGGGAGGCCGAGGCAGGCGAATTGCCTGAGCTCAGGAGTTCGAGACCAGCCTGGGCAACATGGTGAAACCCCATCAGTACTGAAAAAAAAAAAAAAATTAGCTGAGCGTGGTGGCGTGCACCTGTAGTCCCAGCTACTCAGGAGGCTGAGGCAGGAGAATTGCTTGAACCTGGGAGGTGGAGGTTGCAGTGAGCTGAGATCACGCCACTGCACTCCAGCCTGGGCGACAGAGGGAGACTCCGTCTCAAAAAACAAAAAAAAAGAAAAGGATTCTGAGTTGAGTTTGGTTTTATACCTTAATAGCAGCAACATCCCAGGAGTATCACATACCAAGGAATAGATCTGAGAATAAAAATAGCCACCATTTATTGAGTGTCTGTTTTGTGCTAGGGCTAGATACTTTATATGTTATTTTATTGTGAATCACAATATCCCCACAAAATAATGGGGAATTCTTGCATTTATACATAAAGTAAGGCAGATGAGAGTCTGGAATGAAATTCTTTTTTTTAAATATATTTCTTTTTTTTTTGAGACAGAGTCTCACTCAGTTACCCAGGCTGGAGTGCAGTGCCGCAATCTCTACCTCCCGGGTTCAAGCAATTCCCCCATCTCAGCCTCCTGAATACCTGGGATTACATGTGCGCCACCACACCCAGCTAATTTTTGTATTGTTAGTAGAGATGGGGTTTCACCATGTTGGCCAGGCTGGTCTCGAACTCCTGGCCTCAAGTGATCCACCCAGCTTGGCCTCCCAAAGTGCAGGGATTACAGGCGTGAGCCACCATGCCTGGCCATGAAATTCAAAATATTCACTCACAATGCATAACCTTTTACCTAGAGTTTGTTCCTCATAAAGCAAGCTTTTTAGGAATGTTAGAGCCAAAGTGGCACCGAGCTTTTCTCAGTGTTAAAAGAGATGACTGCAAAACCATGTTCAAATAACCTCTGTACTGGCTATTATGTAGTTTATGCTGGTGGTATAGCCTGCTTCACAGTAGGAAGGAATTTGAATATATCTCTAGTATATTTCATGCTGCTTTTGAAAAGGTGCCAAATCTGAGAAAGGAGGAAGGAAACAATTTTTTTTTTTTTTGAGACGGAATCTCTCTTGTAGTCTAGGCTGGAATGCAGTGGCGTGATCTCGGCTTACTGTAATCCCGAGTTCAAGCGATTCTCATGCCTCAGCCTCCTGAGCAGCTGGGACTACAGGTGTGTGCCACCACGCCTAACTAATTTTTGTCTTTTCAGTAGAGATGGTTTCGCCATGTTGGCCAGGCTGGTCTTGAACTCCTGATCTCAAGTGGTCTGTCTACCTTGGCCTCCCAAAGTGCTGGGATTATAGGCAGTGAACCACTGTACCTTGCCCCTACAGTAAATTTTGAAGAAGAGTTCAAATCCTTGCTAACAACAGCATCAAAGTTGTTACAGTGTGTGAAGAATGTGTGGTGTCACTGGAATCCTGCTGTGTGCTCCAGTGCATTCTCACTTGCACCACTGCCTGTTTTTATGCCGCTGCCATTAATTGTACTGTTCTCTTTTTAACATTTTATAGATTTCTGCAGAACAGCTTAGAAAACAAAGTGATTCTTTAAAACTAAAATCTTTAACATCCTGCATAAAATATTTTGTTTTACTATGGTGAGTTTATCTTCCTGCTTTGTAGTTTAAAATATTAAAATAAAATAATGACGAGGGAGAGAACAATATAACATGCATCGGTCCAGTGCCTGAATTCAGTTGATTTAAATTAAATTTAATTCTACTTCTTCCTCTGTCCTCTCTTCCCTAGATAATAATTACATCAGGTCTTTAAAATGGACTAAAATTTAAATATCACTCTTCTTGGAAATTAAAAAAAATTCAGGAGTACAATTTTTCATATTTTTACTATATGATACTACAGTGGTTCAAGACTCAATTTAACAAACTAAGATGCTTTGGAGCACATAAACGATGCTCAATAAATATATATTGAATAATTGACTTTTTTGTAATGTCCTCATTGTGAAGAGCACCACACCTTTGATTCCTTATCCAGAAGGACATGTGGTCTTAGGGGATTTTCCCATTCATTTTCAGCCATCTCTTGTGTGGATGACTGCTCGGAAGGGCATTGCATTTGGCACTGTAGTGAAATAGATGTGAGATATGATGGTCATTCTCAAAGATGTCACAGTCTGGTAGTGGAAGCAAGGGAATAGGAGAGAAGATGAAAAATATGAGCTAAGACATGAAGGTCAGTCTCACTACTGGAAGTTCTTAGTGGAGTAAAGTGGGATTGTAACTATCTTGAGGATTAGGGGAAATGGTAAAATCAGTCTAATATTAGACTTAAGAGTAGTGGAAGACAGAGTTGGAAAGATAGTGTCATTGTGTATGAGTATTTTTGTTTGTTTGTTTGAGATGGAGTTTTGCTTTTGTTGCCCAAGCTGGAGTGCAGCGCCATGATCTCGCATCACTGCAACCTCCGCCTCCTGGGTTCAAACGATTCTCCTTCGTCAGCCTTCTGAATAGCTGGGATTACAGGTGTGAGCCACCACGCCCAGCTAATTTTTCTTTTTAGTAGAGATGGGGTTTCATCATGTTGGCCAGGCTGGTCTCACACTCCTGACCTCAGGTGATCCACCCATCTTGGCCTCCCAAAGTGCAGGGATTACAGGCATGAGCCACCGTGCCCGGCCTTGTTTTTGTTTTTTTAAGAGACTAGGTCTCACTTTGTGGGCCAGGCTTCTCTCAAACTCCTAGGCTCAAGTGATCCTCCTGCCTCAGCCTCCCAAAGTGCTGGGATTACAGGTATGAGCCACTTGTGTCTGGCCTAAGGTCTGAGTAGTTTGGACATTATCCAAGAAATGTATGGGAGTTGCTGATGACTTTGGAGCACAGTGTTAATATGACGTGTGGTAGGTTAGAAAGAATAATTTTATCTTATATTAATAATTATTTTAGGCTGGGCATGGTGGCTCATGCCTGTAATTCCAGCACTTTGGGAGGCCAAGGCAGGCGATTGCTTGAGCCCAGGAGTTCGAGACCAGCCTGGGTAACATGTTGAAACCCTCTCTAAAAAAAAAATGCAATAATTAGCCAGGCATGGTGGCATGTGCCTGTATTCCCAGCTACTTGGGAGGCAGAAGTGGGAGGGCTGCTTGAGCCTGGAAGGTGGAAGTTGCAGTGAGCTGAGATCACTCCACATCACTCCAGTGTAGGTGACAGAGCAAGACCCTGTCTCAAAAAATTATTTTAATAATTTTCATTAATTTTTAATAATTATTAAATTTAAAATTTTTCCTTTTTTTTTAAGAGACAGAGTCTCACACTGTTGCCCAGGCTGAAGTGCAGTGGCACAATCATAGCTCACTACAGTCTTGAACTCCTGAGCTCAAGCCATCCTCTTGACTCAGCCTCCTGAGTAGCTAGGACTATAGGCATGTGCCACCATGCCTAATTTTTTTATCCCTTTTTTTTTTTAAGACAGTGTCTTGCTCTGTCGCCCAGGCTGGAGTGCAGTGGCGCAATCTGGGCTCACTGCAAGCTCTGCCTCCCGGGTTCATGCCATTCTCCTGCCTCAGCCTCCTGAGTAGCTGTGACTACAGGCACTGGCCACCACGCCCGGCTAATTTTTTTTGTTTATTAGTAGAGACGAGGTTTCACCGTGTTAGCCAGGATGGTCTCCATCTCCTGACCTCGTGATCTGCCTGCCTTGGCCTCCTAAAGTGCTGGGATTACAGGCGTGAGTCACTGTACCTAGCTGCCTGGCTGATTTTTACTTTTTTTTTTTTTTTTTGTAGAGACAGGGTCTCACAATGTTTCCAAGACCAGTCTCAAACTCCTGGCCTCAATTAATCCTCCTGCCTCGGCTTCCCAAAGTGCTAGGATTATTGGCATAAGAATAATTTTAAAATGGGGCATAAGAACTCAAGAGAGGGAGAGGAGGATAGAGACAGGAAGACTGTAGGGTAAATATTAGAATGGTAAATATAAGATGATGAGGACCAAGTAAGGGTTGAAAAAGAGGGAAGGGCAAAGTCAAACAGATGCATTTGTGCTCAGTACAAGGTAAGTGATCTGTACATCTTTGTTAAAAAGAATTGGTATGATTCAACAAAATGAGTAGGGGAGGAGAATTTAAAGAGTGAAGGCTGAAATCAGCCTTCTATCCCTGAAAGTCAGAGAGTGATAGTATTGACAGAATAGGAATGTTTGGATGGGGAGATGGCATGTTGTATCTGCAGTGATGGAATGTGAACATGGAGATATCCACATCTCAGATGATAGAGCTCACGCATGCACATGTTTAGGTTCAAAATGTAGATTTGCGAGTCTTTTAGAAATGATCTCTGAGGCCCAAAGAGTAGAGATAGTCTTTGTAACAATAGGTTTGCTTGGAGGCATCCATTTACTGAATGACCTTGGACAAATCTCTTACCCTTGCTGTACTTTTTATTTATTGATGTAAAAAGGGTTGGACAGGGACTGGGGGATAGTGGTTATCCTGATACCAAGACTATATTACCTAGATGTTTTATCAAAATACTGGTCCTTGTTACTTCACCAAGTTGTTTTATTAAATGACAGGGTTTAGAAATGTACTTTAATCTGTAAACAGCTACACAGATACATACAAACTGAATATTTTGTCCCCAGTGGTAATCAAAGTTGGCTGGGATTAGAAATGCATTCTCTGGTTCTGTCTAAAATTGTTCCATGCTCTTATTCTTGTGCTCTGAACAACTTAATTGACAGATACCAAGGCTGCAGAAAGCCTCCAATACCTTGCAATTGATAGTTTTCAGAAATAAAAAGTAGTCCTTCCCATTCAACTCAGATTAATCCAGAAACTTGCTTTAATAGTCTTTTTAGGGCCGGGCGCAGTGGCTTACGCCTGTAATCCCAGCACTTTGGGAGGCCGAGGCGGGCGGATCACGAGGTCAGGAGATCGAGACCATCCTGGCTAATATGGTGAAACACCGTCTCTACTAAAGATACAAAAAATTAGCTGGGCGTGGTGGTGGGCGCCTGTAGTCCCAGCTACTCGGGAAGCTGAGGCAGGAGAATTGCTTGAACCTGGGAGGCGGAGGTTGTAGTGAGCCGAGATTGCGCCACTGCGCTCCAGCCTGGTGACAGAGCGAGACTCCGTCTAAAAAATAAAAAATAAAAATAAATAAATAAATAAATAAATAAATAGTTTTCTTTTTGGCCGGTTGCGGTGGCTCATGCCTGCAATCCCATCCCTTTGGGAGGCTGAGGCGGGTAGATCACCGGAGTTCAGGAGTTTGAGACCAACGTGACCAACATGGTGAAAACCCACCTCTACTAAAAATACAAAATTAGCCGGGTGTTGTGGCACATGCCTGTAATCCCACTACTTGGGAGGCTGAGGCAGGAGAATGGCTTGAACCCTGGAGGTGGAGGTTGCAGTGAGCTGAGATCACACCATTGCACTCCAGCCTAGGCAACAAGAGTGAAAGTCTGTCTCAAAAAAAAAAAAAAAAGGCTTCTTCCTTATTGGTTCCCAAAGAGCTTTGACTAAGCTCCCATATGTTGTCCCTGTAACCCAAAGATTAAAGTTGGATAGGAGCCTTTGGAAAGGAATTGAACAAAATTGTAACTGAGAGTTCTTCTGTCTTCCTCTAACATGGCATTCTAAGAAGAGATCACTTTTGAGATTTAGTATATCCTCTTTGCTTTTTAAGATTTTCAGTAAAAGGTGGTTTTATTTTGTTTAATTACATTTTTTGTGGCAGACCTAATTCACCTCCCATATTTTATTTTTTATTTTTTAAAATTTTTATTTATTTTTATTTTTTTATTTTTTGAGACAGAGTCTCACTCTGTTGCCCAGGCTGGAATGCAGTGGCATGATCTCAGCTCACTGCAACCTCCACCTCTGGGGTTCAAGTGATTCTCCTGTCTCAGCTGCCCAAGTAGCTGGGACGGCAAGTGTGCACCACCACGCCTGGCTAATTTTTGTATTTTTAGTAGAGGGGGTTTCGCCATGTTGGCCAGGCTGGTCTCGAACTCCTGACCTCACGTGATCTGCCTGCCTCATCCTCCCAAAGTGTTGGGATTACAGGCATGAGCCACCGTGCCTGGCCACCTCCCATATTTTAAAAACTCTCCGAATGTGAGGATAAAAGACTATTACATTGATCAGGTATACAGAGTTTGCAAGGTGGTATGGCAAAAGGATCACAGATTCTTACAAGGTCATTATAAGTACTGCTTTGGCTAGGAAAATGATCTTTTTTCACCCAATCTGAGGGAAAAGATACACTTTCTTCCTTACTTTCCTCTTTTCCCATTGTCCTTCCTTAAAGACTAGCAGCAGCAGAATTTGGAAAATAAATAATGGGCATGTTTTGCTAATAATCATGACAAACTATAATAATCTGTTTTGAATTTTACTTGCCTGTTTCTAAATTTTGGAGTCTAGAGAACTGCTATCAAAGGGTAAAATATAGTGATTCACCTGCAGTTTTGGTTACAGGTTTCATATTACATAATAAAGGGAGAACTTGAGCCCCACCTTTCCCCCAGTGTATTCCTTGCATAGGCAACCTCTGCTGCTTAAATGTTTTGGAGACTTTGGGATGTCTGATTTCAACTGTACCGTGAAACAGGTAGTGGCTTGACTTAGTAAGCATCTGAAGGACTGTTTTGTTCTACTCTTGCAGAGTAGAGTAGTTTTCAAAAGGAAAGGAAAGGAATTGTTGAGTGGGACCTATGAAGTATAGCAGGATGGATAGAATATGAGGCAGATGGGTCCTAGTTTGCTAAAGAGCTTGGGCCATCTGATAAGTTGTCTTTCTTGCCAAACAAGGGAGTCACGTGGGGTATACACATTGTATAAGCTTTTCAGTCACCGAGGTTGCCTGTCCTTCCTGCCTCCCTGTTTCGTTGCCTCCTTGCCTCCCTTCCTCACTTCCCTTCCTTTCCCACCTCCCTGTCCACACCCCTTCCTTCCCCTGCCTCTCTTCGTTTCCCTTTCCTTCATTCTTTCCTGCCCTCCTGCCTACTTCCCTGCCTCCTTTCCTTTACCTCTTGTCTTAGTCTATTTTCTGTTGCTGTAACCACAGATTGGATAATGGATAATTTTAAAGAAAAGAGATTTATCGCTGGGCGTGGTGGCTTATGCTTCAAATCCCAGCATTTTGGGAGGCCGAGGCAGGAGGATCGCTTGAGCCCATGAATTCGAGACCAACCTGGGCAACATAATAAGACCCCATCTCTACAAAAAAAAAAAAAAAAAAAAAAGTAATTAAGTAAAAGAAAAGAGATTTATTTGGCTCATGATTCTGAAGACTGGAAAGTCCAAGAACATGACACTGGCATCTGTTGAGGGTCATCCCATAGTAAAAGGTGAGAGGATGAGAGCACGTGAGACAGAGGAAGTTGAGCTGAATTCATTTTTTCTATCAAGAGCCCACTCCTGTGTCCAGTGATAATGTCATTGATACCTACCTCTTAAAGGGTCCACCTTCCAATACTGTTAGGATGGCATTTAAATTTCAAACATGTTTTGGAGGGGACATTCAAACCGTAGCATCTTCCTTGCCTGTCTTCCTTTCTTTCCTTTCTTCCTCTTTCAACTTTACTGAGGATTAAGTCTTAGGAGAAATGATTTATTTAAATTAGAGGTCATGGCCAGGCATCAGTGTCTCGCACCTGTAATCCCAACACTTTAGGAGGACAAGATGGGTGGATCACCTGAGGTCAGGAGTTTGAGACCAGCCTGGCCAACATGGTGAAAACCGGTCTTTACTAAAAATACAAAAAAATTAGCCAGGCGTGGTGGTGCTGCATGCCTGTAATCCCAGCTACTCAGGAGGCTGAGGCACAGCAATCGCTTGAATCCAGGAGGTGGAGGTTGCAGTGAGCTGAGATTGCACCACTGCATTCCAGCCTGGGGGACACAGTCAGTCTCAAAAAAAAAAAAAAAAAAAGAGAGTGTTTAGAACAGTTTCTGCCTCTTAGAATTGTGGATCTGGAACAGTTTAAAGACAACAGAGAGAGGAACAAGACCTCTGGTCACATGAAAGAAATGAGCATGAACCAGCAAAGATTAGGAAGGATCAAAGTAGACCATAGTATATTAACTACATAGCAGTATAAATTTATTGGCTTTTTTTTTTTTTTGAGACAGTGTCTCACTCTGTAGCCCAGGCTACAGTGCAGTGGCACAATCTCGGCTCACTATAACCTCTGCCTCCCAGGTTCAAGCGATTCTCCTGCCTCAGCCTCCTAAGTAACTGGGATTACAGGCGCCCGCCACCATGTCCAGCTAATTTTTTGTATTTTTAGTAGAGACGGGGTTTCACCATATTGGCCAGGCTAGTCTCGAACTCCTGAACTCGACTAATTCGCCTGCCTTGGCTTCCCAAAGTGCTAGAATTACAGGATGGGCCACTGTGCCTGGCCTGTATTCAGGCATTTCTTACCTAAAAAACGTAAAAAAAATTTTTTGTGGTAAAATATACATAAAATTTACTATTTTAATCATCTTTAGCTGTACAATTTTATGGCATTAAGTACATTGAGAAGTGTTGTGTAACCATCACCACTGTCTATTCCTGAACACTTTTTTTTGAGACCGAGTTTCACTCTGTTGCCCAGGCTTACTGCAGTGGCATGATCTCAGCTTACTGCAGCCTCTGCCTCCCAGGTTCAAGCGATTCTCCTGCCTCAGCCTCCCAAGTAGCTGGGACTACAGCCGTGAGCCACCATGCCTGGCTAATTTTTGTATTTTTAGTAGAGACAGGGTTTCACCATGTTGGCCAGGCTGGTCTTGAATTCCTGACCTCAAGTGACCCACCTGCCTCAGCCTCTCAAAAGTGCTGGGATTACAGGTGTGAGCTACCACCCCCAGCCTCCAGAACACTTTTATCATCCCAAACAGAAACTATGTACACTTATTAAATAAAAACTATCCCAGCCCTTAGTAACCTCCATTTTACTCTCTTTCTCTGTTCTAAGCACCTCATAAAGCCTAATCATATAATATTTGTCCTTTTGTGTCTATTTTACTTACCATAATGTTTTTAAGGTTCATTCTTGTTGTAGTGTGTATCAGGATTTCATTCATTTTCATGGCTGAATAATATTCTGTTGTATTTGCCATATTTTGTTGATCCATTCATCTGTTTGTGGACACTTGAGTTGTGTTTACCTTTTGGCTTTTGTGCATAATGCTGCCATGAACATAAGTGTAGACATATCTGTTTGAGGCCCTGCTTTTAACTCTTTTAGGTATATACCTAGGAGTGGAATTGCTAGATCATATGGTAATTGGATTTCGCTTTTTGAAGAAATACCAAACCGTTTCCCACACCAGCTGCAATCCTACCAGCAAATGCACAAGGGCTCTGATTTCTCTATATCCTTGCCAATATTTGTTATTTTCCACTTTTTGGATAATACTCATCTTAATTGGTGTGTCAAAAATGTTTTAACATTTACTGTGATGAATGTTAGATGATTCGGAAGAGCTACTTACTGTTGTGAGGAACCAGTTTCCTTAAGTTACTAAAAGGGGGCTTAAGCCAGTTCCATATAAAACAAGAGCTGCAGGGATTCTGGCCATCATATACAACATCTCCTTATTCATAAAATACTCTCATTTACAAAAAGGTTTATGTATTTATTATTATTAATGTATAATAAATATATATTTATTATTCGTAAAATACTCTCATTTACAAAGAGGTTTATATATTTCTTGATGTGAAGTTTTTCTTTTTCTTTTTTTTTTTTTGAGACGGGGTCTTGCTCTGTGGCCCAGGCTGGAGAGCAGTGGTGCGATCTCGGCTCACTGCAAACTCTGCCTCCCGGGTTCACACCATTCTCCTGCCTCAGCCTCCCAAAGTGCTGGTGAGTATTTTTAGTAGAGATGGAGTTTTGCCATGTTGGCCAGGCTGGTCTTGAACTCCTGACCTCAAGTGATCCACCTGCCTTAGCCTCCCAAAGTGCTGGGGTTACAGGTGTGAGCCACTGCGCCCAGCCGACCCTATTGCTAGTAAGGTTAATTTTTCAGATTTTAAAGGGTATCAAACTTTTCTCCCAAATCCAGGTTTTATGCCAAGATTATACTGATCCACTTTATTGAACACATGACTTGAATTAGATGCCTTTAGGGAGGCCTAAGTCATAGGTCTAGAAAAAGTGACTGACCTTCTTTCTCATAGGAATCAGGGGAGAGAATTAGGGCAATGATTATGACTACATACCAGTTGTAGGACGACGGCATGAGGTCACATAAGGAGAGACTGCACAAGAACAGGCCTTTGGCAGGAACAGGGAGCAATCTAGTTATACTGTAGCACTGAATTGAAAAGCATAGTTAACTGTTTCTAGGTGGGCACTTGACATTGTTTCCTAGGTTAGACCAGTGAGCTGGGAACGACAGCCCACTGGAGGGGAGAGTGCAGCAAAGATCCAGAAAATGTGAATTATAGTCAGTTTATTAATCTAATTAAGTAGAACAATGATTGAGTCCCTGGGTGTGGTGTTGCTTGCCTGTAATCTCAGCTACTTGGGAGGCTGAGGCAGGAGAATCACTGGAACCCAGGAGGTTGAGGTTGCAGTGAGCCAAGATTGGGCCACTGCATTCCAGCCTGGGTGACAGAGTGAGACTCTGTCTTTTTTAAAAAAAAAAAAAAAAAAGGAAATTAATACAATGTACCACTGTAACCCTCTAGCCCAGACAATGTGCTGACTTCAGAAGGCAAATTCAGTGTAAATTGACTGTTTACCAATATAAGAAGTGACACTGCTTCTGGACTGAATTAGATCAAGGATAGGACAGTGGTTCTCAAACTTTAGAGAGGACCACAATCACCTGGAGGGCGTATTAAAAAACATTGCTGGTACCCACTCCTAGAGGTTCTGTTTTGATTCTTCATTTTAAACAAATTTTTAGGTTGTTGCTGATGTAGTACTGCTGATCCTTGGATCATACTTTGAGACCCACTGATCTTGGACAGGAAAATGAAGCGAGTATAACTGTTTAGTTCCTCCTGGTTAAAGTCTTCATGGAGAAGGGAAAAAACACTAACATTTAAGTCTGTACCCTGTCAAAATCCTGTGCCAGATGATTTGTAGTCATTGTTTTACTTAACCCTTGAAACCACTCTGCAAAGCAGTCCTCAGGCCCGTTTTCCCTCAAACATACACCTGTTAAAAACTTGCTGGAATGATTCTTTCTTCAATGAGAGCTTATACTTATAACTGAAAGAATAATGTTGGCATATACCATTACAAATGTGATTTTATTTAATGTAGAGGATATGTTAAGTTCCATTGCTGACTATTATGTATTCATTACTCTTCTGTTGACTTATGAGAGAGATAAAATGTAGATTAATTTAGCAGTAATGATTATACAATAGATGGAATTAAATTTTGAGATATGTTTTCTCATAAAGAACATAAAATGAATGAGAGCTTGACTTTAAAAATCAATATATTACATCTTTCAGATCACAGAAAAAATAAGCCTATGTTAATTTTGTGTTTTTTTTTTTTAATGTTGCCAATTGGTTATTGACCAGCTCTATTTTAGAAAAATATAAGAGGAGGAATGGTAAATTTCAGAATAGTAAGTATTAAGATATGACCAAATCCTTGATAACTCAACCATAAGACTTACTCATTTAAAGTACAGTATTCTCTGCTAATATTATTTTTCAAAAGTCAACTTTTTTTTTGAAACATCAACTTGTTTTTCCTGGAATTCAGTGAAGTTACTTTGTGTTGTTTGACAGACAGCATCGCACAGAATTATTTTAAAAAAAAGCAGTGATCCAAGCAATTGAATTGGAAGCACTCTGGGGAAACCTGCTGTTTATTGTGGAAATCATCTTCGATCTTGGAATTGAAAGTAAAGCTGGAAAGGAATTTACAAACAAGAAAAAAAAGAAGTTTGGAATCGGATTCACAGGATCTGGGCTTGGAAATGCCTCAGGTAAATCATACAGAGTAGGTGCAAAGTTTTTTATTTTCCCACTACAGAAAGTCAATACCTTTGACTCTTAAATGAATCTTAACACAACTTTGCATACTACCTTTTTGTGATATCTCATTTCTGATCTCAGCTAGTTTTGAGTACATGTTCTTCCTTCCATTGGCTTCTATTTCTTACTTTGCTATCACTTGAAGTTTAATGAGTTCTACATAGGTAGTATGATAAATAGGTAGAAGGTGGACAGATCTGCTGGCTTTATGGGGCAAAACCAACTCCCTTGAAAATTAGTCTGCCACAGCAATCCCGTTTCTATCTCCTCACTATTCCTATTTCCCAATTCTTACCTTTCATTTATGCTAGCTGAATTTAGAAGTAATTAAGAGGAAATAGTGAGAGACTTCAGGCTGCCTCCCCCAACCCCTCTCATCTCTCTCTTTCTCATAGACACACACACATACCTATGTGTGCACATGTAAATATCTCCCCACAAAATATATCTAAGAATGATTGTATCTGTTTATATTATGGCAGCTACTCTGAATTGATCAGTTTTGGTTTTAGGCAATCAGTGAGACAATCAGTGAAGCCCTGTTAGTCCCCATTCTGCTTATCTAAACTCCTCCTTTTCTTCTCCAGTGTTTAGCTCTTGCCCCTCCCCTGTTTGTTTCAGTGCTGGGGAGAAACCTAGAAGTAATGAGTGGGCAGGGACTCTTGGGTGGCTTTTTGTGTTGCCATACTGAGCTATCCCTTGAGCACAGGGAATCAACAATTTGCTGGGATTGTCTGGTGACTCGGAGACAGGCAGAAGAGGTAAAGAAAGGGGACTTGGTAATAGATATTGAAAAGACCAGCGGCCGGCTAGGCACAGTGGCTCACGCCTGTAATCCCAGCACTTTGGGAGGCCGAGACAGGCGGATCACAGGTCAGGAGATCAAGACCAGCCTGGCGAACATTGTGAAACCCTGTCTTTACTAAAAATACAAAAACTAGCTGAGTGTGGTGGCACACACCTGTAATCCCAGCCACTTGGGAGGCTGAGACAGGAGAATTGCTTGAACCTGGGAGTGCAAAGATCATGCCATTGCACTCCAGCCTGGGGACAGAGCAAGCTCTGTCTCAAAAAACAAACAAAAAAGAACAGCTGCCTACCGCCACCCCAACCTCTGTGACAGATGGACTGCATATACCCTTTTAGAGTGGTTGCCCATTCAAGGTTTAGTTTTTTTTTTTTTTTTTTTTTTTTTTTTGAGCTGGAGTCTCACTCTGTTGCCCAGGCTGGAGTGCAGTGGTGCAATCTTGGCTCACTGCAAGCTCCACCTCCCGGGTTCACGCCATTCTCCTGCCTCAGCCTCCCAAGTAGCTGGGACTACAGGCGCCTGCCACCACGCCTGGCTAATTTTTTGTATTTTTAGTGGAGACGGGGTTTCACCGTGTCAGCCAGGATGGTCCCGATCTCCTGACCTCGTGATCCACCCGCCTTGGCCTCCCAAAGTGCTGGGATTACAGGCGTGAGCCACCGTGCCTGGCCGAGGTTTAGTTTTATATTTATTGAGTACTTGAATTTGGGGCTTAAATTTTAAACTTATTTTCTCAAGCTAACTTTTTCTAGGAAGAAAGGTTCTGCAGGCTGGAAAAGTAGGGGGAAGATAAGAGAAAGAAAAAAAAATAAGATGGGATGTACCAATGAAGAAAAATACGATGAGAGGGTCTATGAAAAGTCCGGTTTGTGAAAGATAGAAAGTATATGAAAAGAATAAGCAAATAGATTAATACCATTTAAAAACATTTCTGCAGAAACTTGCAAAAAAAAAAAAGAAAATACTAAAAAAGAGAAATTTTTGGCCAGTTGGCAGTGGCTCATATCTGTAATCCCAGAACTTTGGGAGGCCAAGGTGGGCGGATCACTTGAGGTCAGGAGTTTGAAACCAGCCTGACCAACATGGTGAAACCCTGTCTCTACTAAAAATACAAAAATTAGGCCAGGCGTGGTGGTGCGTACCTGTAGTCCCAGCTACTCAGAAGGCTGAGGCGGGAGAATCGCATGAACCCTGCGGGGGGAGGTTGCAGTGAGCCAAGATCACGCCACTGCACTCCAGCCTGAGCGACGGAGCGAGACTCTGTCTCAAAAAAAAAAAAAAAAAAAAAAAAAAAAAAAAAAAAAACCGGGTGCAGTGGCTTGCACCTGTAATCCCAGCACTTTGGGAGGCTGAGACAGGCTGATCACTTGAGGTCAGGAGTTAGACCAGCCTGGCCAACATATAGTGAAACCCCATCTCTACTAAAAAATATAAAAATTAGCTGGACGTGGTGGTGCCTGCCTGTAGTCCCAGCTACTTGGGAAGCTGAGGCAGGAGAATCGCTTGAACACTGGAGGTGGAGGTTGCAGTGAGCTGAGATCATGCCAACAGAGCGAGACTCTGTCTCTCCAAAAAAAAATAAATAAATAAAAGAAATTTTTTATTCTTTCTCATTCTCTTTCTTCATCTCAGTTAGATTTCAAATTGAGGCCTTTCTATTATTTGACCCACTTTAGGAGGGTGAGCCCAGACTTGACTCTGGCGGGATTTGTATAGATGTTAAAATGTAAAAAGAAGATAGAGAAAAAACAAGAAGGAGAATTAATGCTGGGTCCCAAGTCTTTTTTTTCCCCTTTACTTATTATGGAATGGACTGTGCCCTTTTCAGGAATCAGGATTAAGGCTACAGAGTTCATGCCCAAGTTACTGGTCTTACCAAGGAGATTTTTGGGTATTTAGTTGATTCTGTTTCCATTACCTTCCTGCAGGCATTGGTTGTACTAGACAGTGATGCCCAAATTGTCTTCCAGCTTGCTTTGGAAAATAAGACATGGGACTCAGCAGCACAGAGTGAGAGTGATTTGCTGTATCTGCAGACCCTAGGAAAAGACAGGGAATTCTCTACTGATAGTTAAAATAGTGTTGTTAGACAAGGATTTGAAGAAATGTTATACAGCTAAGTGAAAGTACTCGATAGGTGCTGTATGGTGACTGGTGGCTAAATAAGCTTTACTTTCTAGAAGATATTAATTGCTGCTCTATATTTTTTCAATTTTTTTTGACAGGGAAAACATTTTTTTAAATTACAAACTCAATTTATTTGGTGTATTTCAAAGGTGCAATACTTTTCTTCATGTATCAGTGAAAGAAGTTAGAAATTAACTTCCCAAAAAATCAGCAAATGGCAGACAGATGTCTGTGAAAGTCACAGTCACATACAGTGTGGCCTAGAAAACAGAGGGGCAAGACAGGCTTCACCCACTTTCATGAGTTTCATCAAATACTGGATCTACTCAAGGGTGGAAAGAAAAGGCAACTTTCAAAAAGGAGTATGTTATTAAATGAGGCATTTACTATACTCCTTCCTGAGAGCACCAGATGGGGAACATGTTTTCTAAACTAGATCTAGGAAGTGGATCCTTCCTCCTCCCCTTAAGGGCTATCTACTGGTTAATGAATTAAAAAAACAAGACTGAAAAACAAACTGCACACTCCCCTCAAAAAAAGAGGAGGAAAAACAACAACAACAACAACACACCAAGATGTCCCAGATTACTCTCCAGGGTGGAACCAGGGAACAGCTTCAACAATTCCAATTAGTTTGTTACAGAGTCATCCATAAGCATGCCTTGCTTTTAAACAAATAATAATAAAGTTTTAAAACAACAAAACAAAAACTGGTACTAATCACTTTTCTGACGATACACAATTACTCAAAATTAACTAGTACTGGGAGGGGGAAGGGGGGACCATACCTGTGGGCCTTGTCCCACACAAGTGCATGTGGGTAGGTACGCGGCATTTGTCATTATTGCAAAAATGATTTTTTTTCTTTTTTATTTTTATTTATGTATTTTTGAGACAGAGTCTCACTCAGTTGCCCAGGCTGGAGTGCAGTGGCACGATCTCGGCTCACTGCAAGCTCCACCTCCCGGGTTCATGCCGTTCTCTTGCCTCAGTCTCCGGAGTAGCTAGGACTGCAGGTGCCCGCCACCACACCCGGCTAATTTTGTCTTTGTATTTTTAGTAGAGACGGGGTTTCACTGTGTTAGCCAGGATGGTCTCGATCTCCTGACCTCGTGATCCACCTGCCTTGGCTTCCCAAAGTGCTGGGATTACATGTGTGAGCCACTGCGCCTGGCCTATTTTTTATTTTTTGAGATGGAGTTTCGCTCTTGTTGCCCAGACTGGAGTGCAATGGCACAATTTCGGCTTACTGCAGCCTCCACCTCCTGGGTTCAAGCGATTCTCCTGCCTCAGCCTCCTGAATATATGGGATTACAGGTACGTACCACCACACCTGACTAATTTTCGTATTTTTAGTAGAGACAGGGTTTTGCCATATTGGCCAGCCTGGTCTCGAACTCCTGACCTCAGGTGATCCGCCTGCCTTGGCTTCCCAAAATGCTGGGATTACAGGCTTGAGTCACTGCCCCCAGCCTGAATTTTAATTTTTAATCTTTAGTTTGATTTAAACACTGCTTTTAGTATGATGTCAACACCAGCTATGCAGAAAGGGCTCTGGAGAGATGTTCATAGCAGCACACACCTGCGGCTCTTCTTCGATCCTGGAGGCTCCAGGGCAGCCAATATTGTATCGTCAAATACATTCTTTTTTTTTTTTTCTTTTTGGAGACGGAGTTTCGCTCTTGTTGCCCAGGCTGGAGTGCAATGGCGAGATCTCAGCTTACTGCAACCTTCGCCTCCCAGGTTCAAGCGATTCTCCTACCTCAGCCTCCTGAGTAGCTGGGATTACAGGTGCCTGCCAGCACGCCCGGCTAATTTTTGTGTTTTTAGTAGAGACAGGGCTTCACCATCTTGGCCAGGCTGGTCTTGAACTCCTGACCTCAGGTGACCTGCCCACCTGAGCCTCCCAAAGTGCTGGGATTACAGGCGTGAGCCACCGCACCCGGCCATCAGATACATTCTTTAGGCCTTTCTGTGTGAGTGTAGAACACTCCACATACCTGATGGCCTTCAGGTCATGGGTCAGCTTTTTAGCAGTCTCTGGAGTGATAGGCTTCTGTTTGTTCTTGGCAAGTTTCTCAATAGTAGAGGGGTCATCTCTGAGATCAGTTTGGGTCCCAACAAGCAAGAAAGGAGTCTTTGGGACAGTTAGGCACCCACTTTTTTTCACATTTTCAAATGAAGATGGAGAGACCACTGAAAAACAGACTAGAAATACATCTGTTTGTGGATAACTCAGCGGTCATAATCTGTCATAATCCTTTGCCCTGCAGTATCAAAAATCCAAGAGTGTATGGTTCTCTACCAATCATAACTGTGACTGCATAGTTGTCAAAAACAGTACGTTATTCCGATGGAAATTTGTTTGTCGTGTAGGATATCAGGAGACATGTTTTGCCAACAGCACCATCACCCACAACATATTTAATTGTCTGCATTGCTGAAATAGTTTTGTATCCACTTTAAATATTTCAAATCTGATGTTGACCTCAGCTTCTCCACTGGGGCATTGGCAGCACTCTATTTTTTCTATTTTTAGGTATTTTCCTAATATAAGTCTACAGTTCAGTGTTAGCCAAAGCTCTTAAATATACTATACAGTAGAAAAAAAGTATAGAAATGTTTTCTGAAAAGAATAAGTTACTTAGTGGGGGTGGGGTTGGGGCTCATATGTGATAAATTGGTCTCAAAGTAGTCTTTAACTTTCTAAAATAAAAATCACTCTGTTGTAGCCTAGTGTAAGCGGAATGGATCCGCCTTTCGGGGATGCCTTTCGAAGCCACACCTTTTCGGAACAAACTCTGATGAGCACAGATCTCTTAGCAAACAGTTCGGATCCAGATTTCATGTATGAACTGGTAAGCAACATTTTCTTGGTTTTGGTCTTGATTGATTTGGGGTAAAAGTTTGTGGGAGAGTTTTTTGTTTATAAATGCCTGAAAAAAAAAGATGTGCTTGGGCCAAGTTTGATTCTTATGATTATACCTAGGATAATTTTATTTATTTATTTTTATTTTTATTTTTTTGAGACGGAGTCTCACTCTGTTTCTCAGGCTATAGTGCAGTGGTGTGATCTTGGCTCACTGCAATCTCCACCTCCCAGGTTCAAATGATTCTTCTGCCTCAGCCTCCCAAGTAGCTAGGATTACAGGTGTGTGTCACCACATCCAACTAATTTTGTTTTTTTTTTTTTTTTGAGACAGAGTCTGGCTCTGTTGCCCAGGCTGGAGTGCAGTGGTGCGATCTCGGCTCACTGCAACCTCCATCTCCTGGGTTTAAGCTATTCTTCTACCTCAGCCTCCCAAGTAGCTGGGATTACAGCCACCTGGCACCATGCCCAGCTAATTTTTGCATTTTTAGTAGGGACAGGGTGTCACCACGTTGGCCAGGCTGGTCTCGAACTCCTGACCTCAGGCTATCCACCTGCCTCGGCCTCCCAAAGTCCTGGGATTACAGGCATGAGTCACTGCGCCCAGCCTAATTTTTGTATTTTTAGTGCAGACGGGGTTTCACCATGTCAGCCAGACAGGTCTTGAGCTCCCGACCTCAGGTGATCTGCCCGCCTCGGCTTCCCAAAATGCTGGGATTACAGGCATGAGCCATCGCACCTGGCCTACATCTAGTAATTTTAAAAGTATGCAGCTGTTGGCTGGGCATGGTGGCTCACGCCTGTAATCCCAGCACTTTGGGAGGCCAAGGCGGGCGGATCATGAGGTCAGGAGATTGAGACCATCCTGGCCAACATGGTGAAATTCCGTCTCTGCTAAAAATACAAAAATTAGCTGGGCATGGTAGTGCGCACCTGTAGTCCTAGCTACTCGGGAGGCTGAGGCAGGAGAATTGCTTGAACCAGGGAGTCAGAGGTTGTGGTGAGCCAAGATCGCCCCATAGCATTCCAGTCTGGCAGACTGGAGTCTCAAAAAGAAAAAGGATGCTTCTGGGTATGGTGGCTCATGCCTGTAATCCCAGCACTTTGAGAGGCCGAGGCGGGTGGATCACCTGCCTGAATTTTAATTTTTAATCTTTAGTTTGATTTAAACATTGCTTTTATTTATTTATTTATCTATTTATTTGGGACGGAGTCTCGCTCTGTAGCCCAGGCTGGAGTGCAGTGGCACAGTCTCGGCTCACTGCAACCTCCGCCTCCCAGGCTCAAGCGATTCTCCTGCCTCAGCCTCCCGAGTAGCTGGGATTACAGGCATGCACCACCACACCCGGCTAATTTTTTGTATTTTTAGTAGAGATGGGGTTTCACCATATTGGTCAGGCTGGTCTCGAACTCCTGACCTCGTGATCCACCCACCTCGGAGTGCTGGGATTACAGGTGTGAGCCACCGTGCCCGGCCTTAAACATTGCTTTTAGTATGATGCCGACAGCAGCTGTGCAGAAAGGGCTCTGGAGAGATGGTCATAGCCACACACACCTGCAGCTCTTCTTCCATTCTGGAGGCTCCAGGGCAGCCAATATTGCTTCATCAAATACATTCTTTTTTTTTTTTTTTTTTTTTTTTTTTTTGAGACAGAGTTTCGCTCCTGTTGCCCAGGCTGGAGTGCAATGGCGCAATCTAAAATTAGCTGGGTGTGGTGGTGGGTGCCTGTAATCCCAGCTACTCAGGAGGCTGAGGCAGGAGAATTGCTTGAACCTGGGAGACGGAGGTTGCAGTGAGCGGAGATTGCACCACTGCACTCCAGCCTGGGCAACAAGAGCAAGACCCCGTCTCAAAAAAAAAAAAAAAAAATGAATGCATCAAAAATGGTAAAAGATTATCTAAATATCTTCAAATCTAGTTTTTGATAAAGATAATGGGCTTTTCAGCTGGAAAACATTGAGCAAGGCATGTGAATGACATAAAGAATGTGGCACAAAAATAACAATTCCAAACAGGATCTGCATATACTTAATCATTTATTCTTGAGGTAAATAGACACTTAAAATTCAGAAGAAAAACATTTTAAAAACAGTTTTAATTACATAAAATTGAAATAACACAAAAATATATAAAAACTGGAAAACTGAGTGCTCAAATGCATAAATCTACTAAAAATTATTGAATTGTCTACTTAATATAGGTTGGTTTTATGGTATGTGAAATTATACTTCAGTAAAGCTGTTAAAACATACACAGACAGGCCGGGCGCAGTGGTCATGCCTGTAATCCCAGCACTTTGGGAGGCTGAGGCAGGTGGATCACAAGGTCAGGAGTTCAAGACCAGCCTGACCAAGATGGTGAAACCTCATCTCTACTAAAAATACAAAAAAATTAGCTGGGCATGGTGGCACGTGCCTGTAATCTCAGCAATTCAGGAGGCTGAGGCAGAGAATTTCTTAAATCTGGAGGAGGAGGTTGCAGTGAGCCAAGATCGCGCCACTGCACTCCAGTCTGGGTGACAGAGTGAGACTCCATCTCAAAAAAAAAAAAAACAAAAAAAAAAACCCATACACAGACAACACACACACACACACACACACCCCAAAAATTAAAGAAAAAAAATAACTCTGGAAGACTCAAAACGTCCTCATTTTCTTTCTGTGCCTCCACCTTCCAAACCTTTTACCAAAACGTAACTAACAGGTTCTTTTCCATGCATATGTAAACATATGTATATAGTTTTTTTGTATATACTTTTTAATTGGATAATATAGATAACAGTTTTCTGTAACTTGCTCTTTTAAAAATAAAAATATATGGTGGGCAGTCTTTCATATTTGTACATTAGAGCTATGCTGCATTCATTTCAATGGCTGCAGAGTCTTAACTGATATTTGAAATTGACATCTCCAGTGGCACATGCCTGTAATCCCAGCAATTTGGGAGGGCAAGGTGGGCAGATCACTTGAGGTCAGGAGTTTGAGACCAGCCTGGTCAACATGGTAAAGCCCTGTCTCTACTTTAAAAAAAAAAAAAAAGAAAAAAAAATCATCTCTAAAATTCGTGAGGAGTATTTTACTCTGCCTGCCCAAGTGTTGTTATAAGGTCTTGCAAAAGATCTTACCATTCTGTGGTTGAATTCCAACTCTCTTTGGATTGCTCTTTGCCTCTATATTTAAGTTCCCACTAAAAAGATATCCTCTTCTGTAATGAGGGTGTCTTTATTATTTTCATTGTTAATATTTTAAATTCTTCTCTCTCACTTATCACATTGTTTGCTTTTTAGTTGAAGTGTCTCCCCCTGCCCCCACCCTACCACCACTAAGGAGATCCCAAAATCCTTCTAAGATAAGGAAATGTAAACTTTTTTCAGGCAGAATGTTTATGGTAAACTCAAGAGCCCTTGATATTTGGATCATACCTGAGCCTCTCAAGGGACACACTTTCCGTCTTTTTTAAATTTAATTTTTAATTGATTTTTGTTTGTTTTATTTTCATTCTACTTTTTCTTGCCTAAGGAAATGATGACATTATATGAAATGATAAAGCGTCCTGTCAGTAGCCTTTATGTTAAAACAGACCAAAAGTCAAGTATTGATTTATCAGTTTGACATATGGAGGTGAATATTTCCTTCTGAAATATGATGTGCAATTTCTTTTTTAAAACCTTTCTCAGGATAGAGAGATGAACTACCAACAGAATCCTAGAGACAACTTTCTTTCTTTGGAGGACTGCAAAGACATTGAAAATCTGGAGTCTTTCACAGATGTCCTGGATAATGAGGGTGCTTTAACCTCAAACTGGGAACAGTGGGATACATACTGTGAAGACCTAACGAAATATACCAAACTAACCAGCTGTGACATCTGGGGAACAAAAGAAGTGGATTACTTGGGTCTTGATGACTTTTCTAGTCCTTACCAAGATGAAGAGGTTATAAGTAAAACTCCAACTTTAGCTCAACTTAATAGTGAGGACTCACAGTCTGTTTCTGATTCCCTTTATTACCCCGATTCACTTTTCAGTGTCAAACAAAATCCCTTACCCTCTTCATTCCCTGGTAAAAAGATCACAAGCAGAGCAGCTGCTCCTGTGTGTTCTTCTAAGACTCTGCAGGCTGAGGTCCCTTTGTCAGACTGTGTCCAAAAAGCAAGTAAACCCACTTCAAGCACACAAATCATGGTGAAGACCAACATGTATCATAATGAAAAGGTGAACTTTCATGTTGAATGTAAAGACTATGTAAAAAAGGCAAAGGTAAAGATCAACCCAGTGCAACAGAGCCGGCCCTTGTTGAGCCAGATTCACACAGATGCAGCAAAGGAGAACACCTGCTACTGTGGTGCAGTGGCAAAGAGACAAGAGAAAAAAGGGATGGAGCCTCTTCAAGGTCATGCCACTCCCGCTTTGCCTTTTAAAGAAACCCAGGAACTATTACTAAGTCCCCTGCCCCAGGAAGGTCCTGGGTCACTTGCAGCAGGAGAGAGCAGCAGTCTTTCTGCCAGTACATCAGTCTCAGATTCATCCCAGAAAAAAGAAGAGCACAATTATTCTCTTTTTGTCTCCGACAACTTGGGTGAACAGCCAACTAAATGCAGTCCTGAAGAAGATGAGGAGGACGAGGAGGATGTTGATGATGAGGACCATGATGAAGGATTCGGCAGTGAGCATGAACTGTCTGAAAATGAGGAGGAGGAAGAAGAGGAAGAGGATTATGAAGATGACAAGGATGATGATATTAGTGATACTTTCTCTGAACCAGGTATTATAATGCTTGCAAGCTTACCAGACTGACCTTTGTATTACTATTTTGAAATAGAAAGGTTTTTGTTTCTGTTTTGTTTGGATAATTTCTTTATTTTAGTTTGGGAATTAAATGACTTAAACCTTGGATTGGATATGTAATTGGTTTTTCTATTCAAATAGCTCTAAAATGATCACTTTTGCTCACATAGGGATTCATAAGCTGATTCCTTGAGGGCTTATTTTTTATTATTTTATTTCTTATTTTTAAAATTAAAATAGAGATGAGAGCTTGCCACTGTGCCCAGCTGAGGACTTATTCTTAATGTATCTTATGTTAAGTGACCTGTTTTGTCACTCTCTTGAGCATTTATGCAAAGACACCAATAATTTATTGGTTTAAAAAATATTCCTGTTTAGGGCCAGGCGCAGTGGCTCACGTTAGTAATCCCAGCACTTTGGGAGGCCGAGGTGGGCGGATCACCTGAGGTCAGGAGTTAAAGACCAGCCCGGCCAACACAGCGAAACCCTGTCTCTACTAAAAATACAAAAATCAGATGTGGTGGCACGCATCTGTAATCCCAGCTACTCCAGAGGTTGAGGCGGGAGAATCACTTGAACCCAGGAGGCTGAGGTTGCGGTTAGCTGACATCGCACCATTGCACTCCAGCCTGGGCAACAGGAGTGAAAGTCTGTCTCAATAACAACAAAAAATAATAAATAAAAATATTACTGTTTATGCATGTGTCTCTCTATTATAGTTGAGATAAGTTAGGAGTATATAGAATGTTGAACCAAGTGATGATGGTTTATATTACTCATTCCAATACCCAACAAAGTCTATTTATGAATAATGTAAAAGCATTTTCTTTGTGTCTGCTAACATTTTAATTTACATCGTATTTTCCTATTTAAGAAAAATACATGCTGTAATTTGGTGAGCATGAAGGAGACTCTGCTTTATTTATATACAGCGCATATAAATAAAAGGGACAAAGAAAATGAAATCTCTGGGGGAACTGGTTCACTTTAGCATTTACATGCTTGGGCTTTTGGCGCTGTTGGCTTGTGCAGTTTATTTATAAAAATAGTATTGCCAAGTGGCACATGGTTGAAAATGCACAAAGAAGTAAAGATCTTTAAATTTAAACTAAAGTTATCTTCTTCAAAAATATTGTTGGTACTAACTCTGCATGAAAACTAAGTTATTATTTAAAAAAAAACTATCAAAGAGAGCCCTTTTGTTATAATGATGATTGCTGGAATTTCAGGCAGTATAAACATAGATATTTAATTTTCTGAAAGGCGTTTAAAGCATAATACCTATATTGTAACTAGTGAAACATTATTCTTACTAAAAGAATTTTTCCTTTGGTGAAATCTTTCTATTACACAAATGCTTTGATTTATGCATTTGACACAAACATTTTTTGATTTGGGTGGAGTTTCAGGTAAGTAAAAGGTACTTGAATATGGAAGAAAAGGGATTGTGCCTTCTTCATTGGTTTACTGTACAACTCTATATAGTCTAGGTAGAATAATGTCTTTTTACAATACAGGAAAATTTTTCTCTTGGCAAGTGAATAAAATCTGCTTTGAGATATTTCAAGGAGACTTGACTTTGTAGGTAGGGGTAATTTATATAACTCCCTGCACTTGGAAGATCATAGTGCTCTTCATAAGTGGTCCTTAAAGTCTTGACAGATTGGTCCTGTTGCTTTGAGTCTCGTATTTAGGAGCAGGGAGGGGAAGGGTGAAACAAAGAGAGGATGGGTAATTAAGGGAAATGGCAAATGTGGGGAAGGAAATGCCTTTAGCAGCTGGTGCTTAAAGGAATATATAGATCAGAAGGAGTCAGTAAATCCTACCATCACCAAGGCAGCAAGGACTATATTATCTACCTGACTTTTGATTGTAGTTTTGCTTTTCTTTGACTTTTTCCCCCCAGCTTTATTGAGGTATGTTTGGCAAATAAAAATTGTATACGTTTAAAGTGTACAACATGTTTTTACATATGTATACATTGTGAAATGATTACTAAAATCAGGCTAATTAACATACCCATCACTTCACATAGTAGGGTGGTAAGAACATTTAAGATCTACTCTCTTAACAAATTTGGCCTACACAATACAGTTGTTGTTGTTGTTTTGAAACAAGATATGGCTCAATTGCCTAGGCTGGAGTGCGGTGGCACAATCTTGGCTCACTGCAACCTCTGCTTCCCTGGCTCAAGCCACCCTCCCACCACAGCCTTCCAAGTAGCTAGGACCACAGGCGTGCACCATCATGCCCAGCTAATTTTTGTATCTTTTGTTGAGATGGGGTTTTGCCATGTTGCCCAGGCATGTCTTGAACTTGTGAACTCAAGCCACCTGCCCGCCTCAGCCTTCCAAAGTGCTGGAATTACAGGCGTGAGCCACCACACCCAGCCCAGTATTGTTATCTGTAGTCACAATGCTGTATGTTAGATCTCCAGAGCTTATTCATCCTGCATAACTGAAACTTTGTACCTTTTGGCCAACATCTTCCCATTTCCCCCACCCACCAGCCCCTGGCAACCTCCATTCTACTTTTTACTCTCTGATCCTGAGTTTGACTTTTTTTCTAAGATTTCGCATGTAAATGAGATCATGCTGTATTTGTCTTTCTGTGCCTGGCTTATTTAACTTAGCATGATGTCTTCCAGGTTCATCCATGTTATTACAAAGACAGGATTTCCTTTCTTTTTAAGGCTGAATAATATTCCTGTGTGTGTGGGCATGTGCGTATAACTCTCACATTTTCTTTATGTATATGTTCATTGTTGGCCCCTTTGTTGATTCCTTATCTTGGATTATGTGAATACTGTTGCAATGAACATAGGAATGCAGATATCTCTTCAAGATACTGGCTTTATTTATTTTGGCTGTATCCCCAGAAGTGGGATTGCTGGATCATATGATCGTTCTATTTTTAATTTTTTGAGGAACTTCCATGCTGTTTTCCATAATGACTGTACCAATTTACATTCCCACTAATAGTTTACAAGAGTTCTCTTTTTTCCACATCCTCAATAACACTTGCTTTCATTTATCTTTTTGGTAATAGCCATGCCGACAGGTATGAGGTGATATCTCATTGTGGCTTTCGTTTGTATTTCTCTGATGATTAGTGGTATTGAGCATGTTTTCATATACTTGTTGGCCATTTGGATGTCTTTTTAAAAATGTTTATTCAGGTCCTTTGCCCATTTTTTAATTGGATTGTTTTCTTGCTATTACATTGTTTGGGTTCCTTGTATATTTTGGATATTAACTCCTTATCAGATGTATGGTTTGCAGATATTTTTCTTTCATTTCATAGGTAGTCCCTTCACTCTGTTAATTGTTTATTTTGCTCTGTGGGAGCTTTTTGGTTTGATGCAATCTCATTTGTTTTATTTTTGCTTTTGTTGCTAGTGCTTTTAGAATTATACATTTAAAAAATCATTGCCCAGACCAATGTCAAGAATCCTTTTTCATGTTTTCTCCTAGTATTTTTATTATTTAGTTCTTATGTTTAAGTCTTTAATCCATTTCGAGTTGATTTTTCAATATGGTATGAGATAAGGGTCTCCAGTGTCATTATTTTGCCTTTGAATATCCAGTTTTCCCATAACCATTTATTGAAGAGACTATCCTTTACTTATTGTTGTTTCTGGCACCTTTGCCAAGAATTAATTAATTGGACATAATGTGGGAATTTATTTCTGGGCTCTCTGTTTCATTGGTATATATGTCTGTTTTTATGCCAGTACCATATTGTTATAATTACTATAGCTTTTTTTTTTTTTTTTTTTTTTTGAGATGGAGTCTCGTTCTGTTGCTCAGGCTGGAGTGCAGTGGCCCGATCTTGGCTCACTGCAAGCTCCGCCTCCCAGGTTCACGCCATTCTCCTCCCTCAGCCTCCCAAGTAGCTGGGACTACAGGCGCCCGCCACCACGCCCAGCTAATTTTTTTGTATTTTTAGTAGAGACGGGGTTTCACTGTCTTAGCCAGGATGGTCTCGATCTCCTGACCTCGTGATCTGCCAGCCTCGGCCTCCCAAAGTGCTGGGATTACAGGCATGAGCCACCGTGCCTGGCCTATAATTACTAAAGCTTTGTAATATATTTTGAAATCAGATAATATGATGCCTCCAGTTTTGTTTTTCTTACCCAAGATAGCTTTGGCTATTCAGAATCTTTTGTGATTTCATATGAGTTTTAGGGTCTTTTTCCCTTTGTTTAAGGATTGCATTGAATTTGTAGTTCATTTTGGGTGATATGGATATTTTGGCCGTATTAATTCTTCCAATCCATAAACATAGGATATCTTTCTATTTATTTGTGTCTTCAGTTTCTTTCACCAATGTTGTATAGTTTTCAATGTATAGATCTTTCACTTTCTTGGTTAAATTTTTTTCTAAGTTTTTTTTTTTTAGTGTGATACTGTTGTAAATGGGATTTTTTTCTAATTTCTTTTTTGGATAGTTGTTAGCATATAGAAACACAAGTGATTTTTGAATAATGATTTTGTATCCTGCAGCTTTACTGAATTAGTTTATTAGTTCTAACAGTTCTATGGTGAAGTCTTTTCTTTTTTTGAGACAGAGTCTTGCTCTGTTGCCCAGGCTGGAGTGCAGTGGCGCCATCTGGGCTCACTGCAAACTCCGCCTCCCGGGTTATGCCATTCTCCTGCCTCAGCCTCCTGAGTAGCTGGGACTACAGGTGCCTGCCACCAAACCCGGCTAATTTTTTTGTATTTTTAGTAGAGGCGGGGTTTCACTGTGTTAGCCAGGATGGTCTCGATCTCCTAACCTTGTGATCCGCCCGCCTTGGCCTCTCAAAGTGCTGGGATTACAGGCGTGAGCCACTGCGCCCAGCCTATGGTGAAGTCTTTAGGGTTTTCTAGATACAAGATCATGTCATCTACTAACAGAGACAATTTCTTTTCCTATTTGGATGCCTTTCCTTCTTTGTTTTCTTTCTTCCCCTGCCTCCCTTCCCTCCCTTCCTTTTCTCTTTCCTTTTCCCTTCCCTTCCCTTCCCTTCCCTCCCCTCCCCTCTCCTCCCCTCTCCTCCCTCCCCTCCCCTTTCTGTGTCCAGTCCCTCCCCTGCCCTCCTCTCCCCTCTTGCCCCTTCCCCCTCCCCTCCCCTTCCCTTTCCTTTCCTTTTGCATAATTTCTCTAGATAGGACTTCCAGTATTATCAATACATGGAATAGTAGTTGAGAGAATGGGCATCCTTATCTTGTTCCTGGTCTTAGAGGAAAAGCTTTCAGGTTTTCATCACTGAGTATGGTGTTAGCTATGGGTTTGTCGTGTATGGCCTTTATTATGTTGAGGTACGTTCCTTTTATATGTAATTTGTTAAATTTTATTTTATCATGAAAGCATGTTGATTTTTTAAAGCAAATTCTTTCAGATCTTGAAGCATGTTGAATGTTGTCACATGTTCTTTCCATATCTATTGAGACGATTATATTGTTTTTATCCTTCAGTCTGTTAATGTGGCATATCATTGATTGATTTGCATATATTGAATCATCCTTGCATCTCAAAGATAAATCCCACTTCATCATGATGTATGATCCTTTTAGTGTGCTGTTGAACATGGCTTGCTAGTATTTTGTTGAGGATTTTTGCATCCATGTCCATCAGGGGTACTGGCCTGTGATTTTCTTACCTCGTGTGTTCTTGTTTGGTTTTGGTATCATGGTAATACTGGCCTCATAAAATGAGTTTGGAAATGTTCTCTCCTCTACATTTCTTTAGAAGTATTAGAGAAGGATTGGTATTAATTCTTCCTTCAATATTTGGTAGAATTTACTAGTGAAGTCAGCAGGCCCTTGGCTTTAGTTCATTGAGAGTTTTTGTTTGTTTGAGACAGTCTTGCTCTGTCACCCAGGCTGGAGTGCAGTGGCATGAACTCGGCTCACTGCAATTTTCGCCTCCAGGGTTAAGTGATTCTCCTGCCTCAGCCTCCTGAGCAGTTGGGACTACAGGCACTCACCACCATGCCTGGCTAATTTTTGTATTTTTAGTAGAGATGAAGTTTCGTCATGTTGGCCAGGCTAGTCTGGAACTCCTGACCTCAGTTGATCTGCCCGCCTCGGCCTCCCAAAGTGCTGGGATTACAGATGTGAGCCCTCGTGCCTGGCCGACAGTTTCTGATTACTGATTCAGTGTTCTTTCTTGTTATTGGTTTGTTGAACTTTTCTATTTTTTTCATGATTCAGTCTTGGTATGTTTCTAGGAAGTTATCCATTTCTTCTAGGTTATTCAATTTGTTAGTGTATAATTGTTTATAGTAGTCCTTAATGATTCTTTGCATTTCTGTGGTATTAAATCTGATTTCTCCTCTTTCATTTATAATTTTATTGATTTGAGTCTTTTTTCTTAATTTAGCTAAAAGATTGTGAATTTTGTTTTCATTTCAACAAAAAACTCTTCATTGATCTTTTCTATTGTTTTTTAGTGTCTAATTCATTTATTTCTGCTCTGATCTTTGTTATTTTCTTCCTTCTGCTAACTTTGGGTTAGTTCTTCTTTTTCTACTTCCTTGAGGTGTAAAGTTTGGTTGTTTATTTGAGATCTTTTTTTTTTCTTTGTCGTAGTTGTTTATTACCATAAGATTCCCTCTTGGATTTGCTTTTGCTTTATCCCGTAAGTTTTGATATGTTGTGTTTCCATTTTTGTTTGTCTCAACATATTTTTCTATTCCTCTTTTGATTTCTTTGACCCATTGGTTGTTCAGGAGTTTGTTGTTTAATTTCTACCTATTTGTCAATTTTCCAATTTTCCTTCTTTTTTTTTTTTTTTTGACATGGAGTCTCGCTCTGTCACCCAGGCTGGAGCGCAGTGGCGCAATCTCTGCTCACTGCAAGCTCCGCCTCCCGGGTTCAGCCATTCTCCTGCCTCAGCCTCCTGAGTAGCTGGTACTACAGGCGCCCGCCACTACGCCTGGCTAATTTTTTGTATTTTTTAGTAGAGATGGGGTTTCATTGTGTTAGCCAGGATGGTCTCAATTTCCTTCTGATTTCCTTCTGATTTCTAGTTATACAGTTGCCAAAATATCATACTTGGTATTATTTCAGTCTTCTTAAATTTGTTAAGTAAGACTTGTTTTGTGGCCTAACATATGATCTAAACTAGAGAATGTTCTGTCTGTGCTTGAAAAGAGTATATATTCTGCTGCTGTCAGAATGTTCTATATATGTCTGTTAGGTCCATTTGGTCTGAAGTGTTATTCAAATCCATTGTTTTTTTAATTGATATTCTGATGATCTATCCATTGTTGAAAATGGAGTGTTGAAGTCCCCTATATTACCGTCTGTTTTTTCCTTTAGTTCTATTAATATTTGGTTCATTTACTTAGGTGCTTTGATATTGGGAGTACATACATTTACTATGTATACAACCTCTTGATAAATCAACAAACCCTTTATTATTATATAAAGACCTTCTTTGTCTTGTGATAGTTGTTATTTTTTTACTTTTTTTTTTTTTTTTGAGACAGAATCTTACTCTGTTACCCAGGCTGCTGGTGTGCACCAGTACTATCACAGCTCACTGCAGTGTCAACTACTTGGGCTCCAGCAGTACCACTGCTTCAGCCTCCTGAGTAGCTGGGACTATAGGTGTGTGCCACCTCTTGTGACAGTTTTTGATTTAACATCTATTTTGTCTGATGTAAGTATAGCCAGCTCTGTCCTTTTTGGTTGCCATTTCCATGGAATATCTCTTTTCATTTCTTCACTTATGGCTTACATGCATCCTTTTTATTTTTTTGAGACAGGTTCTTATTCTGTTGCCCAGGCTGGAGTGCAGTGGTGCAATCACTGCTCACTACAGCCTTGACCTGCCAGACTCAAGCAATCTTCCCACCTCAGTCTCCTGAGTAGTTAGGACTACAGGCATGCACCCCCATACCCAGCTAATTTTGGTATTGTTTGTAGAGATGAGGTCTCCCTATGTTGCCTAGGCTGGTCTTGAACTTCTGGGCTCAAGTGACCTGCCTGCCTTGGCCTCTCAAAGTGCTGGGATTACAGGTGTGAGCCACTATGCCTGGCTATATGCATCCTTAAAGCTAAAGTGATTTTCTTGTGGGCAACATAGAGTTGGTTCTTGGTTTTCTATTCATTCAGCCACTCTATATCATTTTACTGGGTATTGATAGGTAAGGATTTACTGTTAACCATTTTGTTAATGTTTTCTGACTGTTTTATAGTCCTTTTGTTACTTCCTCTCTTGCTCTCTTCCTCTGTGATTTGCTGGTTTTTTGTAGTGGTATGCTTTGATTCCTTTTTCTTTATCTTTTGTGTTATCTATACTACAGATTTTTCTTTGTGATTATCATGGGGCTTACATAAAACACAAGTCTTTTTTAAGCTGGTAATAGTTTTAACTTCGGCTATATGTAAAATCTCTACACTTTACACTTTTTATTGATACTACAGTTAACATCTTTTCATATTGTGTATCCCTTAAGAAATTATTTTATATATAGCTTTTTTTTTTTTTTTTGAGACAGAGTCTTGCTCTGTCATCCAGGCTGGAGTGCAGTGGCACAGTCTTGGCTCACTGCAACCTTGGCTCACTGCAACCTCCTCCTCCCAGGTTTGAATGATTCTCCTGCCTTAGCCTCCCAAGTAGCTGGGATTACAGGCACCTGCCACCACACCTGGCTAATCTTTTGTGTGTGTGTGTGTGTGTGTGTGTGTGTGTGTGTGTGTGTATATATATATAATTTTTTTTTTTTTTTTTTTTTTTTAGTAGAGACAGGGTTTCATCATGTTGGCCAGGCTGGTCTCAAACTCTTGACCTCAAGTGATCCGCCCACCTCGGCCCTCCAAAGTGCTGGGATTAGTAGTGTGAGTCACCATGCACAGCCAAAATTATTTTATATATAGTTATTTTTAATGCCTTTTTAACTTTTATACTAGCATTAAAAGTGTTTTGCATACCACTGTTACAGTATTAGAGCATTCTGAATATGACTGTTCTTATTTTTACACAGTGAATTTTATACTTTCATGTTTTTCTTTTCTTTTTTTTTTGGAGATGGAGTCTCACTCTCTCGCCCAGGCTGGAGTGCAGTGGCGTGATCTCAGCTCACTGCAACTCCACCTCCCGGGTTCAAGCGATTCTCCTGCCTCAGCCTCCTGAGTAGCTGAGATTACAGGTGACCACCACCACGCCCTGCTAATTTTTGTATTTTTAGTAAAGACAGTGTTTCACCATGTTGGCCCGGCTAGTCTCAAACTCCTGACCTCAGGTGATCCACCTACCTCAGCCTCGAAAAGTGCTGGGATTACAGGCGTGAGCCACACCGCTCCCCCCCAACCCATATGTTTTCATGCTGTTAGTTAGCATCCTTTCATTTCAACTTGAAGAACTCCCATTAACATTTCTTGTGAAGCAGTCCTACTGGTGATGAACTCCCTCAGCTTTTGTTTTCTGGGAGTCTTTTTTGTTTTCCCTTAAGAGAGAGGGTCTCACTGTGTTACTCAGGCTGGTCTTGAACTCCTGAGCTTAAGCAATCTTCCCAGTTCAGTCCTCTTGAGTAGCTGGAACTACTGATGTGCATCATCATGCCCAACTTAGGAAAGCTTTTATTTATTTTTTTCATTTGTGAAGGACAGCTGGCTTGCTGGATATGGTGTTCTTTGTAGGGTATTGTTTTTGTTTTTTTCTCTGAGACAGGGTCTTAACTCTTGCTCAGGCTAGAGTGCAATGGCGTGATCCTAGCTTACTGCACCCTCAATCTCCTGGGCTCAAGCAATCCTTCCACCTCAGCCTCCCAAGTAGCTGAGGTGTATGCCACCACACCCAGCTAATTTTTGTATTTTTTTTGTAGAGATGGGGTTTTACCATGTTACCCAGGCTGGTCTTATACTCCTGGGCTGAAGCATTTTACCTGCCTTGGCCTCCCAGAGTGCTGGAATTACTTGCATGAGCCACCATGCCCAGCCCAGTGGTTTTTTTTCTTTCAGCACTTTGAATATGTTATCTCACTCTCTTCTAGCCTTCAAGGTTTCTGCTGAGAAAACCACTGACAGTCTTATGAGAGTTTCATTGTATATGACAAGTTGCTTTTCTCTTGCTGCTTTCAAAAGTCTGTTTGTCTTTGACTTTCCAGAATTTGATTATAATGTGTCTTAGTGAAGTTTTTTTTTTTTTTTTAAGACGAAGTCTTGCCACTCTGTCGCCCAGGCTGGAGTGCAGTGGCACCATCTTGACTCACTGCAACCTCTGCCTCCTGGGTTCAAGTGATTCTCCTGCCTCAGCCTCCTGAGTAGCTGGGATTACCGACACCCACCATACCTAGCTAATTTTTGTATTTTTAGTAGAGACGGGGTTTCACCATGTTGGTCAGGCTGGTCTTGAACTCCTGACCTCAGGTGATCTGCCCCATCGGCCTCCCAAAGTGCTGGGATTACAGGTGTGAGCCACCGCGCCCGGCCTGTCATTATTACTTTAAATAAGCTTTCTGCCCCTTTCTCTTTCTTTACTCTTTTCACTATTCCTATAATGTGCATTTCATTTTGCTTGATGGTGTCCTATAAATCCTGTAGGCTTTCTTTATTCTTTTTCATTCCTTTTTCTTTTTGTTCCTCTAACTGGATAATTTCAAATGACCTGTCTTGGAGCTCACTGCTTCTTTCTTCTGTTTGATCAAGTCTTCTGTTGAATTGCCCTATGGAATATTTCAGTTTAGTCCTTGTGTTCTTCAGCTCTAGATTGCATTTGGTTGTCTATGTTCTCTTGTTGCTCACTGAGCTTCTTTAAGACAATTATTTTGAATTCTTTGTTAGGAAGTTCATAGATCTGCATTATTTTGGATCAGTTGCTGGTGCTTAATTTTCTTCCTTTGCTAGTGTCATTTGTCCCTGATTATTTGTGATCCTTGTGGCCTTTAATTGGTGTCTATACATTTAAACATGTGGACTCCTCTTCCAGTCTTTATAGACTGGCTTTGCCAAGGAAAGCCCTTCACTTGTCAGGTCATCTAGAGGTTCTGGGTGGGCTTGCTGAAGGGCTCTGCAGGCAAGTTTGCTCCTGGAGTCCTTGGGTAGGCTGGCCTATTGCTGGAGTCAGCAGCCAGGTGGGTCTGAGGCTTGGGTCTGTAGAGGTCATCCTGGTGCCTGGTACTGTGGAAGCAGGCCTGGAGCCTGGATCATTTGGGGTCAGTCTGAAACCTGGGTCCATAGGAGCTGAACCGGCAGTGGGGTGGGCTTTGAGTCTGAATCCACGAGAACTTACCTGGCACCTGTATCTGTGGGAGTGGACTTGGTCCTGACTCCACAGGCACCAGCGTGGCATGGGGGTCTCTTGGGGCAGGCCTGTCAACTAGGACTGTGGGTGTGAGCCTGGAGTCCAGGACTCCAGGGATGGGTGGGCCCTGAGCCTAGGTCTGCAGCTGCTGGCTTGGTGCTGGGGTAGACCTGTAACCAGGTTCTGCTGGGGCTAGCTTGGGTCCATGGGAACCATTTTGGAGCTTGGGGCCATACTTTTCTTTGACCTTTAACTCCACTCTAAATTCATCCTTGATCTCTTGACTTCATTCCTTCTGGATGTGTTGAGAGATAAGGAGGTCTGTGAAGGGAGATCACATGGTTAATTGATCGCCATTTTTATTTTCTCATCCCTTTGACTCTCACAGGGAGGCAGAACTAGTCACATGTCACATTTTCTTCCCTTGACCCTTGTAGGAGAAGCCTTATTTATTAGCATGTTGCTCTTACATAACAGGACAGTGGCTTTATACATTAGCAGGCATTTGGCAGGGTCAAGTTCTCTTCTTGGACCTATTTGACAATTATCCCAAATTTGTGGATGGCATTTAATTCATTCACTTTCAGTTGACTTGAAGTAAAACCCTTTTGGTTAATATTATTTGGACAGTTCTCACAAATGTTAATGAGCAGCATGCTTTCACCACAAAATTGTGTTAATTTTGTGGTATTATTTGGACTTTATTCACATTTGCTAGTAAAATTTTCTCCTTTTCCTAGAAGAGCTAAACAAGTGACTTTAAAGATGCAAAAGTGAGTTACTGGTGAGAAACAGGAAGAAATTCTTTGTAGCAAAAGAGTAAGGATAGCTATAGTTTCTTCAGTGCTAGTTTAGGGTGGATTGATTGGTTTAATTTATAGCTGACAGTTTACAAAGGTCCTTTTGTGATGACTAGCTCCCTTGATGCTGTTTCTTGGCACTTGGCTACAACAGTTCACGAGCCTACAAAGTTTCAGGAAAGGTGCAAAATGGAGTTTTAGTCTCTTTTCTGGATTGGCTCCCAAATTTTAATAGAGCCTTTTCTGTGGACAGGCTACAACTGTTTGGGGTCATGAAATTACATGATTGTAAGGCTAAGAATGGGCTCACAGAATGAGAATTTATTTTGTAATTTTCACTAAACATCTTCACAGTTGACTTTACCAGCTTATTGACAGTAGTCTGTACTAACCAGAGATGTGTGATTGAAATTTTAGGCAGTAAATGTGGTATTTGTTACTTTTTTTGGTAATCATGTCAGATAGCAATGAGTTAGATTAGTATGATGATCTATCACATGAAAAGAAAAGGGAAAGGCCTTAATAGGAAATGTTGCATTAAACAACATCATGAATTTGTTTTAAAAAATTTTGAGTGCCTACTTTTGTGGCAGGCACTGTGTATATTAGGTACTGGCTATACAGAGATGAAAAAAGTAGACATCTTTATCTTCATGGAATTTAGTGTTAAGTGGGTTTATTTACTGTTATGATTTCTTAATCTTTTAACATGTCTGTGTACTGTGATTTGGCAAGAGAGATATGCAGGATGAGAGATTTTAAAACTTACCTGACTACAGAATTCACTTCGGGTAAAACCATATCTCACGGTAACAGTGTTCTTCAGAATCTAGTTTGAGAAATATTTAATGACCCTAGATTCAAGACCAGTGATCTTGGGGCATAATTTTTTTCATTCTGTTTGATCATTGATAGTCTCTGTATTGAAAGGTGGATGGTGGCTGAGCATGGTAATTCATGCCCGTAATCTCAGCACTTTGGGAGGCTGAAATGGGAAGATTGCTTGAGCCCAAGTTCGAGACCACCCTGGGCAACATAGGGAGACTCCTGTCTCTACAAAAAATACAAAAATTAGCCCAGTGTAGTGGTATGTGCCTGTAGCCCTAGCTACTCAGGAGGCTGAGGTGGGAGGATTGCTTGAGCCGGGGAGGTCGAGGCTGCAGTGAGTTGTGATCATGCTGCTGCATTCCAGCCTGGGTGACAGAGCAAGTCACAGTCCCAAGAAAGGTGGATGGCTTTAGGCAACAAATTCAGAGAGAGAGAGAGAGAGAGAGAGAGAGAGTGTGTGTGTGTGTGTATTTTTGTGATGGTGAATTTATGGTGTATGCTATTAGAAAATGTTATTGTATTAAGTCAAAGAAAACTGATGGCTTTTAAATACTTCTGGGAAAAAGGCTGGATGCCTATAGGTAATAAAACTGTAATTTGGGTGGGACAGAAGAAATAAAAAAATCTTCATGATTCTTTAAACTTAACATGAAATATATGCAGGAAAAAATCTATTCAGATCATTTAATTAGGCACAAGAAAAGTGGGAAGCCCCTGAGACACCTTGAGTTGTGGGGCCTGACTTAGTCCCAGCTGTGCCAAATCATGTCAAGTCTCCATGAGCATTTTAGTTCGTATAAATGGAGCTAACAACCTCCTTCCTAACTAGGGACAGTGATTTGCCAGAGATCCAGGCCCCTTGCAGAGAGGCAAAGGTAGTTACTATCTAAGGGAGTATATCAAATAAAGTATCCAGGAGGATGGTATGTGTGTATATATGTGTGTGTGTGTGTGTGTGTGTGTGTGTGTACACACACAGCTGAGGAAGCTGTGTATAAAATTTTTTCCCTTATGCTTTGGGCTGGGATAGGCTTAAGTGTGGAACACCCAATTACTGACATTGATAGGAAGGTGGGAGTGTTTTGGTTGGTGCATCTGCCTGTGTTGAGGTGTTCACAGTCAAACTAGGGTAATCTTGTGAGCCAGTAATTTTTGCTTACCTAGTGTAACAAGGGCCTTTTATTTATTTATTTATTTATTGAGACAGAATCTTGCTGTTGTTGCCCAGGTTGGAGTGCAGTGGTATGATCTCGTCTCACTGCACTCCACCTCCCAGGTTCAAGTCTTCTCCTGCCTCAGCCTCCTGAGTAGCTGGGATTACAGGTGGGCGCCACCACACCCAGCTGATTTTTGTATTTTTAGTAGAGATGGTTTCGCCATGTTGGACAGGCTGGTCTTGAATTCCTGACCTCGTGATCTACCCACCTCAGCCTCCCAAAGTGCTGGGATTACAGGCATGAGCCACCGTGCCTGGCCATGAGGGCCTTTTTATTTATTTATTTTTGTATTTTTAGTAGAGATGGGGTTTCATCGTGTGAGCCAGGATAGTCTCAATCTCCTGACCTCCTGATCCGCCCGCCTCGGCCTCCCAAAGTGCTGGGATTACAGGCATGAGCCACCGTGCCTGGCCACAAGGGCCTTTTTAAAGGCCATTTCTGTTGGCAACATATGGCCCTTGCATCTTTTCCAAAACTAGGTTGATAACTAGAACAAAATAAATCCTATCATTTGAAAAGAAACATAAGCACAAATAAATAGGCCAAAGCCATTGCTTTATTCTAATATAGTTTTTAAAAATTAGACTTCTAGAAATGATTGTGTCACTCAACTTGTGCATCATTTTTTAAGAAGAGCCTAAGGGGCCAGGTGCGGTGGCTCACACCTGTAATCCCAGCGCTTTGGGAGGCCGTGGCGGGTGGATCATGAGGTCAGGAGATCGAAACCATCCTGGCTAACATGGTGAAACCCTGTCTCTACTAAAAAATAGAAAAAATTAGCCAGGCGTGGTGGTGGGCGCCTGTAGTCCCAGCTACTCAGGAAGTTGAGGCAGGAGAATGGTGTGAACCTGGGAGGCGGAGCTTGCAGTGAGCCAAGATCGTGCCACTGCACTCCAGCCTGGGCGACGGAGCAAGACTCCATCTCAAAAAAAAAAGAAGAGCCTAAGGGTCACCATCACACTGCTTGCTGTTTTGTTTTAAACTACCACGTGTACACTAATAAAATGCTGTTAATACCAGCAGTGCTACAAAAGCTTGCCTTAACTGTTGCTCAGAAATCATTCTGCTTTCCAAATTGATTCTTTTTTTTAAAGTCATGTTTATTGTGGTATAATTTTCACACAGTAAAATTCACCCCTCTTACAGTGTACACTTCTATGAGTTTTGACAAATCATGTAATCACCACTAATACCAAATAGTTTGATCACCCCCGAAAATTCCCTCTTCTATTTTATTTTATTTTATTTTATTTTATTTTATTGAGATGGAGTCTTGCTCTTGTTGTCCAGGCTGTGGTGCAATGGCACGCTCTTGGCTCACTGCAACCTCTGCCTCCTGGGTTCAAGCGATTCTCCTGCCTCAGCTTCCTGAGTAGCGGGGATTACAGGCACCCACCACCATGCCCGGCTAATTTTTGTATTTTTAGTAGAGATGAGGTTTCGCCATGTGGGCCAGGCTGGTCTCGAACTCCTGATCTCAGGTGATCCGCCCACCTTGGCCTCCCAAAGTCCTGGGATTACAGGCATGAGCCACCGCACCCGGCCCCTTATATTCTTTTATAGTCATCCCTTTTCTCCACTGCCAATCCCTGGCAACCACTGTCCATATAGGTTGCTTTTTCCAGAATAGTATATAAATGGAAGCATGCTCCTGATTCATTCTTTGTCTGGAGAAAACTTAGTTCCTCAAAGCAAACATATCATCACCTTCTTATGTTTTCAGGAAGGAAAAATTACCTTTTTACTTATGGCCAATGCTGCCCAAGTTTTCCTGGTTACCTTAGGTTTGGATTGTGTACATTCTTCGCACAGCCCATTCCGTCTTGTTCATGTACCTAGCGTTAATGATCTGGAGTACATCAGAGGTGGCCATTCTCTGAGGGTATTTTAGATTTATAGGTCATTCAATACTGGGTCTGACCAACAGTTCTAGCAACTCAGAATTAAGTATTTTCTGAAACTTCCTATTAGGAAAATACCCCCTTCTTAAACAGTGACGTTAATACAAATAGCTTTCAATAAAATATTAACTGGAATAGGCATATAAGTTTTTTATCTGATAGCCAGTGTGAGAACCGTCATCTTTTATACTTTTCCAAAAGAAGTGGTGTGACAGGTAGGAAGAAAACTAATGCTGCCACATAGAATTCTGCCTAGTAGAACACCATCATAGAAGTGTATACAGCTGGGCTAGGCATGGTGGCTCATGCCTGTAATCCCAGCACTTTCAGAGGCTGAGGCCAGAGGACTGCTTGTGAACCCAGGAGTTTGAGACCAGCCTGGCAACATAGTGAGACCTCTGTCT
Source organism: Homo sapiens (assembly GCF_000001405.40). NCBI lineage: Eukaryota > Metazoa > Chordata > Mammalia > Primates > Hominidae > Homo > Homo sapiens. The sequence goes on from NC_000005.10 coordinate 173,107,810, forward strand.
CTACAAAATTTTTTTTTTTTTTTTTTTTTTTTTGGAGACAGAGTGAGCGTCTCATTCTGTTGCCCAGGCTGGAGTGCTGCGGCACAATCTCGGCTCACTGCAACATCCGCCTCCTGAGTTCAAGTGATTCTCATGTCTGTGCCTCCCGAGTAGCTGGGATTGCAGGCGTGCACCACCACGCCCTGGCTAATTTTTGTGTTTTTTAGTAGAGACGATTTTGCCATGTTGGCCAGGTTGGTCTCAAACTCCTGACCTCAAGTGATCTACCTATCTCAGCCTCCCAAAGTGCTGGGATTACAGGTGTGAGCCACCACGCCTGGCCTACAAAAAATTTTTTAAAAATTAAAATAAAAGAAAAATATTTAAAAAAAAAGAAGTATACATAGCTTTCTGTCTGAGATGTTTCAGATACAAATATTAGAAGGAAGACATTTAAAAATCATAGTTTATGTATCTAAGTACCATTATCTGATGGTACTTTTGATATTCCTATAGCTGTCCTGTAATTGTTCTCTTAATCCTGTTTGAAGATAATAAAAATAGTATCGTATACTAACTTATAAAAACTAAAAAGAAACCCAAGGAAGATGAACAGTGTAGTTATCTATGTTTATTAATCTCGGAATGTTTTATGAGTTAGAGATTTACATATTAAAAGTTCTCTTATAGACCTGGTTTATTATCTTTGACATGCCAATGATGTTTTCAGATGCAAGGAAATATACCAAGTTACAAATAGAAGGGGTCTTTTCATTTGTTCTGATTGATTTATTGAAATTTATGGAGCTTAAAAATTGCGGGACCTTTTTTTAAGGCTATGAAAATGATTCTGTAGAAGACCTGAAGGAGGTGACTTCAATATCTTCACGGAAGAGAGGTAAAAGAAGATACTTCTGGGAGTATAGTGAACAACTTACACCATCACAGCAAGAGAGGATGCTGAGACCATCTGAGTGGAACCGAGATACTTTGCCAAGTAATATGTATCAGAAAAATGGCTTACATCATGGTAAGAGGGGATTGCAGTCAGATATTTAGTGTCACTTTAATCAAGTTGAGCTACTAATCCATAATGTTTACTCCGTGTACCTAGGCATTCAGCCCTTCCTAGCAAACTGGAGATGGGGACTGTAGAGCTGCTACATTTGTGTGACTACTCTTCGTCACTCACAAATAGCTTTTACCAGTGTTAAGAGTCCTCACCTAAGTGGAGAGGAAGGACTGTGTAAACATTATTTCATTTCTAGTCCCTTCTTAATCTACCTACCCCATTCAGGAAATGACTAGGAGGCTGCTGGTTTCTGACCTGTCACAGTTGGTATAACCAGAAGGGTTGAGGAGAAAGTGAACGGGCTCTCTTGCATTCTTGTGTAATCCCCAGATGTAAATGGGGGGACTGGAATTCAAACGGTAATGGGGATAAAAGGGCAAGGAAAGAAAAGAAAGGGAGGATGGTTATGGAGAAAAGGAGTTGTAGAGAAGAGTTGAATACCTGTAGCAGGAATCAGAAGTTTATAATCTTAGGTAGGTCAGGCCGTGTGCTGCAGCTCATGGTTGTAATCCTAGCACTTTGGGAGGATCACTTGAGTCCAGGAGTTAGAGTCTGCAGTGAATTGTGATTATGCTACTGCACTCCATCCTGGGCGATAGAGTGAGATCCTGTCTCTAAAAAAATTTTAAAAATGACAGTCTTAGGTAGGTCAAATTTTTTATTGTGAACTCAGGAAGCTGTGATTAAGTAGAATTTATTCTGCACAAATGTTATTTTTAAATTAATCCATAGTTTCTAGTTCTTCTGCTCTGAATAAAAAAAATTAATACAAAGTCTTTACTGAAAAAAGTGGGGAGGGGAACTACTAGTAAGTGTGATGGTCAGTAAACAGGTTATTCACTCATCGTACGAATGTGAGTTGCAAAGGATTTTTGAGGACAAGAATTCCATCTGATGTATGTTTGTGTCTCATTTTCCTTTTCCACTAGCAACCAGGTGTACTATATTGTCTCTCAGTAAATAATTACCAAGCTTTTGCCTTCAGATAAGTTTTCTACTAGAAATGAAACATTAAGTCCAGTCAATAATCCCAAGTAGCATATGAATACTAGGAAAGTTGTAGGAGTTCAGAGGACAGAGCCATCCCTTTTGCCTGGAGTGATAGACCAAGACCCCTTGAGTCTTCTATAATGTTATTTATCAAAGCAACAAAAGAAGAGCTTTTAAACAAGGTTATGCTTACTTGTTGGATTTTCAAGTTCAATACAAAAATGTGTATGTCTGACAGTTTTCAGACGTAGCATCAGAAACATCTTGGTTTGTGTAAAATCTCCAAGCTCTCTTCCGACTATGTATTATACCCTAGTCCTGATTTTGGTGTTTAGTTGAACTCATACTCATCCTGAGATTTGAGATGCTTAGTATGCCATGCAAATAATGAAGAATCTGTCATGCTGGAACTAGAAGCCTAGGGTAGGGAAGAACTTGGAAAAAGTTAGAACTCTGCCATATCACCCCCATTTCCTGCAGCCACAAGATGGGAAGGAGAGGAGGCCAGCCCTTCTAGGATAGATTGTTAAACATGCTAAGACTTCTGAAACATGCCAAGACTTCTGAAAAGAAAAGGTAGTGGTGGGAAGTGGTTAAAAATGTGGCCGTGAAAAACGTGTCTCTTGTTAATTAAAGTGATCTGACTTAAACTTCTTTTAAACTGTTTATAGGAAAATATGCAGTAAAGAAGTCACGGAGAACTGATGTAGAAGACCTGACTCCAAATCCTAAAAAACTCCTCCAGATAGGCAATGAACTTCGGAAACTGAATAAGGTGATTAGTGACCTGACTCCAGTCAGTGAGCTTCCCTTAACAGCCCGACCAAGGTCAAGGAAGGAAAAAAATAAGCTGGCTTCCAGGTAAATGCTAATAATGTTCACTCATGTGAAGAAAGTTTAGGAGGTGAGGTTAGTCCCTAAGTGAGTTTTTATAGAAGGACAACAAAGAAATTGTATTTTTCTTGTATAAATACTACAATGAGAATATTATAATTTTTCTTTTGAAAGTAGAAGACGGTATTTTTGTTTTATGGAAAAAGTTTTTAAGAGGGGAGAGATGAATGGACTCTGGTGCATTATGTTGTATAACAATAAAAAATTTTTTCATAGCTTTATTTTTTGTTTGCTTTTTTAGTAAGTCAGAGTTATTGAGCTATAACTTATAGTAAAATGTATACCTTTTAATGTATACTTTTATGAGTTTTGACAAACATATCCAATCATACAACCACCACCACAATCAAGATATTGAACATTTTCATCATCTTAAAAAGTTTCCTTATGTCTCTTTGTAAAAGCAAACCCCTTCCTGCACCCATCGCCCCTCAAAACTACTGATCTGTTTTCTGTCTCCGTAGTTTTGCCTTTTCCAGAATGTCATGTACATGGAATATACTGTATGTATGTAGCCTTTGATTGAACCTGTCTTCCTTTTTTTTTTTGAGACAGAGTCTCACTCTGTCACACAGGCAGTGGCCTGATCTCAGCTCACTGCAACCTCTGCCTCCAGGGCTCAAGGGATCTTCCCGCCTCAGCCCCCTAAGTAGCTGGGATTATAGATGTGACCCACCATGCCCAGCTAATTTTTGTATTTTTTGTAGAGATGGGGTTTCACCATGTTGCCCAGGCCTCCCAAAGTGCTGGGATTACAGGCGTGAGCCAGTGCGCCCAGCTGAATCTGTATTCTTTCACTCAACATGACACATTTGAGATTCATCCATATTGTTGCCTGGAGTAATAATTTGTTCCTTTTGGTTGCTGAGTTGTATTCCTTTGGGTGGGGATATACTACAGTTTATCCATTCACCAGTTGAAGGGCATTTGGGTTGCCTCCAGTTTTTGGCAATTTTGAATAAAACCACCATCAATGTTCACTTACAAATGTTTGTGTGAATATATTTCCATTTCTCTTAGATAAATATCCAAGCATATATGCTTATAAGAAACTGCCAAACTATTCTCCAAAGTAGCTATATGTGCTGTTTTACTTTCCTGCTAGCAACACATGAGGGTTCCACTTGCTTCACATCCTGTACAACTTTTGGTATTATCAGTTTTTGTTTGTTTTTATTTTTGTTTTTTAGCCACTTTAATAGGTGTGTGCTGATATAGCTTTATTTTTAAATGTGTGCTAAATTTTTAAAAATCAATTTGCATAAATGATTATGTTGTGTTTTCTGGTAACTCAGTTATTTGTTAAATGTCAGTAGGCAGCAGTTTTGGATTGCTATTAGAAAATGAAAGATGAAAATTCACTTAAAAAAGAAAGCAGGCTGGGCATGGTGCCTCATGCCTATAATCCCAGCACTTTAGGAGGCCAAAAAGGGAGGATCACTTGCAGCTAGGAGTTGGAGAGTAGCCTGGGCAACATAGCGAGACCCCTTCTCCGTAATTAAAAATAATAAAATTAAAATTAAGAAAAAGAAAGTGAACTAACTGCTCCTTCCTTTCACAGAGCTTGTCGGTTAAAGAAGAAAGCCCAGTATGAAGCTAATAAAGTGAAATTATGGGGCCTCAACACAGAATATGGTAAACCTAAAGTTTTAAGAAGTTGATTAACCACCTATTGATTTGCTGACCACTCTCTCTTTTCTTTGGTTTGTGATTTGCTTTCGCTGTATTCTGCCTAGTTTTTGGCTAGCCTCCTATTTGTTTATCTGTTCAGTAAGCCACATGCTCACTTTCCTTCAGTCTTGTCCACCTTTTAATATAAGTTTCTGTACTGCTGACTTCCCAATCCACATCTCATCTTTACACTAACAAGCTGATCCACATTGTGACCATGATAATTTGTTTATTTTTTTCTATAAAAGATGTGAAAAGTTTTACAAGTAAATTAAGAATAGGCAGCAAAAACAACCTGCACTTCTCGAAAGATCACAATAATTTCTTCTATTTTATAATTGTGTTACTGGATTAGCCAGTTTTGTTGACTGATTTTAATATTTTCCCTAAATTGAATAATGATATTTTAGGCTTCGTATGAATAATTCAGACCTGTGTTTTTCAGATTTGATTGCTCATTGGAATTGTCTGTGTACTTGGTTAAAATACACATTTCTAGGCTTCTCTGCAGATCTTCTGAATTAGATTGTGTACAAGTAGAACTCAAGAATCCATATTTTTAACACTTCTCAGATCATTCTCTTTTTGTGTGTGTGAGACAGGATCTTACTCTGTTGCCCAGGCTAGAGTGCAGTAGTTTGATCACAGCTCACTGCAGCCTCCACCTTCTGGGCTCAGGTGATCCTCCCACTGCAGCCTCCTGGGTATCTGGGAATACAGGAGTGCACTACCACGCCTGGCTGATTTTTTGCATTTTTCATAGAGGTGGAGTTTCTACTGTGTTGCCCAGGCTGGTCCCAATTTTGTGGGCTCAAGCAATCTGCCCACCTCAACCTCCCAAAGTGCTGGGATTACAGGCATGAGCCGCTGCACCCAGCCAAGATTATTCTTTTTTTTTTTTTCTTCTTTTTGAGACGGAGTCTCGCCCTGTTGCCCAGGATGGAGTGCAGTGGCACGATCTCGGCTCACTGCAACCTCTGCTTCCCAGGTTCAAGCAGTTCTCTTGCCTCAGCCTCCTGAATAGCTGGGACTACAGGCCCACGCACCACACCTTGCTAATTTTTGTATTTTTAGTAGAGACAGTGTTTCACCACGTTGGCAAGGCTGGTTTCGAACTCCTGACCTCAGGTGATCCACCTGCCTAGGCCTCCCAAAGTGCTGAGATTACAGGCATGAGTCACTGCACCCGGGCCCAAGATTATTCTTAATGGAACCATTCTAGCACTTATTCAGGAACTACTGGCTTTGATCTAAACCAAAGTGCTTCTCAGCATTTCACATTGTAGCACATGTAGAAAATTATCATCTCTGAGGCATCACGGAATATAACAAGAGTAGGCTGCTCATGGGAGGAGGTCCCCATGAGCTGAGGGGATAATTATCTTACACATCTAGAACCCTTTTACAGCACTTCAGGGGTATGGGAAGCTCTGGTTTTGATCTTCTGTGATAAGAACACCTCCTTTCTCCCTTATTTTGTTTAAGCCTGGTGTTATAAGAGTGTATTCCTTTGCCTCAAAAATTGTCCTCTTCGATGTGTAGTTCTTTTGGGCAAGTTGAATCTGAAAGTGAAACAGTGTGAACAATGACCAATTATTTGTTTCTAGAGGTTTTCTTAAGTTTAGCATGTCTGGCACATAGGTGTTCAATAAACTGTGCAGATTTTCTTAATCTTTTATCTTGATTATTTTGTTTCCTTTGGTGAGGGCAGAAAAAGAATTTCCAACTGTAAAGTTTTCAACTTATGAAATGAACTTAATGTTTTATTTAATAGCCACTCAGTAAATGAATTAGATAAAATAATTGTTGGTGTGTTGAAATGCAAAGCTATCCATTTTCCTATTGTTCTTTCTTACTATTGAAACATTTTGGCCTTGAGCTCTGTTAGTGGTGCCCTGGCCGCCTCCTAGATATCTGGAAGTCACTCTGTTACTTCTTTGTGGAACACTTATTATCCATTACCTATCAGCCCAATAGTTTCTAGAATTTGTGATTTACAATTTGAAAAATATTTTGAGACTTGAGAACATAGGCTTACCAACTTTATATTTTGCCAAGTGAGAACAATAAAAAGAACATCATCTACTATTACTATAATTTCATATAAGGAAGGATATTTTAGTATTAAAAATTTGAGAAGGGCATAATCTCATAATAGAAAATAAATTTAGCTTTATGAAAAATGTACTCTGTTGTCTTTATCATTTTTAATATGTCATGAACTGGCATTGTTCCAGGGACTAGCTTCAGGGGCCCACTATACTACTCATCTCATCCTATCCCACCAAACTTCCTTCTATTGATTCCTCCTGACAAAGCTCACTGGAGACTGCTGTGTGAATCCTGTGGAAACTTGTTGACTCAGAATGAGAAATAGAACTGTTAGCTCTTCACTCTGACTGACGTATTTTGTCCCTAAGGAAAGCTATATGGAAACATTAAAACCAGAAAATCCCTTGATGAATATGGCATCAGAGGAGGAGGATCTGTTTATGAGTTGAATGTTTGGACTCAATTTCTGAGAGCCAGGTGCTTCTATTTTCTAAACCAGAGGTTTGCGGTAGCATGAGAGCCCTTTCCCTTTTCTCTCCCTGCCCCGTAATGTGTTTGGACACTGTCAAGGCTTGAGAAGAACTATTCTGCTCAGTTTTACTTTAGATTTTATAGTGTTTTTTCTTTTTCTTTTCTTTTTCTTTTTTTTTTTTTTTGAGACAGAGTTTCACTCTTGTTGCCCGGGCTGGAGTGCAATGGCGCGATCTCGGCTCACCGCAACCTCTGCCTCCTGGGTTCAAGCGATTCTGTTGCCTTAAGCCTCCCGAGTAGCTAGGATTACAGGCATGCACCACTACTCCTGGCTAATTTTGTATTTTTAGTAGAGACAGGGTTTCTTCATGTTGGTCAGGCTGGTGTCGAACTCCCGACCTCAGGTAATCTGCCTGCCTCGGCCTCCCAAAGTGCTGGGATTACAGGCATGAGCCACTGTGTCTGACTGTGTTTTCTCTTTTAAAAGTAACTTTATTTACTTTTAACCTGTTGAATATGGGAGAACCCCATTGTTTTCCCTAAGTCTAGCCTTTATGCAAATATCCTTGAGTAAGTAGTCTTCTCTTTCAATTATTCATGGAGAAGAAACATAGATTTTTTGTTTCAAGTGATATAGGAGGTTAGCTCTACTTCCTTGTTCAGTGACACATTTTACATATATTGGCCCTGAATGTAGTTTTGCTTTGTTTTTTTTTTGAGACGGAGTCTCGCTCTGTCGCCCAAGCTGGAGTGCAGTGGTGCAATCTCAGCTCACTGCAAGCTCCGCCTCCCAGTAGCTGGGACTACAGGCACCCGCCACCACGCCCGGCTAATTTTATTTTTTTGTATTTTTAGTAGAGATGGTGTTTCACCGTATTAGCCAGGATGGTCTTGATCTCCTGACCTCGTGATCCGCCCGCCTCGGCCTCCCAAAGTGCTGGGATTACAGGCATGAGCCACCGCGCCCGGCCCCTGAATGTAGTTTTAAATTGTCCCTCTCACTTTCCTCTTCAACTGCAGTTTAGATTGGCCCCTTCTCAGTATTGCTAGATGAAGAATAACAAATCACTGGTTTTTACACCAGGCATTGTGGCATGCTTCTGTAATCCCAGTTACTCAGGAGGCTGAGGTGGGAGGATTGTTTGAGACTAGCCTGGATGATAGAGAAATACCCCATCTCTTTAAAAACAGAACAAAAACCTCAAATCACCAAGGCAGTCTCTGAAGAGGTAGAGATTAATTTCAGACTGTAGGAATCCTGTGTGCTGAAATAAAAAATGTGTTTTCCTTACAGCTTTACCGAGGTATAATTGAAGTACAGTACCTACACATTGAAAGAGTATAATTCGATTGGTTTACATATACGCATACATATGTGAAACAATCAAGATAATGAATATTTCCATTACCTCCAAAAGATTCCTAGTGCCCCTTTGTAAGTCATTCTGCTCTCCACTCCTATCCCTGGATAGCCTCAATCTGCTTTCTGTCACTATAGAGTAATTTACATTTTTCTAAGATCTTACATTGATGGAATCACAATATGTTTACATTTTTGCCTGGCTACTTTCACTCAGCATAATTATTTAAAAATTCCTCCATGTTGTTACCTGTATCAATAGTTAGATCCTTTTTATTGCTAACTAGTATTCCATTGTATGGATGTACTACAATTTGTTTATCTCTTCACCTTTTGATGGATACTTAGGTTGTTTCAAGTTTTTGGCTATAACCACGGGGCTATGAGTATTTGTGTACAAGTATTTGGGTAGACATATGTTTTAATTTCTCTTGGTTAAATACCTAGATGTAGAATGATTGATTCATAAGATAAGTGTATATTTACTTCTATAAGAAACTGCTAAACTGTTTTCCCAACTGACTGTGCCATTTTGCATTCTTAAAAACAGTGTAGGAGGGTTCTAGTTGGTCCACAGCCTTGCCAACATATGGCAAGGCCTATATTCTTATTTTTACAAATCTAATGGGTGTGTGATGGTATCTCATTGTGGTCTTAACTTTTCATTTCTCTGATTAATAACATTGAGCCTCTTTCCTGTGCTTATTGGCTGTTCATATGTTTTCTTTTGTGAAGTGTCTGTTCAAATATTTTGCCATTTAAAAAAATTGGTTTCTCTTCTAAAGGTTCTTTATTCTGGGCCGGTCGCAGTGGCTCATACCTGTAATCTTAGCACTTTGGGAGGCTGATATGGGTCAATCACCCGAGGTCAGGAGTTCGAGACCAGCCTGGCCAACATAGTGAAATCCCATTTCTACTAAAAATACAAAAAATTAGCCAGGCTTGGTGGTGAGCACCTGTAATCCTAGCTACTCGTGAGGCTGAGGGAGGAGAATCACTTAAACCCGGGAGGTATGGGTGCAGTGAGCTGAGATTGTGCCATTGCACTCCAGCCTGGGCAACAAGAGTGAAACTCTGTCTCAAAAAAAAAAAAAAATAAGTAAGTAAATAAATAAACGTTCTTTATTCTGGATATAAGTTCTTTGGCTTGGCTTTTTGCTTTCCTCATTGGCATCTTTTCCTTTCCTTTTCCTTTTTCCTTTCCTTTTTGCCTTCCCTTCCCTCCCCTCCCCTCTCCTCTTCCCTTCCCCTCCCCTCTTCCTCCCTCCCTCCCTCCCTCCCTCCTTCCTTCCTTCCTTCCTTCCATCCCTCCCTCCCTCCCTCACTCCCTCCCTCCCTCCTTCTCTCCTCTCTCTCTCTCTCTCTCTTTCTTTTTCTCTCTCTCTCTCTCTCCTCCTCTTCCCTCCCTCTCCTTCCATCTTTCTATCTTTCTTGTCTTTCCTCGCTCTGTTGTCCAGGCTGGAGTCCAGTGGTGCGATCTCAGCTCACTGCAACCTCTGCCTCCCAGGTTCAAGCGATTCTCGTGCCTCAGCCTCCCAAGTAGCTGGGATTACAGGTGTGCACCACCACACCTGACTGATTTTTTTTTTTTTTGAGACGAAGTCTCACTCTGTTGCCCAGGCTGGAGTGCAGTGGCGCAATCTTGGCTCACTGCAAGCTCCATCTCCTGGGTTCACGCCATTATCCTGCCTCAGCCTCCCAAGTAGCTGGGACTACAGGAGTCTGCCACCACGCCCAGCTAATTTTTTTGTATTTTTAGTAGAGACAGGGTTTCACCATGTTAGCCAGGATGGTCTCGATCTCCTGACCTTATGATCCGCCTGCCTCGGCCTCCCAAAGTGCTGGGATTACAGGCGTGAGCCACGGTGCCTGGCCTGATTTTTGTAATTTTAGTAGAGACAGGGTTATGCCATGTTGGCCAGGCTGGTTTCGAACTCCTGGCCTCAAGTGATCCACCCGCCTCGGCCTCCCAAAGTGCTGGATGGGATTACAGGCATGAGCCACCATGCCTGGCCCTCACTGGCATCTTTCAAAGATCAAACATTTTTAATTTTGATGAATCAATTTGTCAGTTTTTTTAATATTTCATGATGTTTTGTGTTGTAAGAAACCTTTGCCAACTCCAGCATTTACAAATCTTTTCTTGTATTTTTTTTTTCTTAGCATTTACGTAGTTTTAGGTTTTGCATTTAGGCTTATGATCTTTTTTAGGTCAATTTTTGCATATGGTATAAGGTAAAAGATGATGTTCATATTTTCCCATATAAATATCTGGTTGATCAGGCACCATACATTGAAAAGACTTTCCCTTCCCCATTGAATTGTTTTTGCACCTTTGTTCAGTCAATAGACCACATATTTATGGGTTTACTTCTAGATATTGTATTCTGTTTCATTGATACATTTATCTTCCTTTATGTGGATACAAAACTTTTTTTTTTTTTTTTAAATAGAGACAGGGCTGGGCATGGTGGCTCATGCCTGTAATCCTAGCACTTTGGGAGGTCAATTGGGAGTATTGCTTGAGGCCAAGAGTTCAAGACCAACCTGGCCAACATAGTGAGACCCTTGTCTCTATTTAAAATTATTTTTAAAAAAGAAAAAAAGATTAAAAAAAAACATAGATGGGGTCTCGCTGTCTTGCCTCGAACTCCTGGGCTCAAGCGATCATCCCATCTTGGCCTCCCAAAGAGCTGGGATTACAGGCATGAGCCATTGCACCCAGTCATGTAGATAGAAAATTGTCTTGATCACTGTACAGAACTGTCTTGATTACTGTAAATCTTTAAGTCAGGTAGGGCTAGTTCTTGTTAGACCTCCAATTTTGCTCTTTTTGTTTAAATCTGTTTTGGCTATTACAGGTCTTTTGCATGTCTATATAGATTTTCAAATTACTTTATCATCTTTTACAGAAAAGCTTACTGGAATTTTAATTGGGATTGCTTTGAATCTTTAGATCTATTTAGAGAGAATTACTATCTTAAAATGGAGTTTTCCGATCCATGGACCTGGTATCTCTCTCTACCTAGCTAAGTCTTCTTTAGTTTCTCTCTGTCATCTTTTACAGTGTTCAGTGTAGAGTGCTTGAACATCTTTTATTAGATGTAGTCCTGAGTATTTTATGTTTTTTAGTGCTTCTGTAAATGGAATTGCTTTTGAAATTTTATATTTGAGTTCTTTGGTATTAATATATAAAACATATTTTTGTGTATTACTCTTAGTTCCAGTAGTAGGTATGTAGATTCCCTGGGATTTTCTGCTGACACAGTCATCATCTGCAAATAGGAATGGTTTTATTTATTCCTTTCTGATCTTTATGGCTTTTGTTTTTCTGCCTTATCAAAATGTCTAGAACAGCCACAATATTAAATAGAGTGGTGATTGCCTTGTTTACAATCTCAGGGGAAACCTTTTATCTTTAGGTATGATGTTTGTGTTGTACTTTTTTGTAGATGAGATGCCCTTTATCATTTTGAGAAAATTTCCTGCTATTTCTAGTTTTGTTTATTATGAATGGGTGTTGATGATTTTTTTGCATCTATTGGAACAATCATGTATTGTTCTCTTTTATTCTGTTAATACATCACATATTCATCTGTTAAAGTGGCAAATTACATTTGTTAATATTTGGATGTTAAGCCAACCTTGCATTCTTGGAATAAACGCTACTTGGTTATGATATATCTTCCTTTTTATATTGGAATCTATTGCTAATATTTCATATTATTCTATTCTAATATTATATGTTGGATTCCATTGTTAATGCTTTGTTAAGGATTTTGTGTCTACATTCAAGAGGAATATTGGTCTATGATTTTTATTTTCTTTTTTTTAAAAGGTTTTAGTACCAGGGCTATACTGGCCTTATAGAATTAATTGGACCATGATCTCTCTTTCTTTTTTGTTTGACAAAGTTTTATAAGATCAATTTTATTTCTTCATTGTATCTATGATAGAATTTGCTATTAAAACCTTCTGGGTTCTTTTTTTGGGGAAGATACTTGGTAATTTCAATTCTTTTACTAGAAAAAGCTATTCAGATGCTTTATTTCTTCTTGTATGGATTTTCTTTTTCTTTCTTTCTTTCTTTTTTTTTTTTGAGACAGTATCTCACTCTGTTGCTCAGGCTGGAGTGCAGTGGCACGATCTCAGCTCACTGCAACCTCTGCCTCCCGGGTTCAAGCAATTCTCATGCCTCAGTCTCCTGAGTAGCTGGGATTACAGGCATACACCACCATGCCTGGCTAATTATTTTTATTTTTAGTATAGATGGGGTTTCACTGTGTTGGCCAGGCTGGTCTGGAACACCTGGCCTCAAGTGATCCACCCATCTCGGCCTCCCAAAGTGCTGGGATTACAGATGTGAGCCACCGTGCCTGAGCCTCTTTTTTTTTTTTTTTTTTTTTTTTTTTTTGAGATGGAGTCTTGCTTGTTGCCCAGGCTGGAGTGCAGTGGTGCAATCACAGCTCACTGTAACCTCCGCCTCCCAGCTTCAAGCGATTTTCTTGCCTCAGCCTCCTGAGTAGCTGGGATTACAGGCACCTGCCACCAAGCCCAGCTAATTTTTATATTTTATTAGACATGGGGTTTCGTCATGTTGGCTAGGCTGGTCTTGAACTTCTGATCTGGGGTGATTCACCCGCCTCAGCCTCCCAAAGTACTGGGATTACAGGCACGAGCCACCGCGTCCGGCCTTCCTGGCTTCTTATGTGGATTTTAAATTGTGTTTTCAAGAAATTTGTTCATTTCACCCAAGTTGTTAAATTTGTTAGCACCATATTTTCTTATTATCCTTTTAATATCTGTAGATTCTAAAGTGATAACAACACCTTTTTCGTTACTGATATGAGTGATTGGTGTTGTCTCTTATTTTTCATGATGGATCTACCTGGGTAGGGGGTTGTCAGTGTTATTGATCATTTCAAGGAACCAGCTTTTGGCTTTGTTAATTTTCCTTATTGTATATTTTCTGTTACATACATTTCTGCTCTTTATTATTTCCCTCCTTTACTTACTTTGAGTTAACTTGCTTTTTTTTTTTTGAGTTGGAGTCTTGCTCTGTTGTCCAGGCTGGAGTGCAGTGGCGCAGTCTCGGCTCACTGCAAGCTCCGCCTCCTGAGTTCATGCTATTCTCCTGCCTCAGCCTCCTGAGTAGCTGGGACTACAGGCACCTGCCACCACGCCCAACTAATTTTTTGTATTTTTAGTAGAGACAGGGTTTCACCGTGTTAGCCAGGTTGGTCTCTATCTCCTGACCCCGTGATCCGCCCGCCTTGGCCTCCCAAAGTGCTGGGATTACAGGTGTGAGCCACCACGCCTGGCCTTAACTTGCTTTTTGTTCTGTTTTGTTTTAAAGCTTTTCAAGGTGGGGAAATCTGTTTTTAAAGCTTTTGTTTTTGAGGGACTTGGTTTGATTTATTTAATAAACATTTACTAAGGTCCTGTGATTCGATATAGCAGGCACTATCAGGTCTTAAAGCAATGAAGACAAGTAGGGCAAGTTGCTTACAGGTTAGTGGACATCGATGCATGTCTACAGTGTGTTGTCTTTTTTCCTTGCCATTTTTTTTAGTTGGAGATGGGGTCTCACTGTGGTACCTAGGCTGGAGCACAGCGGCTATTCACAGTCACCATCCTAGTGCAACTGCCTGCAACTCCTGGGCTAAAGCCATTCCCCTGCCTCAGCCTCCCAAGTAGCTGGGACTGCAGGTGCACACCACCACACCTGGCTACAGTGTGTTATCAAAAGTGCATACCCAGTAATCTTGAGGGTTTTGTTGTTGTTGTTGTTGTTTGCTGCTGTTGTTGTTGTTGTTTTTTGAGAGGGAGTCTTGCTCTGTTAGCCCAGGCTGGAGTGCAGTGGCAAGATCTTGGTTCACTGCAACCTCCACCTCCTGGGTTCAGGTAATTCTCCTGCCTCAGCCTCTGGAATAGCTGTGACTATAGGCACATGCCACCACACCTGGCTAATTTTCGTGGTTTTATTAGACACAGGGTTTCACCGTTTGGCCAGGCTGGTCTCGAACTCCTGACCTCATGCAGTCCACCTGCCTTGGTCTCCCAAAGTGTTGGGATTATAGGCGTGAGCCACTGCACCTGGCTAATCTTGAGATATTTTTAAAAAACAAGTGCCACATCATTTGAAATCAGTTTCTTTGTATAGGAGCTGCTTATAATCATTACTGCTTAATGCTTTCTTACACATTCTCCATTTCTTTTTTTTTTTGAGCATAGAATTTTTTTTATTTGTTGGTGTCATCTATTATTTCTTTTATTATTATTATTATTATTATTATTATTATTATTATTATTATTATACTTTAAGTTTTAGGGTACATGTGCACAATGTGCCAGTTAGTTACATATGTATACATGTGCCATGCTGGTGTGCTGCACCCATTAACTCGTCATTTAGCATTAGGTATATCTCCTAATGCTATCCCTCCCCCCTCCCCCCACCCCACAACAGTCCCCAGAGTGTGATGTTCCCCTTCCTGTGTCCATGTGTTCTCATTGTTCAATTCCCATCTATGAGTGAGAACATGCGGTGTTTGGTTTTTTGTCCTTGCGATAGTTTACTGAGAATGATGATTTCCAATTTCATCCATGTCCCTACAAAGGACATGAACTCATCATTTTTTATGGCTGCATAGTATTCCATGGTGTATATGTGCCACATTTTCTTAATCCAGTCCATTTCTTAATTATCTGTTATTACATAATTAAAAGGAAAGTCTTTCATGGTAGTGACATATTCCAAGTGTTTTGTTCTGTCTTACAGATAATTTATTGTTTGTAATCAACTCCATCAAGCAAGAGATTGTAAACCGGGTACAGAATCCAAGAGATGAGAGAGGACCCAACATGGGGCAGAAGCTTGAAATCCTCATTAAAGATACTCTCGGTAAGAAGAATGCGAGATAAATTCATAACAATTAATAATATGTGTAAGATGTATGATTTAAGGGGATATTAAAAGTTCTTTTAGTTTAAGGAAAAACTCAAGTGCTCTCATTGTAATTACTCTCCTTTATGAGTAGTTTTATCTTTTGAGATTTAGTGTTCATAAACATGTGTTGCAGGTGACCACAACTTGTAATTTAGACTTAATCATGAAACTATTTTAACATTTAAGAAAAACAAACTTCTAGCAACTTTAACCTTTCATGGAGGACAAAAGGTCCCAGAGCTGTCAAGCCTGCAGTTTGCACTTTAGTGTAGAGATTCTTACTTGTTTTACTCAGTAATGCATTTCACAGGATTCCCACAAACTTGGCTCTCTGGTTTCCCATCCCTGAACAGATTGCACAATGTGGGGAGGATCAGAGGGCAGGGATCTAGACGTCAGGCCAACTGAGAGCTGACAGGGAAGAGAGAGCTAGCTAGTATAGACATAGACATGAGAATCAGCTCAGCTGCTGTAGGAGAAAGTCACTGACAGACAGTAGCATCCAAGGCATCCAGCGTTATATGACCCACGAAAACCCCCAAAATTAAATATACACAATAAAAGGTCAAATGTTTTTCTTGAACAAAAGTATATTTATATTGAAAACAATCAGGTGAAGAGTAGACCCTAATCGCCAGTATTTTCCTCAGCAATCACTTACCTCCTGCTTCCATATGGATTAATTCTGTGCTTGACTTTTTCTTCAAATGGGTTGATGCTATTTTAATTTTTTATGTATTCTTTCATAGCATTTCTTTCTTTTCTTTCCTTTTATTTTTAAAAGCATTTTTATTCTTCCTTTATTAGCTACAGGGGGAAATTTAACATTACAAGAAAAAGTTATTTTTACCTTTTTATTTTTTAATATAAACATCTATATGTTTGGTAAGCTTATGTACTCCTTTACACTTGAAAGTCAGTTTTACCAGGTATAAAATCCTCAACTCGTATTTTCTTTCCTTGAGTATCTTGAATATGAGTCTCCATTTTCTTTTGGCATAAAGTGTTGCTATAGAAAAGCTAATACTGGCTGGGCTTGGTGGCTCATGCCTGTAATCCCAACACTTTGGGAGGCCAAGGCGGGCAGATCACTTGAGGTCAGGAGTTCGAGACCAGCCTGGCCAACATGGTAAAACCCTGTCTCTACTAAACATACAAAAATTAGCTGGGCGTGGTGGCAGGTGCCTGTAATCCCAGGTACTTGGGAGGCTGAGGCAGGAGAATCGCTTGAATGCAGGAGGGGTGGAGGTTACAGTGAGCCAAGATTAGACCACTGCACTCTAGCCTGGGTGACAGAGCAAAACTCTGTCTCAAAAAAAAAAAAAAAAAAAGAAAAAAGAAAAGCCAATATTGACTAATTATTTTTTCCTTATAAGTACTTTGCTGTTTTTGCTTAGGTGCCAAAAGGATTTTTTCTTTAAATACCAGTGATTTTGCTAAGTTATATCTTAGAGTTGGTCATTTTTAGTTGACATTTTTATGTTTATACTGTGTTCTTTCAATATGTACTTTCAAATGTTTTTAGTGTTTGATCTGTTCCCTTGCTTTGCTTTTCTTCTGTAGGGACTCTTATTATCTATAGATTGGCTCTTTTTGGCCCATCTTTAGTATTCGTCTGTCTTTCTTTTCTCTTTTCTTCTTCTTTCTTCCTTCTTCTTCTTTCTTCTTCTTCTTTTTTTTTTTTTTTTTGAGACAGTGTTTTGCTCTGTCACCCAGGCAGTAGTGCAGTGGCACAATCTTAGCTCACTGCAGCCTCCACCTCCCAGGTTCAGGTGATTCTCCTGCCTCAGCCTCCTGAGTAGCTGGGATTACAGGCACCCACCACCACACCTGGCTAATTTTTGTATTTTTTAGTAGAGGTGGGGTTTCACCATGTTGGCCAGGCTGGTCTCGAACTCCTGACTTCAAATGATCTTCCTGCCTTGTGTCACTTTTTCTTGAATCATTTTTATCTCTTCATTTTTAACATTATTTCTCCTTTTTACCTTCTGTTTCTCTTAAAGCATTATTTGCTGTCATTACTTGCTGATCTTAGGTTCCTTTTACTTTCAGGAATTTTCCCCTGTATTTCTAATTATTTTCTGAATTCTGTCACCTTATTTCTTAGTTATTCTATTTCTGATTTATGTTCTTTCATGTATCGTGCCATTTTCTTTAATGTCTTTTATTCTCTTTTTTCTTAGAAAAAGTTGTGGGATTCTGACCTTGATACTTCTCTGTTGTTCATATATGTGTGAAATTAGTTCCTCTGAACTTTTAAAAGAAGGTTTGGTTCAGAATAGCTTTTCTTTTTTCACAGAGTCTCCGCTTTTCAGTTAACATTTAAAAACATGGCATCCGGGCACGGTGGCTCACGCCTGTAATCCCAGCACTTTGGGAGGCCGAGGCAGGCAGATCACGAGGTCAGGAGATCGAGATCATCCTGGCTAACATGGTGAAACCCCGTCTCTACTAAAAATACAAAAAAAAAGCTGGGTGTGGTGGCACGCGCCGGTAGTCCCAGCTACTTGGGAGGCTGAGGCAGGAGAATTGCTTGAACCCAGGAGGCAGAGGTTACAGTGAGCCAAGATTGTGCCACTGCGCTCCCGCCTGGGCGACAGAGCGAGACTCCTTTTCAAAAAAACAAAACAAAACAAAAAAACATGGCACGCCAGGTTTGGTGGCTTTTTCCTGTAATCCCAGTCACTTGGAAGGCTGAGGCAGGAGGATCATGTGAGGTCAAGAGTTCTAGACCAGCCTGGGCAACATGGCAACCCATCTCTGAAACAAAAACAAAAAAATGGCACCTGTCTTTCTGAGATTTCTTGTTCTGCTTCCCTCCCTCATTTTATTTGGACCATCTCTGTTTCATATCTTTAGTTCCTTTCTTGCTCAATGTTAATTTCAACCCCAGGGTTTTTTGTTTTGTTTTGAGACAGAGTCTCACTCTGTCGCCCAGGCTGGAGTGCAGTGGCGTGATCTTGGCTCCCTGCAGCCTCTGCCTCCCAGGTTCAAGCGATTTTCCTGCCTCAGCCTCCCCAGTAGCTGGGATTACAGGTGCACACCACCACGCCCGGCTGATTTTTGTGTTTTTACTGGGGATGGGGTTTCACCATGTTGGCCAGGCTAGTATCAAACTCCTGACATCAAGTGATCTGCCCGCCTTGGCCTCCCAAAGTATTGGGATTACAGGCCTGAGCCACTGCACCTGGCCAGTTTTTTTTGTTTTATCACGGCTTGCTCCTGTCCTGCAAGAGTCCTGGCTGGTCCATTTTCAGAGTTCACAGAGGCTCAACTGTGGGCCCCTTCACTTCTGACTGTGGGCTCCTTGTACTCACCTTGTATTCAATATTGGGTTGGAGAAAATCCCTCACAGCGTTAGCTGCAGTTCTCAAGTTGACTCTGCTGTACTTGCCAGTGGGTAACCTATTCGCTATATGGAAATTTTTTTTTGTTCTCATGTCCATTACTTCCTTTTGGCCCATCCACATAAATATTGATAAATATTGATAATGCTGTTGCCATACATGTCTTAAAGCTTTTGGTAGTTTGTTCCTACCTTCTTGAATGTTCCTAGGGATACCTTATCACTTGTAAATGTTTTCCATGGGTTTATGGTTTTGCCATTTAGTTGCTCTGTTTTTATATGGGGAAATGAAGATTAAAAATCTATGTGGTGGCTGAGCACAGTGGCTCATGCCTGTAATCCCAACACTTTGGGAGGCTGAGGTGGGAGGATCGATTGAGGTCAGGAGCTCAAGACCAGCCTGAACCTGGAAGGTCAAGGCTTCAATGAGCAGGGTGATTGCACCACTGCACTCCAGCCTGGGCAACAGAGTGAGACCCTTTCTCAAAAACAACAATAACAACAACTATACAGCTGTCTTCCCAGAATTTGCCTCTGGACCAGTTTAAATGGGTTGGAGTTTCTTTTTCTTTTTTTTTTTTTTTTTTTTGAGACAGTCTCCCTCTGTCACCCAGGCTAGAGTGCAGTGGCACTATCTTGACTCACTGCAACCTCCGCCTCCTGGGTTCAAGTGGTTCTTATGCCTCAGCCTTCTGAGTAGCATGTTCCACCATGTGCAGCTAATTTTTGTATTTTTAATGGAGACGGGGTTTCACCACCTTGGCCAGGATGGTCTCAAAGTCCTGACCTCAAGTGATCTTCCCGCCTCAGCCTCTCAAAGTGCTATAGTCATGAGCCACTGAGCCTAGCTGAGTTTCTTTTTCTTTTCTTTTTTTTTTTTTTTTGAGATGGGGTCTCGCTGTGTCACCCAGGATAGAGTGCAGTTGCACGATCTCGGCTTACTGCAACCTCTGCCTCCCAGATTCAAGCGATTCTCCTGCCTCAGCCTCCCAAGTAGCTGGGACTACAGGCGCATGCCACCGCGCCCGGCTAATTTTTGTATTTTTAGTAGAGATGGGGTTTCACCATCTTGGCCAGGCTGGTCTCAAACTCCTAACCTCGTGATCCACCCACCTCAGCCTCCCAAAGTGCTGGGATTACAGGCGTGAGCCACTGCGCCTGGCCTGAGTTTATTTTTCTTAAAGGTAATTTCTCTGTCAGGTTACAAATTCTTCTGGAGTCATTTTTGATAATTTACGTATTCCTGAAAAATTACTTCCTCCTGGGCCTCAAATTTATTAAAAGTGAGCAAAGCATTTTTGTTTGATTTTTGATTTCTTCTATATCTGTTGTTACTGTTCCATTTTCATTTATTATTTTGTGTCTGTTCTCCCTTATTTCTTGATTCATTATAGGTTATTCTACTTTCTCCCCCCCAAAACCAGCTCTTAACTTACCAATTCTAATTTCTTGAGTTGTTAGATGCTTAATTTTTTTCTTTTTATTCTTTCTTGACCATTCATATAAATAACAGCCTTTGAATTTTCTTCTTAGAGCTACTTTAGCTGATTAAAATTCTGACATAAGTTCTGATTTGTCATTTTTATTGTTTTCTGAATACTTTGAAATTTTAGGTTTGATTTACTCTTTAACCCAAGAATTCTTTGAGAGAGATTTAAAATTTCCCCCAGCAGGTAGGGATTATTGTTTTCTAGTTTTATTACTGACCTCCAGTTTTTTGTGGATTTATTGAGATTTTCTTGGCTACCTAATATAAGATTACAATTTTTAATGTTCTGCGGGAGTTTTAAAAGAAGATGTATTTTCTGTTTTATAATAAGATTCCCACATATCGACTAGGTATTTTTAATAAAGTTTTTTCCTTTTTTTTTTTGGTGTGGCAGTCCATTTACTCTGTGTAGAACTGAGAAAAGTTCCCAGTAATGTATTTCAGTTTCATCTCATATTTTCTGTGTTTTTGCTTCTGAATGTCAGGATGTTTGAATAGTATTTATTAGTACTAAATCTGCATTATGAACTACAGTTTTTATCATCACGAAGTACACTTCTTGTCTGGTATTATCACGAATGCAGCTTTCTTATTATATTTGTTTGGTATTGTTTCTAATCTTATTATTTATATTTGTTTGGTATTCCTTTGTCTACTCTTTTATTTTCAATCCTTCTGAATCATTTTATTTTATTTTATTTTATTTATTTATTTTTGAGACGGAGTCTCGCTCTGTACCCCAGGCTGGAGTGCAGTGGCTCGATCTCGGCTCACCTTATGCTCCGCCTCCCGGGCTCACACCATTCTCCTGCCTCAGCCGCCGGAGTAGCTGGGACTACAGGTGCCCGCCACCATGCCCGGCGAATTTTTTGTATTTTTAGTGGAGATGGGGTTTCACCATGTTAGCCAGGATGGTCTCGATCTCCTGACCTCGTGATCCACCCGCCTCGGCCTCCCATAGTGCTGGGATTACAGGCGTGAGCCACCGTGCCCGGCCTCTGAATCATTTTATATTAGTTACATCTTTTTTTTTTTTTTTTTTTTTTTTTTTTGAGACGGAGTCTCGCTCTATTGCCCAGGCTGGAGTGCAGTGGCGCGATCTCGGCTCACTGCAAACTCCACCTCCCGGGTTCAAGCGATTCTCCTGCCTCAGCCTCCCGAGTAGCTGGGACTACAGGCACCTGCCACTGCGCCCGGCTAATTTTTTGTATTTTTAGTAGAGACGAGGTTTCACCGTGTCAGCCAGGATGGTCTTGATCTCCTGACCTCGTGATCCACCAGCCTCGGCCTCCCAAAGTGCTGGGATTACAGGCATGAGCCACCGCGCCCGGCCAGTTACATCTTTTTAAAACATTTTAGCCAGGTGCAGTGGCTTACAGCTATAATCTCAACATTTTGGGAGACCAAGGCAGGAGGATCACTTGAGCCCAAGAGTTCGAAGCCAGCTTGGGCAACATAAGGAGACCCCATTTCTAGAAAAAAAATACAAAAAGTTAGCCAGGCATGGTGATGCGAGCCTGTAATCCCAGCTTCTCAGGAGACTGAGGCGAGAGGATCGCTTTTGCCCAGGAGATGGAGGCTGCAGTGAGCCAAGATCGTGCCATTGTACTCCAGCCTGAGTGACAGACCTCATCTCAAAAAAAAAAAAAAAAAAAATACACACACACAAAACATTTTAGTTAAATTAAAATGTAACTTAATTTTAATTCAGATATCAGAAAATTTTTTCTTAGATTTTTTTGTTTGTTTGTTTTTTGTTTTTGAGACAGAGTCTCGCTCTGTCGCCCAGACTGGAGTGTAATGGAGTGATCTCAGTTCACTGCACCTCTGCCTCCCAGGTTCAAGCGATTCTCCTGCCTCAGCCTCCTGAGTAGCTGGGATTACAGGCACATGCCACCACGCCTGGCTAATTTTTGTATTTTAGTAGAGACGGGGTTTCACCATGTTGTTCAGGCTGGCCTCAAACTCCTGACCTTGTGATCCACCCACCTCGGCCTCCCAGAGTGCTGGGATTACAGGCGTGAGCCACCACGCTCGGCCTAGATTTTTTTATGTAGCATGTATTTGGATTTTTTTTGTTATTTATTCTGGAGGTTGTACTTTAATAGGTGAGTTTAGCTCATTTTTAAAAAAATTGATCTATGTTTGGTTTTAGTGCTGTCATCAAAAGATCTGCTAGAGTTTGTTTATGTGGCCTTTTTTTTGCCTTTACATGATCCATTATGGTTTCACTTTTGTTTGTATCCTCTGATAATTTTCAAAGCTTTGTGTTTTTACCTTGTGGATTGGCTTTTAACTGTAACATAAAATGTATACTTATTTTGTCTGTCAACTTTTCATTTAAGATTTTAATCCTATAGAAAAGGAGAAAGAATTGTACGATGAACATATATGTTTCGTTCAACTGGATTTACCAGTTGTTTTCACTGTTCTTTAAAATTCATTGCTTTTTTTTTTTTTAGAAACCAGTCTCGCTCTGTCACCCAGGCTGGAATGCAGTGGTGCTATCATAGCTCACTGCAGCCTCCAACTCCTGGACTCAAGTGATCTTTCAGCACCAACTCCCAAGTAGCTAGGACTACAGATGTGCGCCACCATGTCCAGCTAATTTATTTATTTTTATTTTTATTTTTATTTTTATTTTTGAAATGGAGTCTCACTCTGTCTCCCAGGCTGGAGTGCAGTGGCGTGATCTTGGCTCACTGCAACCTCTGCCTAGCAGATTTAAATGATTCTCCTGCCTCAGCTGACTCCCAAGTCACTGGTCGTACACCACCATGCCTGGCTAATGTTTTTGCATTTTTAGTAGAGACAGGGTTTCACCATGTTGGCCAGGCTGGTCTCAAACTCCTGACCCCAAGTGATCCGCCCACCTTGGCCACCCAAAGTGCTGGGATTACGGGCATGAGCCAGCTCACGTGGCCAGCAGCAAACTTATTTTTATGTTTGTAGAGACGGGTTCTTGCTGTGTTGCCCAGGCTAAGCTCAAGTGATCCTTCCGCCTCAGCTTCCCAAAGCACTGGGATTATAGGCATGAGCCACCCCACCCAGCCCTCACCAGTTGTTAATATTTTGCTACATTTGCTTTATTTCTACCTCTATCTACATGTGTATTTTGGACAGGGAATATTTGAAAATAACTCGTAAAAATCATGATTCTTTGTCTCTAACTATTTTAGCCTGTATTGCTTGAAAACAAGGACATTCTCTTAGCCACAACGCCAGTGTCACATCCTAGTGCTTCAACATTGATATAATATCTAATATGGAATCCATTTTCCCAGTTGTCTCAATAATGTCCATTATAGCATTTTTTTGTGTGTGTGATCCAGTCGAGGATCATGCATTGCATTTAGTCATATCTCTTCTTTTGTTTTCTTTAGTCTACATCAGTCTCCCCATCTTATTTTATTTTTATGAAAAATCCAGGTCTTGTAAAATGTCTCAACATTTGGATTTATCTGTTTCCTCATGACTAAATGCAGTTAGATTTTCTGGTAAGAATACATCATACAACCTTTTCATTCCATCAGTCAAGAGGCACATAATATCAGATTGTCTCATTATTTGTCATGCTAAGTTTGATCACATGGTTAAGCTTGTATATATGTATACACACACACACACACACACACACACACACACACACTTTTTTTTGTTTGTTTTTGGAGACGGAGTCTTGCTCTGTCACCCTGGCTGGAGTGCAGTAGTGCAATCTCAGCTCACTGCAACCTCTGCCTCCTAGGTTCAAGTGGTTCTCCTATCTCAGCCTCCTAAGTAGCTGGCATTACAGGTGCCTGCCACCATGCCCAGCTAATTTTTGTATTTTTAGTAAAGGCAGGGTTTCAACTTGTTGGCCAGGCTGGTCTCAAACTCCTGACCTGTGCTCTGCCCACTTCGGCCTCCTAAAGTGCTGAGATGACAGGCCTGAGCCACCATGCCCGGCCAGTATTTTTTATGATATCTTTTGACTTCTTCCTATGAGCAATGACAAATATATTTCTTTTTTTTTTTTTTTTTGAGATGGAGTTTCACTCTTGTTGCCCAGGCTGGAGTGCGGTGGCACAATCTTGACTCATTGCAGTCTCTGCCTCCTGGGTTCAAGCAATTTTCCTGCCTCAGCCTCCTGAGTAGCTGGGATTACAGGTACCCGCCACCATGCCCAGCTAATTTTTTGTATTTTTCGTAGAGACAGGATTTCACCATGTTGGCCAGGCTGGTCTCAAACTCCTGACCTCAGGTGATCTGCCTGCCTTGGCCTCCCAAAGCGTTGGTATTACAGGCGTGAGCCACTGCGCCCAGCCGACAAATTCTTTTTCCTTTCCCTCCCCTCCCCTCCCCTCCCCTCCCCTCCCCTCCCCTCCCCTCCCCCCCTCCCCTCCCCTCCCCTCCCCCTCCCCTCCCCCTCCCCTCCCTCTTTCCTCCCCCTCCCCTCCCTCTTTCCTCCCCCTCCCCTCCCTCTTTCCTCCCCCTCCCCCTCCCCCTCCCCCTCCCCCTCCCCCTCCCCTCCCGTTCCTTTCCTTTTTTTTTTTTTGAGGCAGAGTTTCACTCTTGTTGCCCAGGCTGGGGTGCAGTGGCATGATCTTGGCTGGCCCCAACCTCCACCCCCCGGGTTCAAGCAGTTCTCCTGCGTCAGCCTCCCGAGTAGCTGGGATTATAGACATGTGCCACCACACCTGGGTAATTTTGTGTTTTCAGTAGAGACAGGGTTTCTCCATGTTGGTCAGGCTGGTCTTGAACTTCCGACCTCAGGTGATCTGCCGACCTCAGGTGATCCGCCAACCTCAGGTGATCCGCCTGCCTCAGCCTCCCAAAGTGCTAGGATTACAGGCCTGAGCCACCGTGCCTAGCTGACAAATATATTTCTATTTCCATCCTTTTTATTTTTCTTAATACTTAAAAAAATGTACTTATACCTCTGTTATTTGATTTAGTGATTTTATCTTTTGGTCTTACTATGGAAGATGAGGAAGATGAGAAAATCTACATACTTATGCTGCTCCCACCTTTCTCCCTCTTCTCTTCCAACATTTCTTATTCGTTCATTCACTTTTTTAAATGAAGAAAAGGAAACTTAAACTGTATCCAGTAATTATAAAAATGACCCAAAACATCCTTCAGGTCTATATTTTCAGTTTCATGGGTGAAACCTACCCATGGAACTTGGTGAGTTTAGAGTAATTGGAAGAGACTGGCTGAGAGAACAGGGAAAAACCAGGGCGTGGGAAGCAGTGCCTGTCGGCAGCCTTTGGGTTTGGGTTTGGACTGTTATTTGGACTGTTACACTTGTCATCTACCTCACTTTAAATGTTGGTTTATGATTTTTCATGGCTATCCTTGGTTTGACTTTTCTAATCTTAAAATTTTAGACAGTAATATGAAGGGTAGCATTGTTTTCTGAGCTGCAATAACAAGTGCCAGGGAATTCATTTGGGACCAGTATCAAGCTGAGGGCCACACCTGAACCTCAGTTTTTACCAGCTCCTTCCCTTCCCTTCATGGCCTTCCATTTTTGTGTCTAGATGTGCCTTTTATTCTTCTCTTCAGGTCTACCAGTTGCTGGGCAAACCTCAGAATTTGTTAACCAAGTGTTAGAGAAGACTGCAGAAGGGAATCCCACTGGAGGCCTTGTAGGATTAAGGATACCAACATCAAAGGTGTAATCAGCCTCATTGGACCACTGGTCAGAAATGTCTGCGTTTTGTCACGTTATCCATTGTAAATTTTCATTCTGTTTTGCATGTCAGTTAGCATTATGTAAACATTTACAATTAGGTTACATTGTTTTAAGAACTAAGTAGCATAAGTGAAGCATGATCCAAAATACTTGATTATTGCATTTTCAGAGCATAAACCATGATTAAAACTGCTACTGGCATCAGAATTGAAAATCATATGTTTAAGTAAATGTTAGGTACAGATTACAAAAATCTGTTAAAGCAAAACATTTTGGAGGAGTGAAATAGTAAAATGCCAAGTATTGTGGCAGATTTATGCTCTGAACCACACAAAAAAATTGAGGAAGCATTTTTTTAAACAGTCGGTTTAAATTGTTTTTAGAATTATTGCTTTTTGTTCTAATTTTCCACAACCATTAATCTCACTTGTATATGGCACACCCAGCACTTGTGCCTGTGGGCCATATTAGATGTTCATTGTCAGAGCTCAAGATGATATATATAAATATATATATATATATATATATATACACACACACACACAAATGTCTGTGCAAGTAAGAAAAAAAAAGCATATTCTTTGTGCCTTGTATTTTGGGGAAACTCTAAAACTGGTAATATTTTGTATGATGAAAACCCTAATGAGAAAAAACAAGATATATAGATGGAAAAATTATGGGGTTTAAATGTTTTTTTGTTCCAACTCTTTTTCAGATTTTTTGAATGTATATAGGACTATGTTGAAATGTAGATATATGCCACAGAGTCTGTGTATTGTATAAAAAACAAAACAAAAAACAACAAAAAAAAGATGGCTCTAGAAAACTCATATTTCGGTACTTGACCGGAAGAAGACAAATACTTGCACATTATTGCGATTGTTTTATTTTTTGTACCAAAGACAAATGCAACTGATATGGCAAACTGCCAGTCTAAGTAAAGTTTTGCACAGCTTACATGATACTGTATGAATGTATGAAAAAAAAGGAGAAAAAAAAGAAAAAAAAAGGTCAGGGTTAGGGATCTTACTGAACTGTGAATTTTATTTCTGTTTGGGTCCAATTATCTACAGAAGGAGCATCCATACATACAAATATTATTTTGCTGTTCCTCTAGTTCGCTTCCATAGTAGATAAGTTGGTGGCCATTTAGATGTCTTTTATTTCTGCACTTATTGTAGGAAATTTTAATATATTTCATTTTAGTAAGCTATTGATAAAATAGTTTTTGACTTTGAAAATTAAAATGTTTATTTAGCTTATTGTAGTATACTTCCACCAGACAACAAAATAGATTATTTTTATTGTATTATGTATATATATATATGTAAAGAAAGAAAAAAGCTAAAAATATCTAATTCTTTAGTTGCCACTTTTCCGATTGATGTATTATTGTGCATGTAATATTTTCAAAGATCAACACAGGCTAAAACAAAAACAATTTATAGATTTTTATATTTTTGTACAGGTATTTTCAAACTAGCTTCTTCAAACTTAACATGTGACTTATTCTTCTATAGTTTCTAGAATTGAGAAACATTAACACATTTAGTTTTTAGGTGCTCTTTTTTGCTCATATAAAACAGCTTCATTAGTCAGTGTTTTAACTGTGTTCAAGCTTTACCTCTTGATGAGAAATTTCTTATGTCAAGGCAGCATTATAAACCTTCCCCCACAGATTTTTCCATCCTGTCTCTCTTACTGTTTTATTCTCAAATCTTGTGCTTTGAACTCTGAAAACTGGTGGCTTAAAAACTAAAAAAAGAAAAAAAGCATATTTAGCAAGGAAAAAAATACCAAAAATTTCAGGCATAGCTGCTGGAAAAATTATCTATTTCTCCATTACCCACTGTAGGATTTCTTTTTTAATTATACTTTGACTATAAAGTGTCAAAGTATAATTTGTTCTTTTCTTTTACTTTGTTACCCCATTTGTAAGCTATAGCATATGAAGCTATATATATAGCTTGTGAAGGTTTGATCTAGAACACCCAGTAACAAATGAACAATGTTGCTTACCTGCTTCTTTGACATCTTAAAAAAGAAATCCAAGGAGGATTGTAAGGATTGTCTTACCACCTTAGCTGAACTGTGATGCACAAGATTTTTCTATGTGTTTGGTGGAAATGTACCTGGTTTGTACATTCACGCTAAACAGATGATAAGCTCAAGTCTGATGGTTTAATAGAATGTAAGTTCATCGTTTAAAGCTTTTCCTTTTTAGGTTGGAGAAGGCAAAACACAGGCTTGCAAGTTGGAAGTATATGAAGTCTTGACAGAGTGTGTCTGGTAAATTGAAAAGTGTTTCAAACTATGGCAGTTTTGCAATCAGGTGAAAATCACCTCATGATATTCAGCTGATAAGGTTTATAAAATTGCCCCTTTCTAGCTGCTCTGTTAGGAATTCTGGTTTTTGATACTTTTTTCCTGTCTGCAAACCAGAATTTGATTTTTTGGTCTTGCATTTCAAAAAAAAAAAGACTTTGAATCTGTTTAGTAGATTCCATATCTTTGAGTTTCAGTGTTTTATATGTACTACTTAAGTTAAATAGTTAAAAGCTTTTAAATAGTTGAGCTTTTTAATGTTGACACTTTATTTTGTACCTATTTATATATGTATGTATATCTTAGAAAAGCACTTTGTTAAAAAAAAATTGCATTTTATATGATTCCTGCCATTTGCTGCTAAATCTGGGCTGGTCAGAATGCTGCAGCGATACTTGATCTATATAAAAACCTGGCAGTAAAATGTAGAGTGAAAGTTAAATCCTCTTGCTGTTTTAACTTTATCATAAAGATGACATAGGCAAGCTGTGCAGCTTTACATTTTAACCAGGGGACTCTGTGGCATTTAAAACCGTCTAGAAATGGTTGTACTTTAATGCCAGTAATAATCTGCTTCCTCTATTGTCATTAAAATATATACGTTTAGTGTATCACACAAACCAATCTTATAAGGGTAATGTAAAAACCCCAACAATTGTACATGTTCTGTTTTTGAAAATTGTGGCATGTATTTTTGGGTGAAGATCATTAGAGAAGAGTTCTCTAAAGGTTTTCTGTGTTCATACATGGTATACAGATAGCTCATAATGAAGTCCAGAATCTTACTTTTAAGTGAAGGCATTGTGAATTCACCTCAAGTAAACCCATTGTTCCAAAGCAATTATAAACTTTGACTCTAGTACTACTATGATTTAAAAAAAAAAAAAACCAACAAAAACCTTTTTTCCTAGTTTCAGATACACTGGATTCTTTATAGAGTTTGTCTCCATATGAAAGCATGCTGTCCAGTCGCTCTTGTTAAGATCTTGTCTGAGTTTTGAATTGGGTGCCACACTTTTCCAGTCAATATAATTGCTTGTTCTACTGTACCATGTATGATTCTTGTCCTTTCCTATATCCTTCATGACAGATTATGATGTGGCTTTATATTGTGCCTTACTTGTACATTTAAAACTAAACGTCTTCATTCCCTTCCACTTCCTACATCTTTAACTTTGACCTTTTTGGTAAGAGAATCAGAACTATTACAAAAGCATCATGAAGGATTTCAGATGGGTATGGTTTCAAATTCCCTCTCTTTATAGTTATTTTATATTTGTATGAAAGACCAGTTTTGGATGGTCTTTGAATATAGGGGGGAAAGATTAGCAGTAATTTCACTACATCCCTTTTCTCTGACTTTCATGCATTTCTCATACATCTTCTTTCTGATGCTTGACTTTATTTGCTTCCTAGCAATAGTCTGCATTTAAAGAAAGGTGTGTTCAATTCATCAGCTTGAAATTGACTATTTCATTTTTCCAGGATTTTTTAGGAGAAGAGTACCCATTTTGTTTTATAAAAACAGATGACAAGTCTCTTTAAAAGAAACAGAAGTACAGTACTTTTGAAATACAATGCTGTTAGTTTGGATTTCTTTTTATATATATATATAATATTCATACAATGATCTGATGTTTGCCTTCATTAATAAAGCTGTTAGTTTATTCACCAAAATGTCAAGAATGGATGTGCTTTTCTTTATTCCACACATTTAAAAAAATTTAGCTGCTAAGATTTAATGTTATAAGAAATGAATTCAAGTTGCCTTCAGCAAGAATTAACAAAAACTTATGTTCCCTTTCTTTATATAGTTTCCTAAAATTCTGTTCAAGTATTTTCTAGTTAATTATGTAACAGAATGTTAGCATCTCTCCATATCTTGAAACTTGAATTTTGAGAATGCATTGAATTATGCTTTCAGTGTTAAAGTAAAAGGTTTCAATTATCCTTCTAGTGAAGTCTGTTGTGGAATACCATTTCCCATGGAACTGAGGCCATTTCCACAACTTTGCACAGAACTGCAGTCTTGTTCTTCCCTTGGATCATGACAAATAAGTCTCACACAGTGCCGTAATACTTGTGGATTCTTTTGTAATCTTTGTAATCTTAATAAGGGCATTATGAGAAGACGACTCCATGTTTTTTTAATACTTCAAACACATTGGGATGTAACAATGAATGTCAACTGTAGGAATGGTGGTTTCGTTTTAAGGAATAAGCATGTTGGGGAAAGATGATGAAAATGTACTACTGAAAGTTATACACTTCCATAGGCAAATGGGATTATGTGTTGAAGCATAGTCCTCATGCTTAATAAACTGACTGAAATCGTAGAAATTACACCTAGGAACTGAGCTAGGCCAAATTGCCATTTTTGTTTAGAGAGTTTTGGAGGTAGTAGTGAGGGGACAGAGCCTTAAAACTACTTCCAAACAGTATTTTGGAATTGAAGACTTGGTAACTAGTGAAGAACATCAAAGTTGGGTATTTCAATGTGCCAAGTTTGGGTGAACTAGGTTCGGTTTGCCTCTTTCATAACAATGTAAACACAATGGTGTAGTTAATTAAATTCTGGGTGGATAGGAGCAGGACTGATTACTATGTCTTGCCCTTCGCCCTTTGTTTTTTTCAGAACCAAATAACAGAAATGTGTATGTGTGTACTGTATCTGCCTTTCCACCACATTTTTATGACACTGTATTCCACTGCCTGCTTTTTTACCTTCTTTCCCTAGGATTTGTCCTACAGCTTAGTATTGTGGTTGACAGCGATACTAGGGCTGACAGCACAGAAGTCACAAGAGAAGAGTGGAAGGGCAAGAATTCAAAGCATTTGTTCATACAATGTGGCAACCTCTTTTGCATAGTTGCGTAGGATCCTGTTTGTAATGCTATCATAAATATTCTGTAGTTTTTTTTTTTTCTCTCCCAACTGGAGCTATGACACTTTTTATTGGATTCAGTCTTGTCTCTTGTCTAGAAAGAACTTTATCTTGTTGACGCATGAGCTGTTTAAAAATTATCCTATTAAATGTTGGTTAATAGTTGTGCAGTTTTTCATTTCAGATGGAAAGGCAATGCAAATTTTGCCTTTGTTTTCTGTCACCTTCCAACCCCTGAGCACTTCTAGTCAGATACAGATTCATCAGTGTATGCAACATCCTTTGTAATTTAAAATAAAAAAAGATGAAAAGAAAACGTTCTGAATTGTTTGCCTCATGTTTTCGCCCTTCCTTTCTGTACTTATATCTTGCTTACCTAGGTAACCATCCGCTCCTCAAGATAACCTATTCCAAAGAAATTCCAAATCACAGAGAGTGGTGAACTGCTGGTCTGCTGCCCCTCTCGTGGTAATAATCAAAGAGCTAACATTTTTTTGACACTATAGGTTGATTTTTCAATATTTTAGTGACATTTAGCTATTATATAGAATTATTTGTTGATGTAAGCATTTGCATTCTTCACAGCTTAGAGGATATTCTTATTTCTCCTCTTTTAATCTTTGGGCAAGTGTTCTGCATGGGAAATAAAATATTTTGGGTCTCTCCTGATTTAAACATTTGTATGTGTTTGTGTGTTTAATCACTCTAAGTAAGTCTCCAAACTAAGCTGGGCGTATATATAGAGGCTTAAATCCAGAGACCTAAGTGAAGGCTTCCATCAGAGTATGTGGCTGAAAGTCAGCCAGCAAATATTTGTTGAGCACTTACTCTGCCAGGACCTGTGCTAGGTACTGGACAATAGAGAGATGAAAGAGAACTCCAGGAACTCAGAGCCAGCATGTGAACAGGATTGCAGAACAACACAGGAGCTGTTACAGATATGCAAAGGGCTCTAGGCACATTATTGTTGCTGAGGTGTTTTCATGGACACATCCAGTGGTGTATTAGAGAATTGATAGACTTGGGTTCTTAGTATCCTGGACCCTTGAAGAAACCCTCTTTGTTTCATGTGAGTGACATTAAGGCCATCAGGAAGCAAAGGGGAGGGGCATGGCCTCCCATGGACTGGTTCTGCATCAGGACTTGATCTCTAAAGACCACTGCTCACAGGATCCTCTGTCAAGATCTTGAGACTGTTAAAGGGCTGGGTGAGCCAGACCAGTATAGTCCTTAGGAAACTAAACCTGTGGATAGCATCCAGTTAGCTGGGTCATTCAGCTGGTGAGCTGTTTAGCCACAGTACAGTGGAGAATTTGAAAGAAAGAAAATGGCTGGGAAATGCTATAATATCCCAGCTAAAAGGTTCAGAGCAGGAAGAAGGTGTTAGAAAGCCCTAGGGGAGGGAGTGGCATTCCTTAAGACTCTGCTAGGTGCTTTTTTGTTACAGGAAACTCAGCTGCTACTCTCAAGCGCCCAATGAGGCTGGTGGTCATGTTCATTTTACAGGAGACAAGACTCAGATGAGGAGACTAGCCCCAGACCTACCTTATATGATTATAGAGCTCCAATTCAACTCCAGTCGGCTTGCTGCACTACAGAAATAATTTGTATTCATCTCTTTGGGATCAGGTCAAGTCACAGGCAATATTTGGAAGGATGTCTCTGTAGCGGGGGATAAAGGCCTTAGAATCTAAAAACCAAAAAGAAAGCCAAAACCTAGCAGATAAACAAAAGCTAGTCTAAGGATCAGTGGGTAAAGGTGATAGGGGAAGCAAAACAGAGTTGAGAGGAATCAGTGATTGCGTGTAATGATCACCAGACTGCACATCTGTTCCTCGAAGATGGCCTCTAGCTTAAGGTTTAGGATTGGGTCCCCTTATTGGAAGGAAGTATATTGGAGGGTAGAGAAAAAGGGAGCTTATGTTTTCTTCTTTAGCTGCAGCATAAGAGATGCAACTGGGGACTGTTGATTGCATATGAATATTCAACAAGAAGCATGATGTGAACGGGGTCCCAAGGGCACGTCTGCAGGTCTGCCAGCTGCTGGCTTTGGGGCTTCTCTGCTGTCCTAAACAGGGGGCTTCTATGTGAGTATCCAAAACACTGGAGTGACCTGAAGAAAGTAAACCTCAGTTTCTTTAAAAGGTTTTAACCTGAAAATATTACCAGGAATAAACTTAACAGAAAATGTATACAAGGCCTAGGATAAAGAAAACTTTGAAAGTACTGTGAAGGACACAGAAGGAAACTGGAATAAATTGAAAGATACACCAAGTTCTTACACAGGAGCAGTGACATAGAACTAACAGTGGTAAGTTAAATTAAAAATATAATATTGCTAAAAAATGTCATCCTAAGAAAACATACCAAGAGGGTTTAAAAAAAAAGTTTACACAGGGATAAAATAGCTGGAAGATGCTGGTAGGCAGTGGGGCTGAGGGGGCAGTGATGCAGGGGACAAGGGGAAGAGTTATTTAATCCTAGCAGATACTAAAAGTCGTTATAAAACCATAATAGTTAAAACTAATTTTGATACATGAATAGGCCAGTCAAGCAGAATAGAAGGTCTAAAAGTAGACTCAAACATATACGACAATTTAGTATGGCAAATGTGGCATCCAGAACCAGTGAGCAAAAGGTAGACTCTTCATTAAATAGTATTGGAATAACTAAGTAACCTCCGGAAAAAGTAAAATTGGGTCTATATCTCACACCATAAGCCAACATATATTTCAAAATAGATAATGATCTAAGTGTAAAAAAAAAAAAAAGCTACAAAAAACCACCCATAAAAACACTACAAGGAAATGTGGGCAATCCCTTTAAATCCCTGTAATTTGGACCACGAATCCAGGAATCATAAACGAAGATTGATAAATTCAATGTAAAACAAGATTAACAAAAACCATAAGCTAAATCAAAGTTCTATAGACTTTTTAAGGCTGTAGATGTCTTTAAAAAAAAATGAAAATAGAAAAGCTTTGAAACTCATCTCTAAGGACTAATCCTCCTAATATATAGAGTTCCTGGAAACGGATATGAAAAAAACCAACAACCCAATAGAACAATGAGCAGACAATAGAATAAATGCAAATAGCTCTGAAGCATAGGTAGAGTTTCTCAGCCTCCTTCATGATCAGAAAAGCATAAACTAAAGAAGGCATTTCTACCTAATCAGATTGGCAAAACTTCCAATGTTTGTTAACCTATCCTGTTGACAAGGCCACGGGAAACAGGCATTTATGCCATGTTGCTGGAGGGAGTATGGATTGACATAATCCCTATGAAGAGCAATTTGGTAATATGTCAGAATTTTTAAATGCATATATCCTTTGACCTAGCAACTCCATTTGCTCTGGGCAAGTCATTATTCCTCTCTGCCCCGTTTTTACCTCACAGAGTTGTTGTAAGAGTTAAGCGAGACACACATGAAGCGCTTAGTACAAAGTTCCTGGCACATAGGAAGTGCTCCCAAAATGTGGGCTAGTAGTAGAATAACAGCAGCTAACGGGCATTGAGATCTTACTATATGCCACATTAGCACACTGTGCTTGGTGCTTTTCATGTATTTTCTCATTTAATTCTCCAACCTGTGAAGTAGGCGCAATTGATTATCACCAGTTAGCTTCCGAGGAGACAGAGGCACAGGCATGCGAAGTGTGTGGTGGACAGGATTTGAGCCCAGGCAGATGCCAAGCCTGTGATACACTGCCTCTCTATTAGGTGCAGTGGGGTGATGAATACCTTACGAGAGGGTGTGTAGAGGGCTGTAGGGACACAGACAAGCACATAGCCCCGCTTACAACAGGTGGGGACCATATTGATTTTTTGGGGAAAAGATGGCTTTCAGTAGAGGCTGTGCCACTTTCTTTCTTTCTTTTTTCTTTTTTTTTTTTTTTTTTTGAGATGGAGTCTTGCTCTGTCGCCCAGGCTGGAGTAGTACAGTGGGGCGATCTCGGCTCACTGCAAGCTCCACCTCCTGGGTTCACATCATTCTCCTGCCTCAGCCTCCCAAGTAGCGGGGACTACAGGCGTCCGCCACCACGCCCGGCTAATTTTTATATTTTTAGTAGAGACGGGGTTTCACCGTGTTAGCCAGGATGATCTCGATCTCTTGACCTCGTGATCCACCCGCCTCGGCCTCCCAAAGTGCTGGGATTACAGGCATGAGCCACCGTGCCCGGCCTAGGCTTTGCCACTTTCAAGATAGGTAATCTTGCAACAGGGTTGATTGTTTTTTGTTTTAATTTACTCTAAGCCCTACTCCTGATCTGTGATAATAGTGTAGTACAATTTCAAGGGTGGTTGTGAGGATTAAGAGAGATGAACATGGTCGGGCACAGTGGCTCACGCCTGTAATCCCAGCACTTTGGGAGGCCGAGGCGGGTGGATCACGAGGTCAGTTCGAGACCAACCTGACCAATATGGTGAACCCCGTGTCTATGAAAAATACAAAAATTAGCTGGGCATGGTGGCACGCACCTGTAATCCCAGCTACTCAGGAGGCTGAGGCAGGAGAATTGCTTGAACCTGGGAGGTAGAGTTTGCAGTGAGCCAAGATTGTGCCATTGCACTCCAGCCTGGGCAACAGAGCGAGACTCCGCCACAAAAAAAAAAAAAAAAAAAGAGAGAGAGATGAACATTCAAGTCCTAAGCCTTTAGGTCCTCACAATCTATGCTTGCTGAAGTGACCCGAACAAATGCAGATGGAGTGGGGTCGAGTGGGGGAAACGCTTTCTAGGGAGAGGGAACACCACATTCTAAGGCTACACATCCAGAAGGAGCTTGAGCAATCCAGGAAGGGCGCAGGGTGCGGTGGCTGATGGCCGGGGTGGCTGATGGCCTTGAGGACCAGCTAAGAAACTTGGATTATTTACTAACAAAAATAAAAGAGCCACCATTTGTTGAGGGTTTGCTCTGACATTTCCATCAAAACTACCTTAGCAAGGTAGATTTAATAAATCCAGTTGTATACAAAAGGGAAACACGAGAAGCCATAGAAGGGCTGCATACAGGTAGGTGACTTGATCAATTTCGTGTTTTACAAAGATCCCTTAGATCATGTGTTGGAGTGATAGGAGGTACTCTACCGACCTGCCTTGAACTCCATACTTTAAAAAATATATGACGTTTATCATTTCCTCTTTTACTCCACAATTTATACTCACTGTAGAAAATATTAAAAATATAAGAAAGTTTGAAGAAACAAAAAATTATTACTGGTACTTTCCAGAGACATCTCAATTGATACTTTTCTTCCAGTCTTTTTTTTTCTATGTAAAAAATATATAGTTATTAGAATGCCTGACAGAAGGAAGATGGAAAGAGACCACTGTGAAGCGTTCTTGATATTCCCTCTTCCCTTCCTCTCCATGTTATTAGGGCCATACCAAGAGGAGAGGCTGATTTCCCTACACGTGTCAGGGAAAGTCCCAACTCTGCGCAGTGACCCTCGCTTGCCATTTTCGCCGGTCTCTAGGGGGCGCTGCCCCGAGACTGGGTGGGGAGGGAAAGAAGGTGGTGCGAAAACGCGTTTGAACTTGGGTCCTGCCGCTGCCCGTAGCCGGCGTCCCCAACATGGCGGCTCCCCAAGACGTCCACGTCCGGATCTGTAACCAAGAGATTGTCAAATTTGACCTGGAGGTGAAGGCGCTTATTCAGGTACTGATCCCGGGACCCCTGCCGGGCTCCAGCAGCCCTAACCCAAGCTCTGCTGGTCTGTGAGCTTGGCAGTGTCACTCCCGAACTTTCCCCACTTGGTTTCCCAGACCACAGGCTCCGCCCCATGGTCGGCTACCCCCCCGGTCCCCATTTGGTTGTGTCCCGGTGACTGCTGGCCTTGATCCTTTTTCCGGGTGCCGCCGGATCTCCCATCCCCAGAGCACCCCACTGTTCTCCGCCCCTGACTCAGCTACTGCTTCGGGGCTCGGCTTTGCCCCTTCCACCTGCAGCCCTGGTCGTCGCCCCGCCCCTGACTACCTCACAACCTACCTGTCACCCTGCTTGGCCCCGCCCTCTGACGCTGCTTCAGCATCCTCTGGTAGCGTCCGGGAGGCAGCTAGCCCCGCCCCCTGCTGGCCAGCTCTCCTGGCATCCAAGGCCACCTGGCACGGGAGGCACCGGGTGAAACGAATGTAACCTGGACCGTAGTTGTGATTTTATGCTTGAGGAAATCGAGTACGGCGCCAAGGCCTAGGTTAGAAGGCATACCTGGGTCAGTGGCAAAACTGGGACCTGGACTGTGAAAGTCAACCTAGGAATAACACCTTAGAGTGTTACCCCGTTTGAACAGATAGGAAATGAAGTGTTTCGCCTTAAGCCATTTAAGGGTAGAGGTAAAATAAACGAGTGGACTTAGGCAAGAATTGGGAGTGTAGACACGGTTCCATGAGTTCAGCAAAAAGAAACCGAGTTTTAAACCTTGTTTTTGCTTGTTTGTTTTTGTTTTTTTGAGACGGAGTCTCGCTCTGTCGCCCAGGCTGGAGTGCAGTGGCGCGATCTCGACTCGCGGCAAGCTCCGCCTCCCGGGTTCCCGCCATTCTCCTGCCTCAGCCTCCTGAGTAGCTGGGACTACAGGCACCCGCCACCACGCCCGGCTAATTTTTGTGTTTTGCTTAGTAGAGACGGGGTTTCACCGTGTTAGCCAGGATGGTCTCGATCTCCTGACCTCGTGATCCGCCCGCCTCGGCCTCCCAAATTGCTGGGATTACAGGCGTGAGCCACCGCGCCCGGCCTAAACCTTGGTTTTTAAAAATAATCATTTTCAACAAAGTCACTAAACATTAGATGTAGACTCAGAGTTTGTAACAAGGTGTGGCAAAAAGTGCAGGAAAATAGGGCTCCCCAGATAAACCAGATGCAGAATAAACCAAATTAGATGCAGAATAAACAAATACGGTGCAAAGAAGTGTGATTAAATGAATAAGCCAGAGAAAAAGTGAAATTTGATGCAGATATTTAAAACTTCTTGAACTTCACTTCTCTGATGTATACATTACAAAACTTCTGGGCCAATTATAGAAAAATAAACAGGTTTCATACAAATGAAATTACATTTTCACATAATCTAAATTGCTTAGGCATTCTTCTGTACTCTTTCTAACATTTGGGTTCTTGTCATTGCTGATGAGAAAGACTGATTATAGCTGGATGTATTGCGTTCTTACCGTTTTCCAGCAGCTCTGCTAAGTGCTTTACATACATACATAATCTATGATGTTCTATGAGGTAAGTAGTGTTGTGATAAGGAAACTCAGACACAGAGAATTTAAATAACTTTCCAGGTAACTTTACACAGCTCATAAGTTGCTACAGCCAGGATTCGAATCCACCTGGTCTGTCTCCAGAGCCTGCCGTGAAAGCTGGCACCAGTAATTCTGAATGTCCAGCAACAGATTCTAAATCTGCCCTTAAACATGTCTATATAAACACTCTAACTTATCACTAATGGTTTGTAAAATCACACTGGAGAAGTTAATCTCATCATATGATGCCAGATATTTAAACATCCTGATCTTCCAAGTTGGAAGGATCTAAGGTTCTAAAGTGATAGTATCACTTTTGCATGTCCATTCTTGTTGGGCATACAAGCTGTTTTAAGCTGTTTCCTACTGGCCAGGTAATGTTTTGTTAAAATTTAGGCACTAAAAATTAGGTCAAAGCAGTTGTGTTTCTTTCTAGGCTTTTATATTAATTCAACATTAATCTAAAAAGGAATGAGAAAAATGTAAATGATAATGTTTTTGCTTGTGTTGCAGAGGTAAACAGCAAAGATCAGGATGAATTATAGTTAGTATGTTAATATTAGTTGGTCTAAACCAACTCTATCACTGTATGGATGGTGTCATTTCATTTCATTGCCTTGAGAAAGGCCTTTCATCTGTTCAATGTCTCCTAGGATATCCGTGATTGTTCAGGACCCTTAAGTGCTCTTACTGAACTGAATACTAAAGTAAAAGAGAAATTTCAACAGTTGCGTCACAGAATACAGGTGGGTATTCTCAATTCAGTCAATGAAGGGGGCTCTGTCCTGGGTATATCCTCTGCTTGAGAGCCGTCTGGGTTCTTCAAACACCAGCTGATGGGAGCAGTAAACACTTAGACAGGGAGGGTGACTCTGTACTAACCTGCTCTCCAGGTAAAAACGAGAAACTTTTGGCCGGGCACGGTGGCTCACGCCTGTAATCCCAGCACTTTGGGAGGCCGAGGCGGGGAGATCACGAGGTCAGGAGATCGAGATCATCCTGGCTAACACGGTGAAGCCCGTCTCTACTAAAAATACAAAAAATTAGTCGGGCATGGTGGCAGGTGCCTGTAGTCCCAGCTACTCAGGAGGCTGAGGCAGGAGAATGGCGTGAACCCAGGAGGCGGAGCTTGCAGTGAGCCGAGATCGAGCCACTGCACTCCAGCCTGGGCGACAGAGCGAGACTCTGTCTCAAAAAAAAAAACAAGAAACTTTTGCATGCAGAACACTGCCAGCTGTGTGAACGAGTGAATGGCAGGAACACCATTATCCTTGGAATTTTTGAAATCCTGGGGCCACTTCAAATACTTTCTCTTCTCTGCCATTCTTTCTACCCTATTCATTCATTCACTACCTCAATCCATCACACTCCTGGGTTTTTTTTTATGCTGTTACTTTGCTCAGCATCTTCCTTATTTCAATAGTCACCAGTCACATCATATACACATTTAGTATGCCTGAATTCAAGTATGGTATATGTGCTGTCTCAAAAAACACTAGAGGGTGACAAGTAGCAGTTATGTTTGTTTGTTTTATTTATTTCACATTTTATTCTTATTACATTGGGCTGGGCAAAGAGTTGTGCACCACTGTATAGATCATGTTATTCTGTTGCTTTCATTTTTAAAAATGAAAATGAGGCCAGTAGTTTGAGAACAGCCTGGCCAACATGGCAAAACCCTGTCTCTGATAAATGCAAAAATTAGCTGGGCATGGTGGCACACACCTGTAATCTCAGCTACTTAGGAGGCTGAGGCAGGAGAATCGCTTGAACCCAGGAGGTGCAGGTTGCAGTGAGCAGAGATCGTGCCACTGCACTCTAGCCTTGGTGACAGAGCAAGACTCTGTGTCAAAAAAAAAAAAAAAAAAAAAATATATATATATATATATATATATATATATATATATATATATATATATATATATTTTAATAGAGATGGATTTTTTGCTCTATGTTGCTTGAGCTGGTCTTAAACTCCTGGGCTCAAGCAATCCTCCTGCCTCAGCCTCTGAAAGTGCTGGGGTTACAGGCATGAGCCCAGACTATTGTGTTGCTTTCAGACAGAATTGGGATTCAGCTTCTAATTGTTTCCAAGTTCAGAATCTAGATCAGAATCAGAGGATGAAGACCACTTGTGGGTCTGGGGGCTGCTGAGAGGAAACACGTATGGAGCTGACTATGGAGGGGTCATGTTTCAAGG
Source organism: Homo sapiens (assembly GCF_000001405.40). Classification (NCBI taxonomy): domain Eukaryota; kingdom Metazoa; phylum Chordata; class Mammalia; order Primates; family Hominidae; genus Homo; species Homo sapiens. The sequence continues at coordinate 173,148,413 of NC_000005.10, forward strand.
CTGCCATCTGGGCATCCAAGGATCCTGCATGCAGCTCATGGGTAGAGGGGCCCACAGCAGCCCCTCAAAGTGAATAGGGATGGCACAGGCCCAGGGCTGGAACTCAGGAGTTGGAAGGATGACTGCATCTGCACACTTAAAAAGATGCTGTCCATCTGTATCCTGGAATCCTGTGTAGGCCCTCTCCCTGAGGACAGGAACAGGGTTGGCTCCTTGGCCTCTGTTTAGCCTCATGAGTAGTTCAGTAAAAGTCCTGCAAACTTGTCATTATCTGGAGACATTCCTGCCGGCTCCTCTTCATGCCCCTCTACTTGAAGCACTAGGCAGTTGCTTTATATTGTTCATGATTCTTCTTCAGTTATTCAAATTTGAGATAATTGCATTCTTTTAGGGAACTCTGGATCTCCTGGTCACTCCAAGGGTTGATTACTGTTCTGATGGTTTTTCTGGTTTCTTGGTTTCTTCTTCCTTCTTTATTTCCTGAGGGTTTCTAGTAATTTCAGTCTGATGTCTTACGTTCTCCATTTTTATTCCTGAGTTTTCTCCTGGAATTCTTCTCACTGCAGCCACAGGACCTAATGTTGGGTTGGCAGAGAACTAGCACTTACTCTGCCCTAGTGGGACCTAGGAGAGTCAGGAGGTACCTGAGTGTGGAAACATGCCTGCTCCTCTAGACTTCTGGAGGTCTCTTAGAAGTAGCAGTTTGAATAGTGGAGATGTTTCCCCTGCTGTACCTTCAGTGAGGGTGAGGTGGGTGTCATGGATCTGCCCATCTGTATTAGTCTGTTTTCATGCAGCTGATAAAGACATACGTGAGACTGGGAAGAAAAAGAAGTTTAATGGACTTCTGACATGGCTGGGGAGGCCTCACAATCATGGCAGAAGGCAAAGAGGAGCAAGTCACGTCTTATATGGATGGCAGCAGGCAAAGAGAGAGCTTGTGCAGGGAAACTCCTGTTTTTAAAACCATCAGATCTCATGAGACTCATTCACTATCATGAGAAAAGTGCAGGAAAGACCCACCTCTGTAATTCAATCATCTCCCACCAGGTACCTCCCATGACATATTGTGAGAGTTACAATTCAAGATGAGATTTGGGTGGGGACACAGCCAAACCATATCACCATCCCTGGATGGGTCTTGTGGCACCTGGTCTTGTGGTATTGGGGTTTTGTATTAGGCCTTTCTTGCATTGCTGTAAAGAAATACCTGAGGCTGGGTAATTTATTTAAAAAAATGGGTTTAATTGGCTTAAGGTTCTGCAGGCTGTATGGGAAGCATAGCAGTATCTGCTTCTGGGGAGGCTTCAGGAAGCTTCCAGTCATGGCAGAAGGCAAAGGGAGCAGGCATGTCACATGACAAAAGCAGGAGCAAGAGAGAGATTGAGTGAGAGCTCACTTACCACTAAGGGGATGACTTATGCCATTCATTAGGGATCCACCCCCATGATCCAAACACCTCCCACCAGGCCCCACCTCCAACACTGGGGATTACCATTCAACATGAGATTTGGGCAGGGACAAATATTCAGACTATATCAGGTCTAAAGACTTGAGCTTTTTTGGCCAGCACAGTGGCTCACGCCTGTAATCCCAGCACTTTGGGAGGCCAAGGCGAGTGGATCGCCTGAGGCCAGGAGTTCAAGACCAGCCTAGTCAACATGGTCAACCTCCATCTCTACTAAAAGTATAAAAATTAGCTGGGTATGGTGACCCGTGCCTGTAATCCCAGCTGTTTGGGTGGCTGAGGCATGAGAATTGCTTGAACCTGGGAGTTGGAGGTTGCATTGAGCCAAGATTGTGCCACTGCACTCCAGCCTGGGTGACGGAGCAAGACCCTGTCTCAAAAAAAAAAAAAAAAAAGACTTGTGCTTTTCATATAACATGGCCCCCAAAGCCCACCAGCAACTCTGTTGTTGCTTAACAGAGGAAGACAGTCTGTTCTAAAGCTGGTAGAAAAGCTGGCCAGTTGGACCCCTGAGAAACAGTATGTCTGTGTCCTGTGTTTGCCTACCTCAGAGATTTTCAAGGGCAATTTTGAAAATGTGTAATTTTTGCTATTGGAGTTAACTATATGATTTTCAGCAGCGTCACCATACCTAGCTGATCTCTTCCTGCCTTCATCTCCAGTACTGATTTAATCATCTTAATTTTTTATTTTTGAAAAGATGTTCCTTTTACATGTTTTATGTATGTGTCTGTCTATAAGTATCAACATTCAGTGAAAAGTCTCAGTTATGCCCCAGTTTTGTTTTTTGTTCCACTCTTCCAAACAGGTAACCACTTTTGTTACTGATATGTCATTCCAGAGTTTCTCTACTCAAATATTTAAAAAGACAAATTTCTTTTTTTTTAAAATTTCTTCCTTGTTTCTCATCTAAAAAGTAGCATACTAACACACAGCTTTTAAAAACTTTATACTTTTGTTTTTTTGTTTTTTTTTAAGACGGAGTCTGGCTCTGTTTCCCAGGCTGGAGTGCAGGTGTGATCTCTGCTCACTGCAACCTCCACCTCCTGGGTTCAAGCGATTCTCCTGCCTCAGCCTCCCAAGTAGCTGGGATTACAGGTGTGTGCCACCACACACAGCTAATTTTTCGTATTTTTAGTACAGACGGAGTTTCACCGTGTTAGCCAGGCTGGTCTCGATCTCCTGACTTTGTGATCAGCCTGCCTCAGCCTCCCAAAGTGCTGGGATTACAGGCGTGAGCCACCGCGCCCGGTCAAAACTTATACTGTTAAGTATAATTTTATTATACGTATATTGGAAATTTTTCCATTTCAGTAATCAGAGACTGTCCTCATTTTTCTTTTTTTTTCTTTTTTTGAGACAGGGTCTTGGGCTGTCACCCAGGCCAGAGTGCAGTGGCACAATCTCAGCTCACCACAGCCTTGATTTCCCAGGCTCAAGCGATTTTCCTCCTGCCTCAGTCCCCCAAATAGTTGGGACTACAGGCGTGCGCCACCACACCCAGCAAATTTTTGTAGTTTTTATAGAGACAGGGTTTTGCCATGTTGCTCAGGCTGGACTTGAACTCCTGGACTCAAGTGATTGCCTGCCTCAGCCTTCCAAAGTGTTGGGATTACAGGCAGGAGCCACCACACCTGGTCTCTCATTCTTTTCTAAATAACTGTCATTTTTTTTTTTTTTTTTAGCCAGTTCTCTATCAAAGGGCATTTATTTGGACTGCTTCCACATTTTTTTTTAAGCTAACTTATTCCCTGACAGACTTTTCTTCAACTCAGCATGACTTCAACTCTCCAACTACACCTGTTACCTTCAGTGTGAGTATTTGTATGTTCTTTTTAAACATCTGGGTGCCCACCCAGTGTTTATTTCCTTCACTCATTAAAATGACCTCACCAATACGTGTACATTTACATATTTATTATGGCACCTAGGAAGGACCTAATAAGCACATGGCCAGTAAATGAATAACCCCATCCCAGTTTTAATCTGCGTTTCTTAAGTATTTACATACTCTTTTTGTATCTGGAAATAAATACAAGATTCCTGTTTGTTTGCCATTTTTAGCTTTTATTTGAATGTCTTTTTTGTGTATTTCCAACAAGATCATGTGATACTAGAGAACTGGCCTCATATCCTCAAAACTGGGTGTTCTGCACATGGTGAATCTTGGGCACTGACTGTGTATAAATATCTGTGTGTTTGTCTTTGTACATATAGCTCTCAAACTGGAATTTGAGGACTGCTCTCCCCCGCCATTCCTTTCTCCAGAACTATCACTGGTTCTCTTTGAAAGAACTTCCAGGCAATCTTTCATGAGTAAATTGTACATTTCTCCCCCTTTTTAATCCCTCCGCTTTTCCCATGCGTTCATTCTTCCATTCAGTGACTCAGTGCCCAGTATGTGCCAGGCACAAGGAATATATGTAGTGAATAATGTGAGATACAGCTCTGCTTATTCATAGAATTTACATTCTTTTTTTTTTTTTTGAGACGGAGTCTCACTCTGTTGCCCAGGCTGGAGTGCAGTGGCACGATCTCGGCTCACTGCAATCTCCACTTCCCGGGTTCACGCCATTCTCCTGCCTCAGCCTCCCGAGTACCTGGGATTACAGGCGCCCGCCACCACGCCTGGCTAATTTTTTGTATTTTTAGTGGAGACGGGGTTTCACCGTGTTAGCCAGGATGGTCTTGATCTCCTGACCTCGTAATCTGCCTGCCCTGGCCTCCCAAGGTGCTGGAATTATAGGCGTGAACCACCAGGCCCAGCCCATAGAATTTACATTCTAATAGGGAATACAGATTTTAAACAAATAATTATGAAAATAATTGATGACATTTGCAAAACTTTTCTAATTCACAGTTGATTATTTCTTTTATTCTCTACCTCAGCAATATTTGGAGGCATAAATTGAAAGTCATCTCTGTGCTATTGAAATGGTGGATACACAAACTTGTTCCAAACCAGTATGTGCAAATTGATACGTAAATCAGTAAATTAGTATATAAATGAGCAAATACATTGATGTTTCAGATCAATAGCGTGATTGAAGCTAGAACCTGTTTTAATTTGTAAACCAAAAAATGTGATTGGTATAATGCTATCTTTAATTATAGTCCCTCTTGATGGTTCTTTTATCTGAAGTTCTTGGGGTTTAATACTTCTGGGTATGTCTGCTGACCCTAACTTATAGTGGGTTATTTCCTTGGTGTTAGGTTATTTTGGACTGTGAGCGCTCATCTTAGCAGACCTTATCTGAGGGACTTTGTGCAGCTGGGTCGAGGCCAAGTCTCTACAGAGGTTTTTGCATTAGCTTCCCGCCAGGTCTCCTGAGATGATCACAAGTCTGACAACATTTTTTTTTTTTTTGAGACAGTCTCTCTCTGTCGCCCAGGCTGGAGTGCAGTGGCGCAGTCTTGGCTTGCTGCAAGCTCTGCCTCCCGGGTTCACGCCATTCTCCTGCCTCAGCCTCCTGAGTAGCTGGGACTACAGGTGCCCGCCACCACGCCCGGCTAATTTTTTGTATTTTCAGTTGAGATGGGGTTTCACCATGTTAGCCAGGATGGTCTCGATCTCCTGACCTCGTGATCTCCCCGCCTCGGCCTCCCAAAGTGCTGGGATTACAGGCGTGAGCCACTGCGCCCGGCCGAGAACACTGTTTATGTTCATTTCTCTTCATGGAGTTTCACGAACCACTCAGGGAAGATAAATTGAACCCTAGATCAGTGGAAGGAGCAGCTCCCTGGTTGGTTATAAATTCTCAGGGGAGTTTTTTTTTAACCCCTCTATTTGGAACTCATAGCAAAAAAAGGCAAGCATCTATGTTTTCCCTCTGTGCTGGTAGATGGACATTTTTTTATACCATTTTCCTGTGTCTGTAACCTTTCGTGGGTTTTAGATTTGTGGTGATCTCAGTTCAGCTTCTCAACCTCAGCCTCAGATGGCTCAGGGCTTCATTTTTCTGTCCCTGCACGAGCTCTCAAACCTTCAAGCGCTCAAACTGCCTATTACTCGTCTTTAATTAAATAGGCACAGAAATTGTGAGTATCTGGAAATGAACAGCAGTTTGATATTTTAATGATATCTAAGTGGGGGATCAGTGTGCTTGTATTTCGTCATTGTTTTTCTTTTCCTTTCGGGCCTGCCCTAGGTGACAGGAGCAGCAGCTCTGACGCCAGGACAGCCGTGCATCACTCCCAGGCTGACTATTCCAGCTCTTGTTCCCTTCCCACTTTTGGGCCATAGGGGTTTTCCTTACTTCCTTGTGGACTTAGCTATAGATTTAAAAGGATGTGTGTTATATGTTACCTAGCATTCCTAGGTGTTCTGTTTTAAAAGGGTGCTTCAAGTGCTATTGTATGCCCTTGGCAGAAATAGAAATGCTCTTCTGCTTTCATGTTGACTTTTGAAATCATTTTAACATGGAATTATTTTTCCTCAAAGGACCTGGAGCAGTTGGCTAAAGAGCAAGACAAAGAATCAGAGAAACAACTTCTACTCCAGGAAGTGGAGAATCACAAAAAGCAGATGCTCAGGTAGGCAGGGCCTGCCCCCGCCAGCGGCTTCTGCTGGCTCTTCTTGTTGCCTGTGAGCCTTGCACGTGTGTTTGCCTGATGGATCTGCTTTAATGCTGACTTAATGGTGTCTTTTTTTTTTTTTTGAGAGACGGTGTCTCGCTCTATTGCCCAGGCTGGAGTGCAGTGGCCTGATCTTGGCTCACTGTGACCTCTGCCTCCCGAGTTCAAGCAATTCTTCTGCCTCAGCCTCCTGAGTAGCTGGGATTACAGGCGCCCACCATCACGCCTGGCTAATTTTTGTATTTTTACTAGAGACAGAGTTTCGCTGTGTTGGCCAGGCTGGTCTCTAACACTGGCCTCATGTGATTCACCCACCTTGGCTTCCCAAAGTGCTGGGATTACAGGTGTGAGCAACCACGCCCAGCCAATTGCATCAGTTACACACTGGTGGAATGTTCTCTCTCAGTCAGCAATAGTCAAGTGGGGGCGAGTGGGGAAGGGATAAATAGGGCCTATCTGAGCAGGTGGAGCTGAACATAGTTTACAAAAGCATATTTAACATTATACTGTATTGTATATTTTTAATCAAAAAATATGATTGCTTTTGTAATACAGGGTCATTTTTTATCTAAGGATAATTGGTACCAGAAAAAATCTACAGAAAGAAAACCTGCTGAAGGTGGACCAAAATTTAGAAGGTTTTGAGTGGGATGCTGTCTAAAAATAAAATAAAATAAAATGCAAGAAAAACCGTAAATTAAACAAAATTGAGGTCAAAAATTAAAACCAAAATCGAGGTTGTAATTGCAGGTGTGTGCTAATCCTTGATTATATAGTTACAGTTATATGCCATTTCTTGTTATTGAATTGGGAGAGGTTTAACTTTTCCAATGAAATTGTCAGACAACATGAAACAGTATCTTTCCCTTCACATTTGACTTTTGTACCAATCATAAAGAGGGTTTTTCCAAACATATTTGAGGTATTCAGATCATTCTCTCTCTTTTTTAAAAATACATTTTTGGCCCAGTGCGGCGGCTCACGCCTGGAATCCCAGCGCTTTGGGAGGCCGAGGTGGGCAGATCATGAGGTCAGGAGTTCGAGACCAGCTTGACCAACATGGTGAAACCCCTCTCTACTAAAAATACAAAAATTAGCCGGGTGTGGTGGCACACACCTGTAATCCCAGCTACTCGGGAGGCTGAGGCAGGAGAATCGCTTGAGCCCGGGAGGCAGAGGTTGCAGTGAGCCGAGATTGCTGCACTCCAGCCTGGGTGACAGAGTGAGACTCCACCTTAAAAACAAAAAAAAAATATTTTTATTTTTAAAAAATTAAAAAATTTTGGAAATGAGGTCCTTCTCTGTTGCCCAGTCTGGAGTACAGTCATAGCTTACTGCAGCCTCAGGAACTCCTGGGCTCAAGCGATCCTCTCACCTCAGCTTCCCAAGTAGTTGGGACTACAGCACACTCCACCGTGCCTGGCTAAATCATTCTCTTTTGAAACCCCTGCTAAGTTGTCATTCCCATGGGTTTTCTCTTTGTCTCTTGTTCACTGGTCTGCCTCTGCCAGATCTGTATTTGTGGCTTTGCTTCTGATTTGAGCAATTTGCCAGCATCATCTTCCCTGCAAGCAGCTGTGTATGTAACAGTCAGCTGTCAGGAAGACACCGACTGGCAAAAACACAGGCACAGGGAGGCCAGTGTAAGCAGGGAGGGCTGTATGAGTGGTGGGCAGTGATCCAGGGCTTGGCTATTTCACGAATACTTTATGTTATGATGGCTTTTGCTTTCCTGAGCCACCAAGCCTACTCAGATTATAAACACTGAGTACAGAGGAGCCCTTGTATAAAGTATGGTAAGTTATGCCAGACACACTCAGCTTAGCATGGGTTTAAAGCTGGGAATGGCCATCCACAATGTAGCATTACAGGCCAGAGCAGAGAAAGCTGTCAATTTATACTTTGGGGCTATGTGCAGTAGCTCACACCTATAATCCCAGCACTTCGGGGGCCGAGGCAGGAGGACTGCTTGAGCCCAGGAGTTTAAGACCATCCTGGGCAACAAAGCAAAACCTCATCTATTAAAAAAAAAAAAAATTAGCTGGGGGCATGCTGATGTGTGCCTGTAGTCTCAACTACTTGGGAGGCCAAGGCAGGAGGGCAGTGGGCTCGGGAGGTCAAGGCTGCAGTGAGCCGTGATCATGTGACTGCACCTGGCCTAGGAGACAGAACGAGACCCTGCCTCTTTTCTTTTGTTTTTTTTTTTTTTTGAGACAGAGTCTCACTCTGTCACCCAGGCTGGAGTGCAGTGGCGCAATCTCGGCTCACTGCAAGCTCCACCTCCCGGGTTCACGCCATTCTCCTGCCTCAGCCTCTCCGAGTAGCTGGGACTACAGGCACCCGCCACCACGCCTGGCTCATTTTTTATATTTTTAGTAGAGATGGGGTTTCTCCGTGTTAGCCAGGACGGTCTCGATCACCTGACCCTCATGATCCGCCGGTCTCAGCCTCCCAAAGTGCTGGGATTACAGGCGTGAGGCACCGTGCCCAGCCGACCCTGTCTCAAAAAAAAAACAAAAAAAACAAAAAAAACCAACTTTGGCAGTTGAAGCAGTAGTTGTGCTTGCTTGGGTCATCATGCTTGTCACACCATACAGTGAGTATCTGTTTGCTTGTCTTTTTCCCAAATGAATGTGAGGTGGTTGAGGAGAAGTACTGCCCCTCATTCATCTCTGGATCCCAGGGTCCTGCAGAACCCCCTTGCAAACTGTTTCAAAATGTAATGGATTCTTTAAAGTGGCAGGTGTGAAATGGCGGAGCAGGTGCTCATTAAGACCTTCAGCATAAAGGTGCTATTAGAAAACCACCCTGTCAGTTCATGTACTCTGTGTTTTGATTTTTGAGTATTTCCAGAGATTAGCACAATTGGTTTGAGCTGGCTACATAAGAGTTCTGAAGTATGAGTTTGATTCTTAGAGAGACGCAGTTAGCTTTTTTATAGTCTATCAACAACTGTCAACATTTCTTTTTTTTTTTGAGACGGAGTCTTACTCTCATTGCCCAGGCTGGAGTGCAGTGGCGTGATCTTGGCTCACTGCAACCTCTGCCTCCTAGATTCAAGTGATTTTCCTGCCTCAGACTCCCGAGTAGCTGGGATTACAGGCACTCGCCATCATGTCCAGCTAATTTTTGTATTTTTAGTAGAGACAGGGTTTTAACATGTTGGCCAGGCTGGTCTCGAACTCCTGACCTCAAGTGACCCACCCGCCTCGGCCTCTCAAAGTGTTGGGATTACAGATGTGAGCCACCACGCCCGGTCAACTGTCACATTTCTAACTCCAGGAAGCTGTTCACCAACTTTCCGTTATCACCCACAAGTTAGCGCAGGTGAAGACTGTAGATCCGCCGTGTCAGTCAGGGCTCTGCTAATCCATCATGTTTGTGTCATTCATGATTGGTCTGTAGTATGGAAAGAACAACAAACCTTGAAGAAATATTTTGAAAGATTGGCTTTTTGTGTGTGTGTGTGTGTTTTTTTTTTTTTTTCTTGAGAGAAGGTCTTACTCTGTCACCCAGGCTGGAGTATAGTGGTACTATCACGGCTCACTGCAACCTCCACTTCCCAGGCTCAGGTGATCTTCGCTCCTCCGCCTCCTGGGTAGCTGGAACCACAGGCATGCGCCACCACCATGCCTGGCTAATTTTTTGTATTTTTAGTAGAGACGGGGTTTCTCCATGTTGCCCAGGCTGGTCTTGAACTCCTGGGCTCAAGTGATCCCCCCACCTCGGCCTCCTAAAGTGCTATGATTACAGGTGTGAACCACTGTGCCTGGCCACGATTTTTTATTTCCTACAAAGTATATTAACTCAGCAGCTGAAGGGCCAGAAATGGTTGTTCAAGATACTGGAGATGAGTAAGTCATGGTTCTCCGGGGATGGTACCAATTAATACACAGGCCATAGCAGTACAGCCTTAGAGGCAACTGGACTGAAGAGGGGCCTTGTGTGACCAGCTGGGAAGTTTGGATGCCTCCCTGAAGTCCAGCCATTGTGGAGCTGTGCACAGAGGAGTGCCATGTTCACAGCCCCTTGGGCTGACGGGGGCAGAGTGACAGCAACAGAGCCTCCCCGTGGCGACCTCCAGGGTCCGGTCAAGGGGTATCAGGACCTGAGCAAGAACAGTTGCTGGGGAACCAGGAGGCGGAAGTGGCAGGAGGTGGGATGGGCTCTGAAGGCCGTGCCTGGTGGCCTTCTCCCGTGTGCCTTTGTTGGGGGGAAGTGCTGTGAATTGAACTGACTTATGGCTTGGTGGAGTGGACACACTCACACGTGAACCTTCCAATTCCAGCAATCAGGCCTCATGGAGGAAAGCTAATCTCACCTGCAAAATTGCAATCGACAATCTAGAGAAAGCAGAACTTCTTCAGGGAGGAGATCTCTTAAGGCAAAGGTACCTATTCTTTTATTTTTCTGGGCTCCGATAATAATAGATAACAATTGGCAAGGTGTAGGAAACCCCCTCTTGTTTTCAGCTTGGTGCTTAATTTAATTACATAAGTAATTTTTTTAAGTTTGAAAAAAATGCATACTTATTTGTAGTAAATTGGTAAAATAAAGTATGAATTACAAAATTAAAATATTGAATTTTTTTTTTTTTCTGAGATGAAGTCTCACTCTTGTAGCCCAGGCTGGAGTGCAGTGGTGCCCTCTTGGCTCACCGCAACCTCCGCCTCCTGGGTTCAAGTGATTCTCCTGCCTCAGCCTCCAAAGTATCTGGGATTACAGTTGCGTGCCACTGCACCCAGCTAATTTTTTGTATTTTTAGTAGAGACGGGGTTTAACCACGTTGGCCAGGCTGGTCTTGAACTCCTGACTTCTGGTGATCCACCCACCCCAGCCTCCCAAAGTGCTAGGATTATAGGCGTGAGCCACCATGCCCGGCCGAAAATATCAAATCTTATTACTCATGAACATTTTGGTATATTCTCTCCCTCATTTTTATTTCTACATTTCTTACAAAGTCAAAATTGTACCATACATAAAATTTCATATTCTGCTGTTTCAGCACAAAAGTTGTTCATTAAAAAAAAAAAAAAAGCTTTTTAAGCCTAATTCTAACAGTACATAGTATGTAGATTGTATGTTAATACAATTCCCTGTGTGTGTTTGCATTTCTAGTGTTTAAGTAGTGTAAGTAATACACCAGGGCATGTCTTAGAACATAAGGCTTTATCCACATTTTGGATGTTTCCTTTGGAGGGATTTCCAGGGATGAGATGATTGAGTCAAAGGAATGAACATTACCAAGGCTCTTCAATTGGCAAATTGCTTTACAGAAGGCAGCACTGGTTTATGTTCCTACTAGCAGTCCACAGGGGCGTGGGTCTCAGCACACCCTTTCCAGCATTGAATGTGATCATTTAAAATATGTATACTAATTGGATAGGTAAAACATGAGATCTCATTTGGATGTGGGGCCTTCTTGCAGGGAGGCTTTTGTTGACATTCCTCCCCTTTCTCTTCCTCTGAACTTTTAGGAAAACCACCAAAGAGAGCCTGGCCCAGACATCCAGTACCATCACTGAGAGCCTCATGGGGATCAGCAGGATGATGGCCCAGCAGGTCCAGCAGAGCGAGGAGGCCATGCAGTCTCTAGGTAAAGCTGGGCCTGGAGTAGGAAGCTTCTCCCAGAGACGCTGCTCTAGGGCCCTTGCCCTGGCACCTCCACTCTGGGCTCCTCCACCACAGCCCACACGATGTTCACTGACTTGGGTGGCTTCTCCCTCATGAGATGACTTGACACCATGGTCTTATCCAGTGTGGGATGTGCTGCTCCTATTTCTCTTTTTTTTTTTTGAGATGGAGTTTCGCTCTTGTTGCCCAGGTTGGAGTGCAATGGTGCGATCTCAGCTCACCGCAACCTCTGCCTCCTGGTTTCAAGCGATTCTCCTGCCTTAGCCTCCCAAGTAGCTGGGATTACCGGCCTGCACCACCACACCCGGCTAATTTTGTATTTTTAGTAGAGACGGGGTTTCTCCATGTTGGTCAGGCTGGTCTTGAACTCCCAACCTCAGGTGATCCGCCTGCCTCAGCCTCCCAAAGTGCTGGGATTATAGGCGTGAGATGCCACGCCCGGCCCGTATTTCTGTTTACTAGAAGACCCCACACCCCCATCGATGTTTCCTCAGGGGGAGCATTCCCATGTGTTCATGTGAAAGGCAGAGGTCCCAGCCCCTCTCCTAGAGAGGGTGTCGGCAGGGCTGGGTGAGGGGCCTGGAGTCTGATTTTCAGTGAGGGCTCTGGGGACCCATATGGCCAGGCAAGTTTGGGAATGGTTGCTCCAAGAGATGTTTGGCGAATCAGCTGCTGGTAGGACTGCTAGGACCTCAGTTTACAATTATACTCCCCAACGTTATTTTTCCTATGAGTTCCTTTTAAAAGATGTGAATCAGAGGCTACAGGAGAGACTGCTTGAGACCATCTGGTTTCCTCCAATAGTTTTCCCAGAGTGTCTCCTCTGTGATGGAGAAGAGTATCAGCCCTCTCCAGGGTCCTTCAGTATAAGACAACAGAAAAAGGGCGTTTACTCCTTGAAACGCTTTTGGAAAATTGCACACGTGGACAAAAGGAGAAAGCATGGTATCCTGAATCCCCTGAGCCCTGAGTCCATTACCCCAGCCAGTCTCGTTTCAGTTCTACCCTCAGCCCATCCCCCATCTGGATTATTTTGAAGCAAATCCCAGACATCATCCATAAATATCTCAGTACATCTCTCTAAAAGATAAGGGACTCTTTGGGGAAAAAGCAGAAGCAACCCCATAACTACAATACCATGATCACCCCTAGAAATTATAATTTTGGACCACTGTTTTTTCAGTGCACCAAATAGGCAGAAGCAAAAGGAAAGCAAGCAGGTGACCCCAAGGTCACTCCTTGAGTTTGCAGCTTACCTGAACATCTGGGCTCGGAACCAGCCAGGGGCTTCCTCTCAGCGTGTGCTGTGGGAGAGGCCTTGGAGAGAGAGGGAGCAAGGCGACAACTTGGCCTCTGAGCCCAGGGCTTTTATGCTCTGGTGTGGCGACAGCATACCCCCCGCTAACAGTGGGAAGGAAACACAAATGCTGGTGGCTTCTGGGGTGTTGAGAGGGTCCCGGTGTTCTTGGGGCCCATTTTGTACAAGCGATAACTATTGAAGAAAAGAGAAGAATACAGTTCTTAACCCTTTCCTTATGCCTCACAAATTCAGCTTGATTTAAAAGCCTACTAGGACCATAATTTTAAAACAAAAAGCTTATTAGGAATATGGTGTCTGGAATTTGCTCCACAATTGCAGGAGTAGTTGCAGTTGGGGGGAGGGGGAGCAGGATTTCAGAGGTTGGTGGTTCTTGGTTATGGGTGGTGGACACATGGCATTTCATGATATTATGCTGTCTGCTCTGTGATGGTTCAAAATTCTCCGTAATAATAAAGTTTAAAAAGAAAGGCCTATTAGATTTTTACTTAGCAAGATCTCAGGGTTTTGAAATCGCAGCAGGCAGGCGTGGAGAAAGCAGGCGGAGAGGGATTCCTGTTCTGTGAGTGTTTGTTTTTCTCCTTTTATCTGTCATTTTCAAAACGCTGCTGTGTTTCCTCTGATAATTTATCCTATTTACTTATTAGCTTTTAATTTTTAAAAAGGTAACACATACAGCATAGAGAAGGATAAGAAAACTCTAGCCCAGGACTGCCATAGAAACGCAACAGCAGCCACGTATGTAACTTTAAATTTTCCAGTAGGCACATGTTAAAAAGTAAAAAGAAACATAAGAAATTAATTTTAGTAAGATGTTTATTTAACCCATTATGTAAAATATTATAATTTCAATGTAAAACTAATATTAAAAACTATTGAGATATTTTACATTCCTTTTTCTTAGATTAAGTCTTTGAAACATCGTGTGGATTTTGGCCAGGCGCGGTGGCTCATGCCGGTAATCCCAGCACTTTGGGAGGCCAAGGCGGGCAGATCACTTGAGGTCAGGAGTTCGAGACCAGCCTGACCAACATGTTGAAACCCTGTCTCTACTAAAAATACAAAAAGAAAATTAGCTGGGCGTGGTGGTGCATGCCTGTAGTCCCAGCTACTGGGGAGGCTGAGGCAGGAGAATCATTTGAACCTGGGAGGTGGAGGTTGTGATGAGCCAAGATCACGCCACTGCACTCCAGCCTGGGTGACAGAGTGAGACTGCATCTCAAAAAAAAAAAGAAAAGAAACATTGTGTGGGTTTGACACTTACATCTCCTGACATCTCCATTTGCATTAGCCACGTTTTTCTATGCACAGCAGCCTCGCATGTCTAGGGGCTGCCATATTGGTCAGCACAGCTCTGGAGAGTACAAAAGGGACACAAAAAAGATCACTCTCTGTTCTGACCTCCAGCTGACCCCTACCTGCCAGCCCTCTGGTCCACTTCCCAGAGGCAACCTCTGTAACCAGTGTCTTAAAAAATATCTTGTGATCCTCCAAGCTTTTGTAACTTAAGCAAATGAAATACCATTTATCTCCCTGTTTCTTACCTAAATGGAAACATTTCACAGGCGTTCCTTTATACTTTCCCTTTTCACTTAATGTGTTCTATTCAATGGCTGTTCTGATGATGCCTTGCTATGTTTTGTGGGAGAACCTCGCCAGGTACACCTTCTACCCTCAGCGTCAGGCCCAGATACCCATATTCAGAAATACATCTGACTCTGGGGACAGTGATTCCTTAAGGGACGTGGGCCTCTTCTTAGGTGTCACCTCCTTAAAGCTACAGCCAGTATCCCTGGCCTGAGGGACTGGTATGTGTGAGGGCTTACGGCAGAGCCCGGGACACCCTTGCCCTTTTGAGATCCTGCAAAGTGCCGGTCTGGCCAGCAGATGTCCTGGAGGCCGCACCTCATAGGTGGAAGGTTCTGGTGCATTTGGCTGCTGCCCCAACACAGACCTCACAGTGCCTGCCCACGATCCCTGGGTTGATTTTGTGGCTGGTGGTTTCCCTGAGCAGCGTCCATCTGCTTCAGAGAGCTGAGGAGGTGGCTGGGTGAGCAAGCCTCTTCTGCCCTTCTCCCTGGTGACGCTCATGTTCAAGGACTCCCAGACAAACCCCCCCTCACTCTCTGGAGCTGATGGGACCTGGGGAGGAGCCTTTCCTTGTCAGCTCCTTGGCTGGTCTCCACATGCTTTGATTCCAGCTCAGAGGAACTCACTTGAGAATGCTGGTTTTTATCAGCACCCCAGCCAGCAGAGTGAGGTCTTTGGATCTTGAGCTGCAGTCTCTGAGTTGGGCCTCCTTCCTCTTTTGTTTCAGTCACTTCTTCACGAACGATCCTGGATGCAAATGAAGAATTTAAGTCCATGTCGGGCACCATCCAGCTGGGCCGGAAGCTTATCACAAAATACAATCGCCGGGAGCTGACGGACAAGCTTCTCATCTTCCTTGCGCTAGCCCTGTTTCTTGCTACGGTCCTCTATATTGTGAAAAAGCGGCTCTTTCCATTTTTGTGAGATCCCAAAGGTGCCAGTTCTGGCCCTTTCAGCTCCTGTTTCAGGATCTGTCCTGGTTCCTGAGCTCTAGGCTGCTAAGCTGAGCCACACACCCCTCCGTTTGCACCAGTTGCCTGCAGGTTGGATGGAACACAGTGCCCCACTTTTCTGCAAGTAGCTGGCTTGTAAAGGGTGAACAGAGCCATGGGAGGAAGGTCTGGCATTGGGATGCCGCCCTGGGGACATACGAACCGCCTCCTTCCACCATTGTGCACTATGGGAGGCCGCTGCTGCGTGGAGCACTTAAAGTCCAGCCTCCAGGACCGGATGCCCCTCCTGTCTCCCGCTCCCATCGTGCCCTTAAATGCCAGATCTGGTGGAGGGAAGAGAGAAGAGGTAGGAAGAAAGGTGATGAAAACTCCTGGTCATTCCTTGAATAAACTTGATTTTATTTAATAGAATAAAATGTATTTGATTTTGTAAGATAGCCCTCTGGGAATGTGTGTTCCTCTTTTCTTTTTTCTTTTTTTTTGAGATGGAGACTTGCTCTATCATCCAGGCAGGAGTGCAATGGCGCAATCTTGGCTCACTGCAGCCTCTGCCTCCTGGGTTCAAAAGATTCTCTTGCCTCAGCCTCCCAAGTAGCTAGGATTACAGGCACACACCACCATACCCAGCTAATTTTTGTATTTTTTTAGTAGAGATGGGGTTTCTCCATGTTGGCCAGGCTGCTGTCGAACACCTGACCTCAGGTGATCCACCCATCTTGGCCTCCCAAAGTGCTGGGATTACAGGTGTGAGCCACCATGCCCAGCCCTCTTTTCTTGATGTCCAGATTTTTAGGACATGAACCTAGATTATTTATTTATTCATTCATTCAACAACGAATTAGCATTGTTATTTTCTTTCTGTCCCCACCCAACAACAAGGAACTATTAAACAGCTGCCACACACAGGGTGTTATAGACGCTGCTGAACATGACAAATACATTGGTGAACCAGACATGGTTCCTCCCTCAAGGAGGAACAGAAGGAGACACGGAAATAAAATCTCACAGACTATCAGGAAGGAGGGTCCAACAGCCCCTGTTCAACCAGGTGTGGTGGCTGATACCTCTAATCCCAGCATTTTGGGAGGCTGAGGCAGGATGATCACTTGAGCCCAGGAGTTCAAGACCAGCTAGACAACATAGCAAGACCCTGTCTGTATTTAAAAAAAAAAAACAAAAAAACAGAAACAGAACAGAAAACAGCCCTTGTTGGAAGTGGCTCACACCAACATCTGAAAAGGCTGCAATGCCATTCTCTACCACAGCAGCCTGGCCAGGCCTGGGGGTGTGCAGTGATTCGGGCTGGCACATGCCTTTCTCTCTGATGTCCAGAGCTAAGTATAACCAAGGAGGGAGAAGCTAGTGAGAAGCTGAGACTGTGTGAGCCTGAGTTCTGTCCAGGCCAGAGGGAGAGGGCCCAGGCTAGGCCAGTCCTAGAGGTGCTGTGTCTTTTGTGCTGCAGGCCTGGCTGACCTCAAGCTTGAAATCCCAGCCTCCCCCACTATTTATAGCCCCAGAGGACCTGGGAAGGGCAGTGTGGAGGCTGAAGGGAAAGTGGGAAGAACATGGACTTTGATCCTTGGCTCAAACACTTGGTTTTGAGATTTGGCTCCACTGCTAATGGACCACAGGACCATTGGCAAGTTACTTTATGTTGCTAAGCCTCAGTTTTCCTATCTGTAAAATGGAGGTGATAATCCATATGGGTCCTCATAGAGTCAACTTGAGAATCCAATGAGAATATAAAGCAGCAAGTGTAGCTAGCTGTCTTCAGACCAGGCCTGCCATGGCCTTTCCAAATGCTGCCACCCCCTGGGCCCTGGGCACTGAGGTTTCCTGCAGCTGACAGCAGCGGTGCTTCAGGAAAAGCTGGGCCAGGCACCAGCATTCTGTTAGAGGTGTTTGAGCAGAGGATGTCAAGAGTTAAGGCCTCAGTTATAAAGTGGCAGATCATCATGGGACCAAGTTATAAAAAACTAGCTGCACATCTCAGACCAGCTTAATGAGTGGATTCCAAGTTAAAGTGTGGATCTAAGTATAGATCCACACTGTGTACACACACACACACACACACACACACACACACATAATTTTGTAGGCTGTATATCATCCTTAAACAATTCCTGGCCCCAAAAGACACTCGGTGCAGATTGTGCACACATGTGTCTTATTTATAGTCAAATTAAAGCTGAGAATAAAGCACAGATGGGAAATTCCCACTCAGATTCCAGCTGTAAGTGCAGCAGATGGATGTTATCAAGTTCAGATTTTCTTGTCTTAACATTTTTCTTTACTGCTTCCCACTAATTGTCAACATCCTCCTCACAATATGGAATTGCGTGGGCTCTGTATGCCCTAAAATTGCTCCCTTTGACACTTTATTCCTCTTTTACTTGCCTCCTCCTGAAAATAGAGTTGAATGTGACCCATTTTGAAATGTCATTGATAACAACATCTTGCAACCTCCACCAGCCACCAGGGTTAATCCTTCCCCAAAGCAGAATGCGGCCCTCTCCATGCTCAACCATGAGAGGGCAGTGTCCACATTTGCTCTGCCTTCTTGCAGTGGGTGTGGTAATCTTCATCGGTCCATTTGAAATGCTCTTATGGATATATATATATATATATATATATATATATATATATATATATACACACACACACACACACACTGCATATATATATATATGTACTGCGTGTGTATATGCAGTATATATTTATATGTAGGTATCAGATTTTTTTTTTTTTGAGACGGAGTCTCGGTCTGTCACTCAGGCTGGAGTGCAGTGGCGCAATCTTGGCTCGCTGCAACCTCCGCCTCCCAGGTTCAAGCAATTCTCTGCCTCAGCCTCCTGAGTAGCTGGGATTACAGGCACCTGCCACCACGCCCGGCTAATTTTTTTTTTGTATTTTTAGTAGAGACTGGGTTTCACCATCTTGGCCAGGCTGGTCTTGAACTCCTGACCTCGTGACCCGCCTGCCTTGGCCTCCCAAAGTGCTGGGATTACAGGCGTGAGCCACCGCGCCTGGCCAGATTTTTTAAAACATAAATGTATGAAGCTTACCTATATTTTGTTTTTGGATATGTTTCCTAAGTGGCCATAATTTTCACTGTTAAATAGTAATGCAAGCTCAGATGCTACCTTTTTTTTTTTTTTTTTTAGACAGGGTCTTGCTCTTTTGCCCAGGCTGGAGTGCAGTGGTGCGACAATGGCTCACTGCAACCTCTGCCTCCTAGGCTCAAGCGATCCTCCCACCTCAGCCTCCTGAGTAGCTGGGACTACAGGTGTGCACCACCACGCCTGGCTAAATTTTGTTTATTTTTTGTAGAGATGAAGTCTCACTTTGTTGCCCAGGCTGGTCTCAAACTCCTGGGCTCAAGCAATCCTTCCACCTCAGCCTCCCAAAGTGCTGGGATTACAGGAATGAGCCGTTGTGCCCGGCTCATCTGTTACATTTTGATTAGCTGACAGTCAAGGAGTTAAAGGTATAGAGCAGTCATCAAGAGATCTTTCATTCAAGAAGTATTTACTGAGCACCTACTATGTACCAGGTACTTGTGTTAGAGCTACACAGTGAACAAAACAAAGATTCTCTGTTGTCATGGACCTTCTGGTGTGTAGGGGATGTTGGGCAGATGATAAACAGTTAATACATGAAATGAGTGGTTTGGGAAGAGTGGAGCTTATTGATGGCGATCTGGATGGAGAGGTGGGAGCAGGTTTGCAGTGTTAAGCAGAGTGGTCAAGGTTGGTCTCACTGGGGTAGGATTTGAGCAAAGACTTGAGGCAGGGGAGGTGCGTCCTGGGGACAGTCGAGAGAGGGTTCTGCACAGAGGGAGCAGCTGGAGCAAAGGCCGGGCAGGGGCACACTGGCACATCTGAGGAGGGCAAGCAAGGCTGCGTGGCAAGAGGTGAGTGTAGGGGCTCAGTGACCTCAGGCTGCCAACCTGGAGCCCATCTCCCGCCCATACCCACCCTTTTCTTACCTCTCACAATCTTTGGCCCTGTTGGGCACTGGTTCTTCCAGAAAGCTCCCCGGCTATGTGGTGCCACGCTCTCTTGGCTTCCGTCTTACCTCTCTGGCAACTCCTCTCCTATTCAGGCTTAAATGCTTCAGATCTTGTTCCCTTTGTATCAAAGGAAAGGTCATCCATGTTCCTACACTTTGACCATATCTACAGGATGCTCAGCCATAATTCAAAAGTTAAATGTGCAATGCAGGCCTCCCAGGCAAGCTCCAGACCCTGATCAGCTCCACCGCCCTGTGGCTGGTGCTCCTCATCCGCCCCACGTTCCTGATCGCTCCCCACCCCACAGCCTGGGCCTTCCCGGGCTTCCTGGCTTCCCTAGCACGCTTCCTATTTTCTCCTTCTTGGGTCTCTTTTCCCTTCATCCAGCCCATCTCTTTGAAACCTCTTTCCCACCAAACCAGGAGATGAGCATTCGCTTTATTTTGACAGATTCGTGTCAACCTTGTTCTGAAAAGAAGGCATCCATACATTGTGTTAGTGTATGTAGGTGGCTGAGAAAAGATAGTGAAGCAAGCTCTGTGTTCTTCCTTGGCTAATGGTGGTCTTCCCTGGGGCCCTGCTGGAGGGTTTGCCCAAGCTGTGTTTCTTCCCTGAGCAAGAGCAGAATAAAAATAGCTGTGGGCTAATCTAAGAGATAGCAGACAGGAGTCTCAGCCCTGTTGTCAGGAATGAAGGGCTCAGCCTGGGGGTGAGGGGAGGGGTGGGTGTTATCACCCCAATGTCCCTTCAGTCCCCAACAGCAGGCCCAGGCTGCTACACACCAGAAACCTCAGGGCTCGTAGTGTTGGTCAACTTGCATCTTTAATGGGCCACAGTGTCTCAGTCAAAACTGTGGCCTTTGGTGGCAGAGACCTGAATTCTAGTTGTGCTCTTCTTGGCCATATGCCCTCAGCAATGGATCGCCTCCTCCACAACAGTTCTGACCTCTTAGCGGTACTGGGATGATCAAACGACAAGACACACGCCAGGAGCTCACTCAGTACCTCTCACACAGTGACCCTGGCGGCTGCCGCATTCTCTCCCAAACAAAAGCAAAACGGCCTACTACCCCTTTCTGTCTGGGGCTTAACTTTAGGAAAACAGCGCTTAGGCTAAGAAGAAGAGGATGCTGGGGTGGGTGAGAAATCAGGACCCAAGGACGGAGCACAGTTTCCCAAATGGCAAAGGACTGAGAGGGGCAGAACAGGCCCGGGCAGGTGGCCATCTTTCCCGATCCATGGAAAAAAAAGTTAATGGGTAGAATTAGCTTAATGTGCAATGTTCTTTTTTCTTATTCTTAAATCTTTGCTCTTCCCCTCCTTCCCCTGCAATCTTGTTTGCTGGCAAAGAGTACCCCTAGATAAAATGAATCCATAGAATACCAAATGAATGTGATGGAAGAAGGAGCAAATGGTGAATCTGTTTTAATCTGATACCCTGAATGGCACGAAGAACAAGAGTGCTCCTGGCAGAAATTTCATAATTTTTAAGGAAGTCATTCTTGGTTTGCAAGAGATGGCTTTTCCGTGGCATTCCCCATTGCCACCTGAACAGGCTTCAGAAGCAATGGATTAAAGGACCAAGAGGGTGTGATCTGTCAGACTCTGCAGACTCCTGCTGCCATCCTGAGGGACCTCGTCCTCCCATCCATTCCCATATCTTATTGAGTGTGTGCTAAAGCTACACTCTGCTGCATCCTGTGGACAGAAGAGTAAGATCCCGCCTGCCTTGCAGAGCCAACAGCTTGTCAGAGATTGACCTGAAGTCAGACAGATACACGAGAGGGTATATTGAGACCCCATAGTGAATTGTAATTCCAATTCACTAAGCCGAAAGAAAAAAAATTAAGCTGAAATTTGAGTCGTGCAAGAAATTGCCTTTCCTCTGGTTCCTGAGCAGATAGCTACAGATAAAAAGTTAAATATCTCCACAGGCGGCTACTCTATGTTCACCTTACCCTTATGTAAAGTGCTAATTTACTGAGCACCAGATAATTCATAGTTGACCATCCCCCTGCCTGCTCCTTCTCCCTTGCAACCTGTGGATGACCATACACCCTCCCTCTTTCCCTTCCAGCCAGCTTTTCCTCTTTAAATATTGAAGCCCTTAAAATCATCCTCGGAGAAAGGCACAGACCACGGACTGTTTCTGTGATTCTGTGTTTTTATCTTCCAGATATGTCCTTAACTTTGGCAAAATAAACCTTTAAATTGATTGAGACCCGTTTCAGATACCTTTTGTTTTACAAAAGCAATATATGTTCATTGTGGAAAAACTAAGAAATATGTTTAACCAAAACAAATTCCTCCCCTAAAAGATAATAGGGAGTCATAGTGCGGCCGGGCACGGTGGCTCATGCCTGTAATTCCAGCAATTTGGGAGGCCGAGGCAGGCAGATCATTTGAGGCCAGGAGTTTGAGACCAGCCTAGCTAACATGGTGAAACACCGTCTCTACTAAAAATACAAAAGTTAGCCGGGCGTGGTGGCACATGCCTGTGATCCCAGCTACTCGGGAGGCTGAGGCAGGAGAATCGTTTGAACCCAGGAAACAGAGGTTGCAGTGAGCCGAGATCATGCCACTGCACTCCATCCTAGGCAATTGAGTGAGACTCTGTCTCAAAAAAAATTAGTCCTTCTGGTGGGTGTGTTGTAGTCTTTATTGTGGCTTTAGTTTGCATTTCCTAATGATAATGATGTTATGTGCTTATTTACTGGCCACATATCTTCTTTGAGGAAGTGTCTTGCTATGGTCTGAATGTTTGTGATTTCCTCTCCTTGCCCCAATTAATATGTTGAGATCCTAACCCCCAAGGTGAGGGTAGTAGAAGGTGGGGCCTTTGGGAGGTGATTAGGTCATGAGGGTGGAGCCCTCATGAATGGGATTAGTGCCCTTATAAAAGAGGCCCAAAGAGGCCCCAGGGAGACCCCCGACCCCTTCCACCATGCAAGGACACAGCAAGAAGGTGTCATCTAGGAACCAGGAAGTTGGCCCTCGCCAGACACTGAATCTGTCAGTATCTCACTCTTGGATATCCCAGCCTCCAGGACTGTGAGAAATATATTTCTGTTGTTTGTAAGCCACCCAGTTTGTGGTATTTTGTTATCTCAGCTTGAATGGACTAAGATATGTCTTTTCAAATTTTTTTTTTTTGAAATGGAGTCTTGCTCTGTCACTTAGGCTGGAGTGCAGTGGTGCTATTTCGGCTCACTGCAACCTCCACCTCCTGGGTTCAAGCCACTCTCCTGCCTTAGCCTCCCGAGTAGCTGGGATTACAGGTGTGTGCCACCACGCCAGGCTAATTTTTGTATTTTCAGTAGAGACGGGGTTTTGCCATGTTGGCCAGGCTGATCTTGAACTCCTGACCTCAAGTGATCCGCCTGCCTCGGCCTGTCAAAGGGCTAGGATTACAGGTGTGAGCCAATGCACCCGGCCCTTTTCAAATATTTTGACCATTTTTTTAATTAGGTTGTTTGATTTTTTTTTATTTTTTCATTTTTATTATACTTTAAGTTCTAGGGTACATGTGCACAACATGCAGGTTTGTTACATATGTATACATGTGCCATGTTGGTGTGCTGCACCCATTAACTCATCATGCTCCTAATGCTTTCCCTCCCCCCTTCCCCCACCCCACAACAGGCCCCGGTGTGTGATGTTCCCCTTCCTGTGTCCAAGTGTTCTCATTGTTCAATTCCCACCTATGAGTGAGAACATGCAGTGTTTGGTTTTTTGTTCTTGCGATAGTTTGCTGAGAATGATGGTTTTCAGCTTCATCCATGTCCCTACAAAGGACATGAACTCATCCTTTTTTATGGCTGAATAGTATTCCATGGTGTATATGTGCCACATTTTCTTAATCCAGTCTATCATTGATGGACATTTGGGTTGGTTCCAAGTCTTTGCTATTGTGAACAATGCCACAATAAACATATGTGTGCATGTGCCTTTATAGCACGTGATTTATAATCCTTTGGGCATATACCCAGTAATGGGATTGCTGGGTCAAATGGTGCTAGTTCTAGATCCTTGAGGAATCGCCACACTGTCTTCCACAATGGTTGAACTAGTTTACAGTCCCACCAACAGTGTACAAGTGTTCCTATTTCTCCACATCCTCTCCAGCATCTGACTTGTTAATGATCGCCATTCTAACTGGTGTGAGATGGTATCTCAGGTTGTTTGGTTTCTTATTGTTGAGTTGTAAGAGTTGAGTATTCGTTGGGTTAGCTAATCTCCTTTTCCATCAAAAGCTTTCAATTAATACACAAGCACTGCCACGAGCTTCTTATATCTCCTTCTAAACATGTTCTTTTATATCCACAAAAGCAGGCTCCGGCTTAGCATTCGGGTAGGATGCAGCACACCCGCCAGCCTCTGTGCTAACGGGTGGCGCCCTTCTCTACCAATTGTTAAATACTTTGCCCCCGTATTCAAGTATCTGTGAGTTTATATGTATATATGTGTATACATGTGTGAACATAAAATTATCCAAATGGAAGATTCCTGTGCACACAGTCTTGCCCTGTCATCAGTGTATCTTAGTGATCCTCCATTTCAGTTTCCACAGAGCTGCCACATTCTTTTTTTTTTTTTTTTGAGATGGAATCTTGCTCTGTCACCCAGGCTGGAGTGCAGTGGTGTGATCTCGACTCACTGCAAGCTCCGCCTCCCGGGTTCAAGTGATTCTCTTGCCTCAGCCTCCTGAGTAGCTGGGATTACAGGTGCCTGCCACCACTCCCGGCTAAGTTTTTTTTTTTTTTTTTTGAAAAGACGGGGTTTCACTGTGTTAGCCAGGATGGTCTCGATCTCCTGACCTCGTGATCCGCCCGCCTCTGCCTCCCAAAGTGCTGGGATTACAGGCGTGAGCCACCTCACCCGGCCAGAGCTGCCACATTCTTTCAAATGCCTACATGGTGTCCCACTGAGACGCACTGTAAATAATTCACTCTGTTGGCCAGGCGTGGGGGCACGCCTGTAATCCCAGCACTTTGGGAGGCCAAGGCAGGTGGATCACCTGAGGTCAGGAGTTTGAGACCAGCCTGACTAACATGGTGAAACCCCGTCTCTATTAAAAATATGAAATTAGCAGGGCATGGAGGCAGGCGCCTGTAATCTCAGCTACTTGGGAAGCTGAGGCAGGAGAATTGCTTGAACCTGGGAGGCAGAGGTTGCAGTGAGCTGGGATCATGCCATTGCACTCCAGCCTGGGCAACAATAGCAAAACTCCATCTCAAAATACTACTACTACTACTAATAATAATTTACTCTGTTCTCTGTTGATGGACACTGATATGGTTTGGCAGTGCATCCCCTCCAAATCACATGTTGAAATGTGATCTCCTGTGTTGGAGGTGAGATCTAGTGGGAGGTGTTTGGGTCATGGGGGTGGATCCCTCATGAATGACTTGGTGCCTTCCCTGTGGTGATGAGTTCATGAGAGATCTGGTTAAAAAGAGAGGTCAGGCGCGGTGGCTCATGCCTGTAATCCCACCACTTTGGGAGGCCAAGGCAGGCAGATCCCCTCAGGGCAGGAGTTCAAGACCAGCCTGGCCAACATGGTGAAACCCCGTCTCTGCTAAAAATACAAAAATTAGCCAGGTATGGTGGTGCACACCTGTAATCTCAGCTACTTGGGAGGCTGAGGCACAAGAATCGCTTGAACCTGGGAGGCGGAGGTTGTAGTGAGCTGAGATCACACCACTGCACTCCAGCCTGGGCGACAGAGCAAGACTCTGCCTCACAAAAAAAAAAAAAAAAAAAAGTATCTGGAACCCGCTCCACCGCCCCCTCCTTGCCATGTGATACACCTGTTTCCTCTTCACCTTTTGTTATGAGTGGAAGCTTCCTGAGGCCTCATCAGAAGCAATGCCTGCTCCATGCTTCCTGTACAGCAGGTCGAACTGTGAGCCAAATAAAACTCGTTTCTTTATAAAGTACCCAGTCTCGCGTATTCCTTTATAGTAATGCAAAACGGACTCACACAGATACTTAGATTTTTTTTCTAATACAACATCATTTTTTAATGATTCTGTCATACTCCATGATAAATTTAACCAATGCCATAATTCAAAGGGTATTTCAGTTAACTTTTTTTCCTACTGCTTTAATAATGCTCGGTTACTATCTTTATATATACACACTTTTTCTCCCAGCCTAGATTATTTAGTCAGGCTCTTTGCTAACTGTAGTGCACATTCAACATCCAGTCCATCATCTTGGTGGTCCATGGTCAGCATCTCATGATTTGTGCAAACACTCTGGAGA
Organism: Homo sapiens; assembly: GCF_000001405.40. Classification (NCBI taxonomy): domain Eukaryota; kingdom Metazoa; phylum Chordata; class Mammalia; order Primates; family Hominidae; genus Homo; species Homo sapiens. The sequence continues at coordinate 173,174,229 of NC_000005.10, forward strand.
TGCTACACAGGATGGTGGAAAGAGAAGGTGGGGTTGTAATCAAAGAAGCATATTGCGGCTGGGCATGGTGGCTCACGCTTGTAATCCCAGCACTTTGGGAGGCCTAGGCGGGCAGATTGCCTGAGCTCAGGAGTTCGAGACCAGCCTGGGCAACACGGTGAAACCCCGTCTCTACTAAAATACATAAAAAATTAGCCAGGCCTGGCAGCGTGTGCCAGTAATCCCAGCTACCTGGGAGACTGAGGCAGGAGAATTGCTTGAATCTGGGAGGCGGAGGTTGTAGTGAGCCAAGATCATGCCATAGCACTCCAGCCTGGGCAACAAAGCGAGACTCCATCTCCAAAAAAAAAAAAAAAAAAAAAAAAAGCAGCAGCATATTGCAAGTCTTGGGTTGACATTTTATTTTTCTTTTCTTTTTTTTCCTTTCCTTTTCTTTTCTTTTCTTTTCTCTTTCTTTCTTTCTTTCTTTTTCTTCAGACAGAGTCTCGCTCTATTGGTCAGGCTGGAGTGCAGTTGCGTGATCTTGGCTCACTGCAAGCTCTGCCTCCTGGGTTCACGCCATTCTCCTGCCTCAGCCTCCCGAGTAGCTGGGACTACAGGTGCCCGCCACCACGCCCGGCTAATTTTTTGTATTTTTAGTAGAGACTGACAGGGTTTCACCCTGTTAGCCAGGATGGTCTCAATCTCCTGACCTCGTGATCTGCCTGCCTCGGCCTCCCAAAGTGCTGGGATCACAGGCATGAGCCACCGCGCCTGGCCATAATTTTCTTTTTCTTATTAACAGCTTTATGGAGATAAAATTCACATACCATACAATTCACCCATGTAAGATGTTCGATTCAATGGTTTTTAGTATATTCACAGAATTGGCAACCATCCCCACAGTCAACATTTTCATCACCTCAACGCCACTGTGCCTTTTAAATATCACCCTCTGTGCTGGACTCTTCTTCCAGAGGATGCGCAGACCAGCCTGCTTCTCTTAATGCAGTGGTCCCCAACCATTTTGGCAGACAATTTTTCCATGGACAGAAGTGGGGGTGGGGATAGTTTCCGGATGTAACATCAGGCATTAGTTAGATTCTCATAAAGAGCATACAACCTAGGTCTCTCGCATGCGCAGTTCACAATAGGGTTCTCGCTCCTATGAGAATCTCATGCCGCTGCTGATCCGACAGTGGGTAGAGCTCAGGCGGTAATGCTCGCTGGCGGCTGACCTCCTGCAGGGCCACCCAGTTCCTAACAGGCCATGAATTGGTACTGATTTGAGGTCAGGGGTTGGGGACCCCCGTCTTAATGGGTCCTGTGCCCTTGGCAAGTTCTGCAAGGTGCTTGTCAGAGAGGCTGTTGAGGTCTGGGAAGCCCTGGTGGGCAGGGATTACTGGGAGTTGGGGCACAGACCAGAGGCTGGGTCTCACTCTGTTCAAGGCAGGATGATCTGTTGACTGGGAAGCCCCAAAGGTACCCAGTTGTTGGGAGTCAGGAAATAGAAACAGTCAATGAAGGATGAAAGGATCCCCTACGGCAACTCAAAATCCCCAACGGGAGACTGAAACAATGAGAGGGCAGTTCTTGCCCACCAGGGTGGCAGCGATGAAAATGACTGGTAATTATTCAGTGTTGACAAAGGTGTGGGTAAACGGGAACAAGCATTCCTCCTTATCCAAATCCTGAAACTTGCAGGACAGTGAATTTTCTGAGAGCCAGAGGCTATGCAATCCTTTATTTAAATGGGTTTTAAATAAATTTCCTCTTCATCCAAAAATTCCAATCCATTTCCCCTAAATATCACTATGCAGTCTTAAACAACTAGATGCACAACTCATCAAAAACCTCCACAAAATATAAATCATTTGAACAACTGTTTCATGTATAAAATGGTATGTTTGTGTTCAGTGAAAATAATATACAATATTGCCCAGGCATGGTGGCTCACACCTATCTATGATCTCAGCACTTTGGGAGGCTGAGGTGGGAGGATTGCTTGAGCCCAGGAGTTTGACACCAGCCTGGGAAACATTGCAAGACCCCATCTCTACAAAAATGAAAACAAACAAACAAAAATTAATATCATATAGTCATAAGTACAAATGACATTTTTCTTCCATATTTGTTTTGTATTGATTTATTACTCTTTGTCACTTTCAACTTCTCTCCTAGGTTCCTGAGGAGATACACTTTCTTCAGAAGCTGTTCTACTTCTTCTTCTTTTTTTTTTTTTGAGATGGAGTTTCACTCTTGTGTCCCAGGCTGGAGGGCAATAGCGTGATCTCGGCTCACCGCAACCTCCGTCTCCTGGGTTCAAGCGATTCTCCTGCCTCAGCCTCCTGAGTAGCTGGGATTACAGATGCCTGCCATCATGCCCAGCTAATTTTTTTTTGTAGTTTTAGTAGAGACGGGGTTTGACCATCTTGGCCAGGCTGGTCTTGAACTCCTGACCTCGTGATCCACCCGCCTCGGCCTCCCAAAGTGCTGGGATTACAGGCGTGAGGCACCGCGCCTGGCCCCCTCCGTACTTTCTGAGACATCCATGCTGTGGGGTACAAGGCAGAGTGAGGAAGCCTGAGAAGACCGTCTGTGCAGCCATGATGAGCCCTCCAGGACACACCGCTCTGGGAACAAAGGACACCAGAACCCAACTTTAAGAATGAAGCCATTCATGTAAGATCATCCACATTTACAACAAAGCAGTATGTTTTCATATGGGTATATGCGTGTGTAAATGTGTAAAATGGACAATAGGACAATATAACCCACTTGACATTAGCGGTGCTGTCTCTAAGGAGACAGTAGCTGGTGGGGGCGTGGGAGAAGGAGGATTTTCTTTATAACTCTACAGGCCTAACGTATGACTTTTTACAATGATAATGGATTCATGTGCTATTTCATTTAAATAAATCAATTAATAAGTAAGCAGGCCAGGTGCAGCAGCTCACGCCTGTAATCCCAGCACTTTGGGAGGCTGAGTCGGGCAGATCACTTGAGGTCAGGAGTTCGAGACTAGCCTAGCCAACATGGTGAAACCCCATCTCTACTAAAAATACAAAAATTAGCCAGATGTGGTGATGGGCACCTGTAATCCCAGCTACTCAGGAGGCTGAGGCAGGGGAATGGCTTGAATCCAGGAGGTGGAGGTTGCAGTGAGCTGAGATAGCACCACTGCACTCCAGCCTGGGTGGCAGAGCAAGACTCTGTCTCAAAATAATAATAATAATAATAATAAGTAAGCAAAAACAAAAACAAAACAGATGGAAGGCAAGTGCTTACCTCACAGACTGTGATGAGGGCTGAGAGAAGGGTGTCATGTCCCGGCCCCCAGGGCCCTCAGCCAGACTGGTCATTTGCAGCAAGTCCATGTGGAAAGGCCACTGGTGGCTGAGGGTGCAGAGCTCAGAATCAAGTGGGCAGGGGTCGGGAAGGACAGAGCTGGGGGGCGTCTACCTCTGCTCAGTGCCCAAGGGGTGGATGAGGTTCTTGCAGAGTGCATGTGGGAAGAGAAAAGGGCTCTGAGGTTGACTCCGGGGTACATGATGATGAAGGGCAGTGGGCGAAAGGAACTAGCAGAAAAGGCCCTGGAAGGTGCAGAGGAACCCTGGAGGGGGCGGGGAGCCAGGTGGCCCTGCAGGCAAGCGGAGAGGAGGAGGGGAGTGTCTGGATGTCAGGGGCGAGGGAAGGCCCAGGAGGCTGAGGTCTGAGGAGAGGCTGTGCTATCAATCTCTGGGGGTGCCCTCTGGGGTGCCCAGAGCAGTTTCGGTGCATGGGGAGGGCAGAGGACAGCTCGAAAAGGGACATGTGTCTGTGAAGCCTGTCAGTGTGGACCGTTCTGTCAAAAAGTCTCATGAGTTGAGCAGAAGGGAGCCTGAGTGAGGAGGAGGCTGAGAAAGGAAGCACATTTAATAAAGCGAGAAAAGGGGATTTGCTAGGGAAGACGGAATGGGGGTTCCTCAAAAAACATAGAATTACCACACAGTCCAGCAATTCCACTCCTGGGTACATACCCCAAAGCATTGCAAGCAGAGACTCAAACACATGTTTGCACACCCATGTTCATAGCAGCATTATTCACAGCCGCCAAAAGCTGGAAGAAACCCACATGTCCATCAACGGAGGAAGGAATGCATGAACAAAGTGTGGTCTATCCACACAGTGGAATATCATTCAGCCTTCAAAAGGAAGGAAGTTCTGATACATCCTACAACATGGGTGAACCTTAAAGGTGTTACACAAAGTGAAATAAGCCAGACACAAAGGACAAACACTGTATGACTCCGCTTATAAAGTCAAAGTCATAGAAACAGAAAGTAGAACAGAGGTGAGCGGGAGGCCGGGGGAGAAGGGAGTGGGGAGTTATTGTTTAATGGGTAGAGTTTCAGTTCGGGAAGGTAAAAGCGCTCTGGGTGGGTGGTGGTGACGGTTGCACAGCGACGTGAATGCCGCTAAGCTGCACACTTGAAGATGAATAGCATCGTCAATTTCACAGTTGCAGCTGCTTCTGATTTTATTTGTTCTCACTTCTCACACTCCCAGAACCCGCCTCTAACAGATCAGAGGCACTAACAGCCTCCAGGCAGAGCCCCTCCCCAGATCCAGGCTTCTGGGTTCTGATGACCCTGACCTCTCCCCGCTGCCCATTCACCTGCAGGAGTGGCAGCTGCTCCCTGCAGTAACTCTTTCTGTGAGCTCAATATTCACTTTTGTTTTGCCTTTTGGATTGTTTGCCATGGCCATTTGCTGCTCTGTTTAACTAGTCCCTATATTAAATTCTATTGAGAAAAAAAGGTAAATTTTATTTTATGTTGTGTATGTTTTATTGCAATGCATTTTTTTTTCTTGTTTTTTTGAGACAGAGTCTTGCTCTGTTGCCCAGGCTGGAGTGCAGTGGTGCAATCTCGGCTTACTACACTGGGCCTCCCTGTGGAGGTGGAGGCCTCCCAGGTTCAAGTGATCCTCCTGCCTCAGTCCCCGAAGTAGCAGGGATTACAGGCATGCACCACCATGTCCGGCTAATTTTTATATTTTTAGTAGACAAGTTTTCGCCATGTTGGCCAGGCTGACCTCAGGTGATCCGCCCACCTCGGCCTACCAAAGTGCTGTGATTACAGGAACGAGACACCGCACTGGGCCTGCAATGCATTTTTTTTTTTAAGTGGAAGGGATATTTTGGGGACATCCTGGAGGGTCTTCCAGGTTAAAGGGAGAGCGGCGGAATCCTGGGCAGCTCTGGGACCAGGTCCTGCCTCAGGGACTCACAGACCCAGGCCTCCATTCCTGCCCTGCTATCTCTGTGGATGTCTAGAAGCAGCTTCTCCTCAGCCTCTTCCCAACAGGATACATGGCCATTAAGGGGACAGAGGGAGCTGTCTCCCAAACCTAGTAAGAAAGATCCCAGGCAAGGATTCATGGGACACAGAAGCTGGAACCTCAAAGTCGTGTTCAAACCTCCTTATTTCCGATATCATCACCTCTGGAGGATGACCTTTCTACTTCAAAAATGAGTTTACTTTTGGCCTTCCCCTTCCTTTTTGCTTCCTGCTGACCTTGGCTGGCTTATTACAGACTCCTTCTGAGTGATCTCCCTACCCCAGGCTTAAGGGATGGGTTTACTTAAGAGGAAGAAACCTAGCACATTCCAAGAATGTGAGGGAAGGGAAGAGGAAGGATGAGAACAGGTTGGGCGAGGTCATGGAGGAGGCAAGGTGTCTCGACTCAATGGAGGATTCAACATGGAAACGAGGTTCAAGTTCAGCACCAAGGGCATCTGTCGGGGAGATCTGCTGTCTTGGCTTCCCTTTTATGAGGAGACAAGGTCTTCTGCTGAGAGCAGAGGGTCTAAGGTGGAGTTCAGTGCTGAGAAGATGCAGAAAACGGGGACTGAGGGGCCAATGGGTAGGATGACTGGTTGGTGTTAGAGTGCCACTGGGGTGCTTGGGAACTTTGGTTCAGGAAAGCACTGTGCAGTCCTTTTAAAAGATGTCTGCAAGTTTATTAGCAGTCCACTCAAAAGGTGGAGTCTAAGTTTTCTCACCTTGAATATGGTTGACTTGTTTCTAATAATAGGCTGTGGTGGAGGTGATGCTGTGTGATATCTGGGACCAGGAGAGAAGGCAATATAGAATCCCCCTGGTTCTCTTTCTTGGGACACTCACCCCTGGAACCCAGCCACCGACGCTGTGAGGAAGGAAGCCTGGGCCACATGGGGAGACCACTTACTGGTGTTGTAGCTTGGCTGAGCTCCCAGTCAGCAGCCAGCATCAAATGCCAGACACATGAGCAAGCTCCTCATTGACTCCAGCACCAGCTACCATCTGACTACAACCACAGGAAAGACCTCAAGGAAGAGGCACCCTGCTGAGCCCAGCCAATCCCCAGAAGTGGGAGAGAGAATTGTGATGAATGGATGTTGTTCCTTGATGCCACTAAGTTTGGGGTGATTTGTTAGGCAGCACTAGATAGCTGGAGCATGCTGCTATACCACTCTCAGAAAGTCAGTTTCTTTGGTTGGTTTTGTCCTTACTGAATGAACATCAGGTTTTTTTTTCTGATAATAAAAGTGATACTTGCTCATTTTAGAAAATTTGGAAAACTGAAAAAATTCTGAAGAAGGAAAAAAATGGCCTGAAAACCACTATACCCAGAGATAATCGCTGGCACACAACAGGTGCTCAATATTTACAGAATAGGTGAAGGAACCTGATGGGTGGAGTGTATTTGGGTTGACCCCCTCTCCTCCCCACAGCTGGGCATTTAGGTTGTTTGTAGGTTTTAGAGTGGTAAATTCTTTCCTTTTTCTTTTGTAGCCACATTAGAAGATAAAAATGGTCAATTCTTTTTTTTTAGGTAATTTTTTATTTTTATGGATTTAGGGGTACAAGGGCAGTTGTGTTACATGGATATATTGTGTAATGGTGAAATCTGGGCTTTTAGTGCTCTCCTTACCTGAGTAGTGTACATTGTTAAGAAGTGGTCCATTCTTTACTTCTGGAGTTCACTGTGTCAAGCAAGAGAGAAGAAGGGAAATAGAGTGAATTAGAGTCAGGCAAGCCACCCTGAGGTTCGGAACCTCAAACATTAAGTCTTTCCCAGGCAGAGAAGCATTTTCCAGAGCCTCCAGCTTCTTCCTACCTAGAGCACTGATTCACCCCAGAGGACACGCTGGGTCAGGAAAGAGATTGCAAACATTTTCCTTCTGGAGAATAGATTTACACAGGAAGGAAAGCTCCTGTGATAAAGTTTACATCCATCTTTCAGCCTTGCCGCTCACGTTACACAGCATCATGTTGACTTCAAACACTCCTAGACGGCAAGTGCGGGCACTGCCGTCTGCTACTCTCTGGAACAAATGTGGTTGTATGATCCCGGGACCTATAAGGAATGTGGCAGATAAATGCAACAACCGAACCCAAATTATTTACCATTTTCTAAACCAAAAACCTGGAAAGGGGACAGCAGAGATAATGTTGAGCAGATCATGTTAATGATCCAGAATTTTATCAACCCTGCAACTACAAACACTTCCAATTCCATCTGGCTTGAAAGACGCCACTCACAAAGTTAATATTTTTTCTTGTGCATATTTTAGTACATTTGGAATTGCTTTCTTCCCCCATTTTGTAGCAGTGACATAACTGGTAAAATAGGTGTGAGGCAGGGTTTGAGGTGGATCCCCCTGATTAATCAGAAGTACTTCCCTCCTTTCTTTAGGGAAGTGGGCCTAGATAAGCAGAGATGAGATTATTTGGTTCTGGTAGGGATGGCCTGGGAGAAGGACCCTTACTTTTCCCCACAGGGTACAGAAGCCAGGGGTTGAGGGACCAATGCCCTGCAGTGGGCATCTACTGTATCTGTCTGCCCAGCACCCATTCCCTTTCATCTGGGATCAACATCTAGTTTTCTTTTGAGAAACCATCACTCCCCAACTCAGTCCACATGGGGACAGAGCTGACACAACCCCTGATGCCAGGGTTGAAGAGGTGACCTGGATGGTCAGGGTCAGAGTGATTGGCTCACATAACCAAACTAGGCAACTGAGCATCAGTCCTGGGTTGTCTCATGAATTCCGAGGAAAACAGCATTCTCTTTCTCTAGGGTCACCAAGCTGCCAGGAAGGGATCCTGGAGCTACGGTGATACCATCTTTAAGGGAGCCTGTCTAAGAGGAGAGCCGAGCTGAGAGGCAGAGAGATAGCATCCTATTCACATAATTTGAGCCTCTGGATCCAGCCATGCCTGAAACCCATCAAATCTCTGGTCTTCCTATTTAGGTCAGCCAAAAACTAATTTCTTTTACTTGGGTTTCTGTCACTTACAACCCAATGGGTCCTTAGTACTATAACCCCTGTGTGCCTTATTGGAAGAGGGAGAGATTAAGAGAGATGAAACTGGCAGGCCAGCCATCCCCCCAGTTAGGCTTCCAGAGAGGAGACCTCCACATCAGTATGGTCAAAAGTATAAACATGTCTGTCCGGAGCTCTTCCTGCAGTGGGCCCAGGCATTGGCCTTTGTGGCTTACTTTTACCACCATCATTTTGATAGACTGTGAACTGGTATAAATATTGCTCAAAATCCAGAGCTGGAATAAAAATTGCCCCCAAATCTGGAATTTGGCCCTTCTTTTTAATTTTTATGTATTTATTTTTGAGACAGGATCTTGCTCTGTCACCCACAGTGGTGCCATCATGGCTCACTGCAGCCTCAACCTTCTAGGTTCAAGCGATCCTCCCACCTCAGTCTACTGAGTAGCTGGAACTACAGGTGCATGCCACCACCATACCTGGCTAATTTTTAAATTTTTTGTAGAGACAGAGTCCCACTATGTTGCCTAGGCTGGTCTCCAACTCCTGGGCTCAAAGGATCCTCCAGCCTCGGCCTCCCAAAGTGTTGAGATTATAAGTGTGAGCCACTGTGCCTGGCTGGATTCGGCCCTCCTTGACATCAAGCCTGTTCCTCAGCTTAACTGCAGGCACTGACCCAGACCAGGTCTGCCTGAGCATAGTAGATAAGTGAAGGATGCCTACGTGAGTCAGGCCAGTGATCAAGAATAAAGAAACTGAATGTTGGCCGGGCGTGGTGGGTCACGCCTGTAATCCCAGCACTTTGAGAGACCAAGGCGGCTGGATCACCTGAGGTCAGGAGTTTGAGACCATCCCAACCAATATGGTGAAACCCCATCTCTACTAAAATTACAAAAATTAGCCAGGCGTGGTTGCGGCGCCTGCAATCCCAGCTACTTGGGAGGCTAAGGCAGGAGAATTGCTTGAGCCCGGGAGGTGGAGGTTGCAGTGAGCCGACATCCTGCCACTGCACTCCAGCCTGGGTGACAGAGTGAGACTCTCTGTCTCAAAAAAAAAAAAAAAGAAAAAAAAAAAGAAAAAAAAAAGAAATTGGATGTTAAAACCTTTACCAACCCCAGGTGAGTTCTGCCACCTGCATTCCCCATTTTGGTTGCAACCAAGTGACCACGTGGAAGCTTCTCCTACTCTTGCTACTGGCCCCTAGGGCTCCCCAAAAGAAACTCAGCCTCTTCATGTCTCCTTCATCTTTCTCTCTTCTGGGGGTCATGTCCAAGGCTCCCATTTGTACATTTGGCCTCTGCCTACCTTGGGCCTCCCTGTGCCTTGCTTGGGTCATTCTGGCAGCTTCTGACTGGGCCCAATGCAGCCGGACTTTCCTCATTCAAGTTGGTGCCCTGCGTCAGCCCCTCTCTTTCAGAGGCACATGCCATGGCCTCCTTGAGAATTCTCCAGTGGCCTCCCTGCCCGAGGCGAGGGCACAACACAGATGTCCTCAGGCCAAGCAGAGACATGGGCCCAGTGACATCACATTTTCAGATTTTTCTAGAAAAGCCAGATACTTGAATTTTGGGGGGTAATTCACTTGATTTTTATGTGTTAGCCATTAATTAACAAAAAACAGTCCAGGCACAGTGGCTTATGCTTGTAATCCCAGCACTTTGGGAGGCTGAGGCGGGTGGATCACCTGAGGTCAGGAGTTCTAGACCAGCCTGACCAACATGGTGAAACCCCATCTCTACTACAAATACAAAAAAAATAAGCCGGGTGTGGTGCGGGCGCCTGTAATCCCAGCTACTCGGGAGGCTGAGGCAGGAGAATCAGCTGAACCCGGGAGGCAGAGGTTGCAGTGAGCTGAGATCGTGCCACTGCACTCCAGCCTGGGTGACAGAGCGAGACTCTGTCTCAAAAAAAAAACACCAAAAACCAAAAAAAACCAACCAAACAAACAAAAACAAGCAAACAAAAAAACAAACAAAACAGAAAACAAACAAGCCAAAAAAAAAAATCCCCAAAACAAACACACAAAACCTGCTGTCTTTGTGCAGGATGATCACTCGGGAGACTAATTTGGCAATATCTAGTAAGGCTGAATTTGTGTCTGCTCCATACCTTGGTCTTTCCACACCGAGGTAGGTACCTGAGAGCAGGCGTATTCAAAATTTGGTCTCAGTAATCCTTTATTCCCTTAAAAATTACTGAGGACTCCAAAAGAGTTTTTGTTTATTGGATATTAATATTTACCCTATTAGAAATTAAAACTGAGAAATATTAAAAGTATTTATTTACTAATTAAACAACAGTGCTAAATCAATCACAATGTAACATAACATCTTTTTAGTAAAAAATAACCATGCTTTTTCAAAATGAAAAAATTAATGAGAAGAAGGCACTGTTTTGCATTTTTGGAAATCTCCTTAGTATCTTATTCAGTAGAAGTCACTGGAGTCTCATTAATGCATCTGCAGCTGTATTGGTTAAAATACGCAAATACGCAAAAGCATATCTGGCTTTATTCACACAGATATGTAGTTAGAAAGGGAGATTCTCTCAAACAAATCAGCAAGAAAACAACCAACAATCCCATCAAAGAGTGGGCTAAGGACATGAATAGACAGTTCTCAAAAGAAGATATACAAATGGCCAACAAACGTATGGAAAAATGCTCAACATCGCAAACCAAAACCACAATGAGATACCAACTTACTCCTGCAAGAATGGCCATAATAAAAAAATTAAAAAATAATAGATGTTGGTGTGGACGTGGTGAAAAGGGAACACTTTTACACTGTTGGTGGGAGTGTAAACTCGTACAACCACTATGGAAAACCGTGGAGATTCCTTAAAGAATTAAAAGTGGATCTACTGTTTGATCCAGCAATCCCACTACTAGGTATCTACCCAGAGGAAAAGAAGTCATTATACAAAAAAGATACCTGCACACGGATGTTTATAGCAGCACAATTCGCAATTGCAAAAATGTGGAACCAACCCAAATGCCCATCAATCAACGAGTGGATAAAGAAAATGGTATATATACCGTGGACTATAACTCAGCCGAAAAAAGAATGAAATAATGGCATTCACAGCAACCTGGATGGAATCAGAGACTATTATTCTAAGTGAAGTAACTCAGGAATGGAAAATCAAACATCGTGTGTTCTCACTCATAAGTGGGAGCTAAGCTGTGAGGACGCAAAGGCATAAGAATGATACATTGGACTTTGGGGGGTTGGGGGAAAGGGTGAAGTGGGGTGAGGGATAAAAGACTACAAATTGGGTGCAGCGTACACTGCTCGGGTGATAGGTGCACCAAAATCTCAGAAATAAAAAAAATAAATAAAAGAAAAAAACAAAAGGGAGGTTCTCACAGGCCCCTGAAAGGGTCTCAGGGACTCCCTAGGGTTCCTCCGACCACACTTTGAGGACTGATAGCTTAGAGCCTCTCTTGGGCAGCTTCGTAAGTGCACGTCTACACAGGAAGAACATTAATGCATTGTCTGTAATAGCGAATATTTGAAACAACTGAAATGCACATCTAAAGGATGAAGAAATTGGAGTGTATTTCTTCAGTGGACTACAATGCAGCAGGAAAAGGAATGTTTGGCATCTGTGTGTATCAACATGGATCAATCTCACGATGTCAATCAAAAAAAGCAGCCGCAGAACGATTCTCATAGTTGACTACTATTTGTGTAAAGTTACATTTTTTGGTTGTGGTAAAATACATATAACATACAATTGACTATCTTAACCATTTGTAAGTGTATTTATTTCAGTGGTATTAAATACACTCATGATGTTACGCAACCATCAGCACCATCCAGCTCCAGAACTCTTTTTTTCTTTTGAGACAGAGTTTCGCTCTTGTTGCCCAGGCTGGCGTGTGGTGGCACGATCTTGGCTCACTGCAACCTCTGCCTCGCAGGTTCTAAGCGATTCTCCTGCCTCAGCCTCCCAAGTAGCTGGGACTACAGGTGCCTACCACCATGCCCAGTTAGTTTTATTTTTTATTTTTATATTTGTAGTAGAGACAGGGTTTTGCCATGTTGGCCAGGCTGGTCTCAAACTCCTGACCTCAGGTGATCTGCCTGCCTCGGCCTCCCAAAGTGCTGTGATTACAGGCGTGAGCCACTGCACCCGGCCTCAGAACTGTTTATCTTGTGAAAGTGAAGCTCTGTCCCCATTATACAACTCCCCACTCTCCCCTTCCCCCAGGCCCTGACAACCAGCATTTCACTTCCTGTCTCTATGATTTTGACTACTCGGCTCCGATAAGTGGAATCATACTGTATTTATCTTTTTGTGACTGGCTTATTTCACCTAGCCTGATGTCCTCAAGCTTCACTCATGTTATAGCATAGGTCAGAATTTCCTTCCTTTTTAACACTGAATAATATTCCTTGCATAAAGTTTTAAACATGAAAAACAATTACATATTTTAATGGATATATACGCATGTGGTAAAATAGAAAGAAACGAATGAAAAGAATAGACACCAAAGTCAGGATGGTGTCTGCCTCTGCAGGGGCGAGGGGAGATGGTACTGGGAGGGGCGTGCAGGGGCTTCGGTGGAGTCAGCAGTAGCTTGCTTCCTAGCCAGGGGATTTTATTCTGTATGCCAGCGCTTCCTTACACTCATGCCGTGCCCAGCATACACGTGTGCTGAGCTCAACACTCAGGTGTGCCTGAGATATCCACACCTTGAGTCCTCTGGGCAGCCTAGCAGAGCCTGGGGCAACTGGAGCCCCTGGGCTGTGAGCCCACTTTGGGGAGGCCCAGTTGAGTGACAGGACCTGAGAAGCACCCTGTGGTGCCCCAGCGGCCTCAGGAGCACCGTGAGCCTTGGTGGTATGCCCTGATCTAGGCGGGGTCCTGAGTGCCATCAAGAAAGAGCTGCTTGCTGCCTGGATGTGGAGGACAGTAGCCAGCCGCCAGGCATTATGCTGTCTGGTTTGGGCAAGAGCCACAGGGGCTGGTGAGCTTGCATTGCAGGTGCCCAGGAGTAGCGGGTACAGACTGAAGGGAGGCCCCCTAGGGGTTGGAGGGAAGGATGAGGGCAGGTGCCTGGGCAGGCCCAGCTCCGGGCTGCCTGCTCTGTCTTCACACAGATGCTTCTGTTTGGGTGACTGTAGGGGTACAGGGGTAACTGTGCCACCTGCAGGCAACCATTGCAGTCAATCATGTGTGCTCTACAAGTTAGAGTGTCAGCATTATTGTGACATACTCAGTATGAAAAAATCGGACTGGCTCACGCCTATAATTCCAGCACTTTGGGAGACCAAGGCAGGCAGATGACTTGAGGTCAGGAGTTCAAGACCAGCCTGGTCAACATAATGAAATCCTGTCTCTACTAAAAATACAAAAAAAAAAAAAAAAATTACCCGGGAGTGATGGTGCATGCCTATAACTCCAGCTACTCGGGAGGCTGAGGCACAAGAATCTCTTGAATCTGGGAGGCAGGGGTTGCAGTGAGCCGAGATTGCACCACCGCACTCCAGCCTGGGCGACAGAGTGAGACTCTGTCTCAAAAAGGAAAAAAAAGAAAGTTGGACTGGATTAGAAATCCTAAGAAGTTCCTATATCATAATTGCCAAGGAAAGAAAGGGTGATCCTTTATGTGTAGTTTTGACCATTGTAAAAATTTTAAGGTAGAAAAACACAATTTTTAAACCTTTTTAAAAGTCACTTACTTGTAAAAGCAAAATTTCTTGGCAATGATGATTACTAAGAATCTGAAACTCTTGCATTCAAGGGATGATATGTCATTTAACAGAAAGAAGAGGAAACTGGTCACAGTGGCTGATGCCTGTAATTCCAGCACTTTGGGAGGCCAAAGCGGGAGGATTGTTTGGGGCCAGAGGTCAAAGCTGCAGGGAGCCATGGTTGCACCATTGCACTCCAGCCTGGGCAACAGAATGAGACCATGTCTCTTAAAAATCAATCAATCAATCAATCAATCAATCAATCAATCAATGATGAAGAATCATTTAAAAAAAACCTAGAATTTGAAGCTTGTCTCATTAAATCAGGACTCACGGGTGCCCACTGAGCCTGAAGCCTGACATAAAAATTATTTTTATGGAAGTAAGTCTTCCTTAAGATTTTGGAAAATATTTTATTCAAATTTTATGTTAAATATATTTTCCCCTCTTTGTATTTTACCTTTGAATCAGAATTATATAATCTAAAAATGTGGTAATTTTTTTTCTTTTTTTTAGAGACAGAGTCTTGCTCTGTTGCTCACGCTGGAATGCAGTGGCATGATCACGGTCCCTGCAGCCTTCACTTTCCTGGGCTCAAGCGATCCTCCAACCTTGGCCTCCTGAGTAGCTGGGACTACAGACATGTGTCACCATGTCCAGCTAATTTTTGAATTTGTAGTAGAGATGGGGTTTTGCCATGTTGGCCAGGCTGTTCTCGAACTCCTGACCTCAGGTGATCCACCTGCCTCGGCTTCCCAAAGTGCTGGGATTACAGACGTGAGCCACCATACCTGGCCTGATTTCCATTTAGAAAATTGACTAACTACATGGTTCCTTAAAACACAAAATTTAAAGCGTTTGCAGAGAGTAACTTCTTTTATTTTTATTTTATAGAGACAGAATCTCTCTGCCATCCCAGGCTGGAGTGCAGTGGTGCACTTATAGCTCAATGCAGCCTTTACCTCCTGGGCTCGACCGATCCTCCTACCTCAGCCTCCTGAGTAGCTGGGACCACAGGCATACACTTCCATGACTGGCTAATTTTTTCATTTTTATTTTTTGTAGAGATAGGATCTAACTATGTTACCCAGGCTGGTCTCAAACTCCTGGCCTCAAGCGATCTTCCCACCTCAGCTTCCCAAGGTGCTAGGATTACAGGCATGAACCACTGCTCCCAGATGCAGATAGTCATTTCTTAGCAGAGGTGTGCTGGATAACAGAGACACTTAAAGTGAAACATTCACTTCGGTATTCATCTTGGCAAAATGAAAATGTATGTCCATACAAACATCTGTACACAAATGTTCACAGCAGCTTTAATAGCCAAAAAAAAAGGGACACAACTCAAATATCCAGCAGGTGAATGGTTAAACACACTCTGGGATGTCTGTACACTGGAATACTACTGAGCAATGCGGAGGGTCCACCTACTGCTCTGGGCAACTGCTGAGAGGGACTATGACGGAATGATGCTGAGTGAGAAAAGCCAATCTCAAGTGGTTACATACCATCAGAGACCATCTCTATAACATTCTTGTTTGAGAAACAGCTTTATTGATGTATATACTCACATATGATTTACCCATTTATCATGTACAATGCTGTGGCTTTTAGTATTTTCACAGAGTTGGATAACGATCACCACAGTCAATTTTAGAACATTTTCATCGCCTCCAGATGAAACCCTTTAATCCCTCAATTCCCCCCTCAACCACCCCATCCCTCGGCAATCACAATCTACTTTGCGTCTCTGTAGCTTTGCTTATTCTGGACATTTCATATAAGTGGAATTATACAGTATGCAATATTGCGTGATTGGCTTCTTTCACTTGGAATCATATTTCGTTTTTCAAAAACTCTAAATTCAGGAGGTACATCATGTGCAGGTTTGTTACATGGGTATATTGTGTGATGCTGAGGTTTGGGCTTCTAATGATCCCGCTGCCCAACTGGTGAACATAGGACCTGATAGGTGGGTTTCCAACCCTTACCCCCTTCTTCCCTCCCACTTTTGGAATCCCCAGTGTTTACTGTTCCCATCTCTGTGTCACGTGTACCCATCTATAACATTCTTGAAATGATAAAACTACTGAGATGAAGAACGGAGTAGTGGCTGCCAGGGGACCAGAGGTGCAGAGGGCTGAGTGTAAAGAGGCAGCTTGACAGAGTTCCTGTGTAAGAATGGGACTGGTTTGGATTTTTTTTTTTTTTTTTGAGACAGAGTCTTGCTCTGTCACTCAGGCTGGAGTGCAGCGGCACGATTTCGGCTCACCGCAACCTCTACCTGCTGAGTGCAAGTGATTCTCCTACCTCAGCCTCCCGAGTAGCTGGGATTACAGGCATGGGCCACCATGCCCAGCTATATTTTTGTGTTTTTAGTAGAGACAGGGTTTCACCATGTTGGCCAGGCTGGTCTCGAACTCCTGACCTCAGGCAATCCACCTGCCTCGGCCTCCCAAAGTGCTGAGATTACAGGCTTAGAGCCACCGTCCCAAGCCTGGTCTGGATCTTAATTGTGGTAGTGGCTACACAAACGTAGTCCACAGAATAATATTACATAGAACGACCCTCCGACACACTATTTCACACATATGAATGCATGTAAAAAACCTGGAGGGAATGGATTCAGGTGGGTGGTCCAGCTCACATTATCAAAACCATGTCAATTTCTTTCTTTTTTTTTTTCCTTTGAGACTGAATCTCACTCTGTTGCCCGGGCTGGAGTGCAGTGGTGAAATCTCAGCTCACTGCAATCTCTGCCTCCCAGATTCAAGCAATTCTCCTGCCTCAGCCTCCTGAGTAGCTGGGGTGTGTGCCAACAAGCCAGGCTAATTTTTTGTATTTTTAGTAGAGACAGGGTTTCACCATGTTGGCCAGGCTGGTCTCAAACTCCTGATCTCAAATGATCTGACTGCCTCGGCCTCCCAAAGTGTTGGGATTACAGGCTTGAGCCACCACGCTTAGCCTCAATTTCCTTTTGACGTTGGACTATGTAAGACATCACCACTGGGGGAAGCTGGGTGAAGGGTACACGGACTCCTATGTACTATTTTTCCAACTTCCTATGAATCTATAATTATTTCAAAATAAAAAGTCTTTAAAAAACCCTACACATTAGGGGCTCCTGCAGATGAATATAACTAAAAAAAGAAGTCTTCACAACTGGACCCTGGGATCAGTTTACCCAGGCTTGATGCACTGAATACCTTTTAGGTGCATAAGCTTAAGCACAGGCTCATGCTATTGACTTTATATGTGCCGATCCCCATAGAATTCATTCTTGTCCGGGAGACTAAAGATCTGAAAACCACATCCCATGGAATGTGGGTGGTTACAAGGTGGCAGCTAGCACAAGCAGCCTCTTTAAAAACCTCTAAACAGGATTAGAATCCAGTTTTGTGTTTTCACATTTCAGGGCCCCACTTAGAAATTTACTAGAGGTGAGACTGTCTTCAGAGCCAAACCACAGCAAGCTTTTCCCAAGCTCCTGCCACCTGCCAGGCTGGGCCCCAAGAGCCTCCTTGCACGCTCGCCTGCTTCCTCCTCCCTGCCACGCTGCGGCCCCCATGCCACGCCTTGGAAAGGTGAGGAGGCTGGTCCAGTGTATTTATTTCCTGTGGCTGCCGAAACAACTGTCCACAAACTGGGTGGCTTAAAACGACACAAGTGTGTTCTCCTACAGACCTGGAGGACATCAAGGTGTGGGCAGGGCCGGGCTCCCTCCAAAGGCTCTAGGGAAGAGTCCTTCAAGCCTCTTCCAGCTTCTGGTGGCTCCAGGAGTCCCTTGGCTCATGGCAACATCACCCACTCTGTGCCTTCGCCTTCACATGGTCTTCTTCGTACGTCTCAAGTCTCCCTCTGTGTCCCTTGTAAGGGATGCTTGTCATTGGAGTCAGGGCTCTCCTGGTTAATCCATGATGATCTCATCTCAGGATCCTTAACTTAATTGTATCTACAAAGACCCCCCACCCGCCCCCCCTTTTTTTTTGTCAAATAAGGGCATATTCACAAGTTCCAGGGATTTGATGAGGACCTATCTTTTAGGCGGCCACCACTCGGCCCACTATACCAGGGAGATTCAGCTAGAGAGTAGCAGGGCCCAGATGAACTCAGACTAGGGAGTAGCAGGGCCCAGATGATCCTCAGATGAGGATGAGGTAGAGGGGGATGTGTCCTGGTCATCTGGTAACCTTCAGAGCCAGGCCCAGCAGAGCCTGTCTAAGTTGGGCTCTCTGTGAATACTAGTTGAATGAATGAGTGCATGAATGAAGGGAGGGGGAAGGGAAGAACTGACTGAAGTGGGAAGGGGCTTTGTTCCTGGACCTCCCATCCCTCTGCTCATCTGTTTTGGTGGGGATCACAGGTCCCTGCCAGCAGTAGCATGGCCCTCTGGCTGTCTCTCCAGCCCTTCCAGAGAACGCCTGTTCAGTGCCCCACTGCCGGCTTCAAAGGCGGCCCTTTCAAGGGGGCAGACAATGCTCAGCTGTCTGTGCTCTGTGAGTAGTTATGAATTTGGGTGGGAACTTCAGAGAATCACAGGCAGCTCCGATTCCTATGCTTAGGGCCACTCAATCCACTGGCTTTGAAGCCGCAGATGGGGCCTCTGTGCAGCTTCCAGTGGAGCAGAGTTCAGGAAAGGAAGACAGATGGCTGAGTCATTAGCGGAGGACAAGGGGAAAGCATCCTTCAGCTGGAAATCCAGAGCTCCAGATGGGTTCGTGGTGTCCCCTTCAGGAGCTCTGAGCTTCTAGAAGAATATGGGATGCCACCAGCCTCAGTGGCAACTTTGGTGAGTAAGAAGAGGCTGTCTGGGTCCAGTGCAGTGGCTAACACCTGTAATCTCAGCACTTTGGGAGGCCGAAGTGGTAGGATCACTTGAGTCCAGGAGTTTCAAACCAGCCTGGGCAACATAGTAAGACCCCATCTCCACAAAATATTTAAAACTTAGCTGGATATGGTGGCATGTGCCTATAGTCCCAGCTACTTGGGAGGCTGAGATGGGAGGCTCACTTGAGCCCAGGAAGTCGAGGCTGCAGTGAGCCCTGGTTGTGCCACTGCACTCTAGCTTGGACGACAGGGCGAGACCCTGTCTCAAAAAAAAAAGAACAAAAAAAGAAAAGAAAGGAAACAAAAGTGTGTCCCCCTGAGGGCCACAGTCCTCAGAACCACAGTGGCATGCTTGTGTGAGCGCATTTAGCCAACTTGCGGGAATGCAGACAACCAAGGATGGATGCTGGAATGCAGGCTGGAACCAGGCTAGGAAGGACTTTGGTTTTCATGCCAAGGGATTTGGACCTCATCCTGTACTTGATGGAAGCGCCGAGTGTTGACAGTCAAGTGAAGTGTATTCCCAAAACTAGATCTAAGGGAAATCTGGTTTCCTATTAGTGGATGTAACTCACTGTGGTGGTTTTAAAACGTGGCTGCAAATCCTTTGACATTCCTCCTATGGAGTGCAGGTCTACGTCTGTGTCCATGACTCTAAGTCCTTCCCCCTGAATCTAGAAGGGCTTGGGCTGCTCTGACCAACAGGGTGCAATGGAGGTGATGCTATATGACTTCCAAGATTAGCTC
The DNA here is from genome assembly GCF_000001405.40 of Homo sapiens. Taxonomy (NCBI): domain Eukaryota; kingdom Metazoa; phylum Chordata; class Mammalia; order Primates; family Hominidae; genus Homo; species Homo sapiens. The sequence continues at coordinate 173,193,795 of NC_000005.10, forward strand.
ATAAAAGGCTATCCAGCTTCAGCCTGGTTTGCTGTAACTCTTGCCTTTGAGAATTGTGCTGTCATGTAAGAAGTCCAACTATCCTTGAGGCCACCATGCTGTGAGGAAGCCCAAGCCAGGTGGAGAGGCCGCATGAAGTTGTTCCTGTTGACAGTTCCAACTGAGTCCAGTCTCTGAGTCATTTCGGCCCAGGCTCCAGACACTTCCAGCCCCCAGTCGTTCCAGTCTTCCCAGATGAGGCTGCAGACTCATGGAATAGAAACCCAAGCCATCCACATTGTGCTTCATCTGACTATTTGACCTACAAAAGATGAAAATGGTGGTTGATGCATGCCACTATATTTGGGGTGGTTGGTCACACAGCAATAGATAAATGGAAAATCATCAATTACTCGAGGAAGCCAGAGATCACTGATGCTTTCATCTGGGTAAGGCAGGCAGTAAAAATGTGAGGGAGTGGAGGGATCTGGGGCAAAAGCACTGCACCATGCACACAGGAGACCCACCTGATGGCCCTAGGGTGAGCCCTTTGTGACACCTGGATTACAGCAGTAACACCTTGCTAAATGTGAATGAAGAGTTCTGGGGACACCTCCAACTTCAACCAACTTCACCTGGGACAATCTCGGTGAGGCCCAGCTATTGCAATAGGCCTGGAGTTTGTGAAGCAGAAACCTCAGCCATCGTGTTGGGCCCATCTAGAGAAGCAAGCTGTGGATCAGTCCACCTGGGAGGATTAGAAAGGGCTGCCCAGAGGCTCCACTGAGTCCCCCAGCTCTGTCCACCAGGAAGGAGTGGGTCCTCTCCATCTCTGCCCCTGGCCCCGTTTCCTCCACAAACACCTCTCCAGGAGCACACAGCACACAGTGCCCTGGTCCTGCTACCTCTGTCCCAGGCCTGCACCAGCCTACCTTCTGGCCTCCTAGCCTCCAGATGTGTTCCCAGCACCTAGCACATACCTTGGGAGTGGTAGTTGCTCAGTGAGTCCATGGTGCATGAATGAGTGGCTATGAATTGGCTTCCCATGGGGCTCCTGTTCAGGGAGAGAATTTACTGATCTGATGCTGAGAGATCTGGTTCATGGGGTGATGCGTTTTCCACAACCAAGCAATAAGTCACATCAGGTTTTCCACATCAGCCTGTGAGCTTTTGTGTTAGTTTCCTAGAGCTACACGTAACAAAGTACCGAAAACTAAGTGGCTTAAAACAAGGGAGGTTATTGTTTCTGGAGCCTGGAAGTCTGAAATGAAGGTGTTGGAAGAGGCCACGCTTCCTCCGAAGGTTCCGGGGAGAATTCCCTCCCGGCCTTTCCCGGCTCCTGGTGCTGTAGCAATCTTTGGTGTTCCTTGGCTTGAAGCTGCATCACTCTAATCTCTGCCCCCGTCGTCACGTGGCTGTCTTCTCCCTCTCTGTCTTCACGTCGTCTTGCCTCTGTGTGAGTCTGTCATTGTGTCCAAACGTACACTTTTTTATTTTTATTTTTTTGAGACCAAGTCTCGCTCTGTCACCCAGGCTGGAGTGCAGTGGTACGATCTCGCTCACTGCAACCTCTGCCTCCTGGGTTCAAGCGATTCTCGTGCCTCAGCCTCCCAAGTAGCTGAAATTACAGGCACCTGCCACCACGCCCAGCTAAATTTTGTATTTTTAGTAGAGACGGGGTTTTACCATGTTGGCCAGGCTGGTCTCGAACTCCTGACCTCAGGTGATCCACCTGCCTCGCTTCCCAAAGTGCTGGGATTACAGGCGTGAGCCACTGCTCCTGGCCCAATTTACACTTTTTAAAAGGAGACCAGTCATATTGTTTAGGACCCACCCTAATGACCTCATCTAGGGGTTAGGACCTTAACATATCTTTACGGGGAACACAATTCAACTCATAACTGAGCTTGGATAACACAAGTCCCCCTAAGACAAGCATCTGCCCCCAGGTTGCTGATCAAAAGACTTCCCAGTCAATGGGACAAGGGTGAGAACTGAGCCTGGGGGAGTTCCCCAGGTTACCAGTGGAGCTCCTACCCTGCCCCACATGGGGGGCTTGTGGGAGTCCCCAGTGTGCCAGCTATACCGTAAGTTTATTGCCTCATTTAAAAGTGCCACCCCCCTTTAATTGTTCCTTTGCATCTCTTTTCACATGGTGGCACTCACGACCACAGGTCACTATTTTTTTCACTGTCATCTCTAGGAAGGGTGGGAACCTTATGTATCTCATTAGGTCCTATATCCCCAGCACCCAGCACAATGTCCCAATAAACACTGAGTACATGAGTGAATGAAGAGTGAGTTGTCAGAGGGAGAAAGGTTTCAGAAAGCTCCCTTTGAGCCACTGTAGAGAGGCAGAGACCAAAGTCAATGAGACCAGGAAGGTGGCTGCAGCCACCGGCTGTCACGTAGAAAGCTTTTGAAATTTGACTGGTGGAGGTTTCAACCTGAAAGCAAAATGCCGCCTGGGCCTTGCAGGGAGATAAAGCGTTCATGTCCAGTGATAACAGCGCCCCTCGGAGCCAGGGAGGCGCTGGGCAGGGATCAACGCACACCCGCCCGACAGACAGACCGACGGGTGGTAAATATAGAACAACATGAAAGCAGGCAGCGCTGGCCCAGCCCCTCCTTTCCAGCTGTGTGGTGGGTGAATCCAACAGAGCAAGGTTTGTTGACCCGCCCCTGTCCAGGGCCACCTCGCCACTGCACCTTTCCTTCCCGGCACCCAGGGACGGTGATAGCAGAGTGTCGTATGCCCTTGGCAAGCCCCCTTGCAAGGAGGGGCGCACACAGCAGACATGTCATATCTTTCTGTTGAAACCACGTTATGCAAACCCATTCAATGACTTCCAAATCCTTTACCAACTCCCATTCAGTGGGTGCTTCTGTGTCCCAGCGGCCACCGCTCACAGCAGCTCCACTCAGGAGGACCTCTTATCCCAGTGACATGCAAGCAGAGCCAGGTGCTCAGCAGTGTGTCTGGGCCAAGGTCATGCCTCTGGTGAGCAGAACCCAGGGCTGTCTGAGTCCAAAGCCTGTGCTCTGATCACGCTATTCCTGACCTCCAGTTCCACACCTGTCTGGGAGGAATCTCAGCTTTGGAGGCCTTAGGTCCACATTCCTGCTTGAGGCTGAGACCCACAGGGAAGTGGGGAAGGGAGCTGACATTTGCTGAGACTCTATCCAATTTATGCTTCCAACCACAGGGCTTGGTGGTCTTTGATAACCCCTTTTACAGTCAAGGATATCAAAGCTCTGAGTGGTGGAACAATTTGCCTTCATAATGGCAGAGCTGGGATGAGAACCTGGGTCAGAAGGTGCAAAGCGAGTGTTTTCTGCACTACCCCACGGTCTCTTCCTGAAGAGGACCTTTCTGCACCTTCCCTTGGCTCACTCACATGTCAGGTCCCCGTCTCTCCTACCAGGGCTTCTTGCTCCAGGACTGGTCAGCCACGGGCCCTGTTTGCTTTGTGGCTGTAGGATGTGGCCAATCCCCTCACCCGAGGGCTGTGCTGGAGATAAGAGGTCAGGGACTGCTGGGCTGGGCTGGGTGGCATTTAGGGGTGGGAACAGGCTTCATGTGGCCAAGGCCCGGTGGAGAGACACCAGGGTGGTCACAGCCCTCAGGACTTTTTGTATAGATTGAGGAATAAGGACAAGCTATGGATAACCAGTGAAGGCTGACAAGCCCCTCGGTGAGACACGATTAGAGGAGGCCCTTGAGCTCCAGTGGGAAAATCATTGCTGGGGCCACATCATTCACTAAGTGTTTATCGAGCACTAGGTGCAGGGAAGAGGAATGGGAGGAAGGAGAGGAGGAGGAGAGGGAGGCCACAGAGTCTAAAAGCTTGAGTTCTAAAGGCAGACTGCCTGGCCCATATCCCAGCTCCTCTAGTTGTTGTTACTGCCATGACAACATTTGCCACATCAGGCTACGCTTGCCTGTTGATGATTCTTTCTCTCTGTGTCGTTAGCTATGGCCACAGTAATGCTGCCTAACAACAACTAAAGAACCGCAGAGGTGGCCAGGCACAGTGGCTCACGCCTGCAGTCCCAGCACTTTGGGAGGCCGAGGTGGGCGGATCATTTGAGGTCAGGAGTTCAAGACCAGCCTGGCCAACATGGTGAAACCCCATCTCTACTAAAAGTACAAAAATTAGACAGGCGTGGTGGTGTGCACCTGTAATCCCAGCTACTCAGGAGGCTGAGGCAGGAGAATCGCTTGAACCTGGGAGGTGGAGGTTGCAGTGAGCCAAGATCATGCCACTGCACTCCAGTCTGGACAATAGAACAAGACTCAGTCTCAAAAAAAAAAAAACCATTAAAATAAAAATAAGAACCACAGAGGCACATGGCAATAAGAATTACATTCGCGCTGTGGCTTTTGTCATCCAGTTGCATATTGGCTGGGGAAGGACTGATCTCAGCCAGCTGGCTTCACTCCCTAGGTCTCTCCCTGCCTCCTAGAACCAGTGGCCCAGCCTGGGCTTGCTCTTCTCCAGATGTGGCAGAAACGCAGGAGCACAGGCCCAACGGTGCAAATGCTGCCCCAGCCTCTGCTGCCATCTTATTGCCAACATCCCATGGCCAAGGCAAGTCACAGGGCCGAGCCCAGTGCCAAGGGGGTGGGCTGGGGGACGCAATGAATATATTGCAATGATAAACGAATCTACCACACATGCCCTCCATAGTGTGAGCTCCAATGGGACCCTTACTGATTGTTGGGTTCCTTGTCCTTGGCACAGGGCTGGCCACAGAATAAATACTCAACAGATAATAATAATGATGATAATGGCTAATGTCTATCAAGTACCTACTATGTGACAGGCACTATGCTAAGAGATTTACTTTCTTTCTTTCTTCCTTTCTTTTCTTTCCGTTCCTCCCCTCCTCCCCTCCTCCCTCCCTCCCTCCCTCTCTCTTTTCTTTCTTTCTTTCTTTCTTTTTCTTCTCTCCTTCCTTCCTCTCTCCCTCCCTCCCTCCTTTCTTTCTTTCTTCTTTCCTTCCTTCTTTCTCTTTCTTTCTTTCTTTCTTTCTTCTCTCCTTCCTTCCTTCCTCCCTCCCTTTCTCCCTCTCTCCCTCTTCCTCTCTCTCTCTCCCTCTCTCTCTTTCTTTCTTTCCTTCCTTCCTTCCTTCTTGCTTTCTTTCTTTCTTTCTTCTCTCCTTCCTTCCTTCCTCCCTCTCTCTCCTTCTCTCCCTCTCTCCCTCTCTTTCCTTCCTTCCTTCCTTCCTTCCTTCCTTCCTTCCTTCCTTCCTTCCTTCCTTCCTTCCTTCCTTCTTTCTTTCAACAGAGTCTCACTCTGTTGCCCAGGTTGGAGTGCAGTGGCATGATTTTGGCTCACTGCAACCTCCACCTCCTGGGTTCAAGTAATTTTCTCGCCTCAGCTTCCTAGGTAGCTGGGATTACAGGTGCGCACCATGACGCCCGGCTAATTTTTGTATTTTTAGTAGAGACAGGGTTTCACTGTGTTGGCCAAGCTGGTCTCGAACTCCTGACCTCAGGTGATCTGTCCACCTTGGCCTCCCAAAATGCTGGGATTACAGGCATAAGCCATTGCATCCAGCTCTTTTTCTTATTTGGCTTAGTAACCCTGTGATGTAGGTCCTACTATTCTCATTTTATGAATGAGAGCATTGAGGTCCAGATAAGTTAGTAACTGGCCCTAGGTCACAAGGTCCTGTAAGAGCAGAACGTAGCCTCAGCAGTCTGGCCCTAGGGTCTGAGCTCCCATCAAGTATAAAATAAGTCCTGTAAAGGGAATGCTGAGCTCAGCTGGGGCAGGTGGCAGAGGCAGGATGGAAGAGGCCTCCCTTGACCTGAGACTTGAAGGATGAGGAGGACTTACAGGGAGTCAGACTGGGAAGGGTATTCCCGGCAGAGGGAGCAGCACATGCTAAGGTGCAGGGTGAGATAGATCATGGCTGCTGGGAATCTACAAGTGGTTAAGTGCTGCCAGAGAGTAAATTTCTGGAGGCAGCAGGTGGGAGATGAGGCTGGAGGGAAGGGCTTGTCATGTGGCAGGGATTGTTCCTTTTCTCCTCTATATAGAGTAACTGAATTTCCTGATGGGCATTAACATGAATATCAGCTTAACCCTGCATTTGTCAGCCTCCCTTGCAGCTAGGTAGGTATGGCAAGGTGACTATTTCAGATAATGAGATGAGTGAAAGTTCTGGATTGTGCCCTTAAAGGAACACGAGCCAGGCGTGGTGCCCACGCCTGTAATCCCAGCACTTTGGGAGGCCGAGGAGGGCAGATCACCTGAGGTTAGGAGTTCGAGACCAGCCTGACCAACATGAAGAAACCCTGTCTCTACTAAAAATTCAAAAGATAAAAATAAAAATTAGCCAGGTGTGGGGGCGCATTCCTGTAATCCCAGCTACTTGGGAGGCTGAGGCAGAAGAATCGCTTGAACCCGGGAGGCGGAGGTTGCATAGAGCCAAGGTTGCCCCATTACACTCCAGCCTAGGCAACATGAGTGAAACTCTGTCTCAAAAAAAAAAAAAAAAAAAAAAAAAGGAACAAGAGTGCTCCCCTTCCCTTCTTGGGGTGAAGGAGCCATCTAAGACCAGGAGGTGGCTCCTGCATTTTAAAAATTACTTTTTACCCAATGATTCTGTTAGAGACATGGCTGCCACATGTTAAGAATGAATTGCAGAAGATAAGTAGAGCCTGGATTCCCAATACCATCAAGCCACAAATCAGAGCAAATTTTACACAAAAAAGATAGAACCTTCTCATTTGTTTAGGTAATTGTAGTTTGGGTCTTTTTGTTGTAGCAGCCTAACTTTATCCTAACCATTGCATCATACAACTTCATTATACCATGCAGAGGAATTTAGATTTTTTCCTCAGATCAGGGGCTGCAAATCTAAGGCCTACAGGGACCAGGCAGGCCATGTGGCAGGCTGGATGTTTCTTTTCACCAAGAAATATACTCTTTGCTGTTCTCCTTGAAACAAAGGACCCTCTTCATCTATCTCTAATTCTCCAAGACATGTATATAGAAATCTTTCTCTGTTCTAAACTGCTATAAGAAAAACAACTAGCTGGGGTCAGTGGTATGCGCCTGTAGTCCCAGCTACTGAGGAGAGAGGATCGTTTGAGACCAGGCATTCAAGGCTAGAATGAGCTATGATCATGCCAATGTGCTCTAGCCTGGGTGACAGAGCAAGACCCCGTCTCTAAAAAAATTTTTTTTTAATTGGCACCATCATTTTATTGGGGAGCAATAGGGAGTGGTGGGGACTGTGGTGTAGTGGATGAAGATACCTCAGGTCAAGCTGCCACGGAGCTTCTCTAGTTGCTGCCACATGGGAACAGGGATCCAATTTCTCAGGAGGTTCATGACCTGGATTTGTAAATTTCGCAGTTTATATAGGGGAGGAACTCAGAGGCTGTTGAGAGAGCTGCCACTCAGAGGCCTCAGGGAAAGGCTCGGTCCCACGGACAGTCTGAAGCTCCATACAGCAGTGTGAGTCCTGTGCACTCCAGGCCACCTGGAACCAAGATGATGCAGGACAAAAGAGAAGTCCATTGGGACCAGCACAGAGCCCCACTCCCCGAGCCCTGCTGGCTATGCCGAGGAGGAACAGGAGGCCATTTTCTGAGCTCCTGGTATAATCTTTACAGCTGTGACATAAATATTCATAAAGATCACATACATTGTGCTCGTTTTTTAAAGTTAGCCCTGCCTGGGCCAAACAAAACTAGTTTATGGCCTTGGGTCTAGTGACTGGAAGGCATGATAGAATGTTGAATGAGGACATCAAGGGGACAGATTTGTGTTTCCAAAACACTGTGGAGATTCTGCTTAATTCGGCAAGACCAAAAAATTAAAAAAAAAAAAAAATCGAAGTGTGGAGAATGGGTTGCAGGGCGAGGGCGAGAGACAGCCAGTGTCTGGGCTGGCAGGAGGCAGTGGAGCCCAACCAGGAGATGGTGACCACACTGGTTAGAACCCAGTGCTGCAGCTGAGATGACTAGACTGGCCTCTTTTGCTGGTTCACCCTGGGCAGTGTCTCCGCAAGGCGCCGAGCCTCGCCCTGTGGTCCGGGCTTCGAAGGTTGAGGGATGCTGGCCCCAGCAGAGAGTTGTGTCTCTTGAGCCTTAATCCCTTGAGGGGAAAGCTGGCTGTAACAGCACAAATATGGGGACAGCCGGCCCCACCCGCTGCCCAGGAAGCTGCCCTGCCTGTCTATGTCAAGGTCAGAAGTCAAAGTCATTGAAGGGCAATGTGCCTGGCTTATGGCACCTACGGCCCTGGCCACACAGCTGGAAGCTACACTAAGGCAGCAACGCCCAGGGCATGATTCACAAGCTCCTGGGCTGCAAGAGAGAATTTTAGGTGACTCACAGAAAACATTTGACTTTCAATTGCTTTGTACTTTTTTTTCAAATGCCTTTGGGAAATAAAGCTGGCATATCGAAGCTGTGATTTCACTGATATTACTGTTTAGAATTAGGTGAGTAAAAGCAGTGAGTCCATTAACATGAACTTAAAGAAAACTATAAAATAAAGGGACATGTCCTCAGGGTTTCCTGAGGGCTTTGTCATGGGCAAAAAATCATCATTATAATAAAAATATAAAATAAATAACAGCATAAGCAGTGAGTAGACATGGTAGAGAGGGTGGCGGTGGGACAATAGGCGTGGCTTGAGCTCTGATTTCCAACTCCACCAGCACGTTTTTAATTCCCCCTGGCTGCTTTGCATGTGCTGGGCATGGGCTCAGTATGTTTGCACACAGCACGTCCCCTGTGGCTCACAAGTCTGCCTGAAAAAGCTTTTCATCCTCATTTAAGGATAAAAACCTAAAAGGTCAAGGGACTGGCCAGGTCAGTGTGTGGCTGCTGGGGACAGGGTGACACGAAGGTTGGGGAGATTCTCACTGCAAACCGCTTTGGGAAGCTGGGCTGGGGGAGGAAGCCGCTCTGGCTCGGGGCGGACACTTCGTCCCCAGGGGAAGTACATCTCCCATTTGCTGTGTTGAGCAGTGGGGAGAGCTGTTCCCGGGATGCCTGGAGGGCAGCCTGGCATTTGGGTCCAGGTTCATAATCTCAGAATCTGGGGGAAAGCATCTTTTTTTCCATAACTAGTTATGTCTCCCCCTAGACCCCATTTTTCTAGGACCCAATCAAGTTGCTTCCCAAACACTAAAGAATTCTTACAGGTTCCCGGCCTTTTCTTCATCTCACAGGACGCTCTGGTTTCTGCTGTCGGCCCTTCTCCCTCCTCTCCAGCAGTTCTAACCCCATCTGCCCGCAAAGCCTCTGTAAATAAGATAAACACAACAACAGATCTAATATCAAAGGCGTGGGAGGTTGAAAGTGGACACAGGTGATGTGCATGTAGAGCAGACGTCCCGTATGCCTCACCCGTCTTCAGACCACCCCAGCCGCTGCTGCAGGGAGCACCCCTCTGTGAGCACTGTCCAAGTGCACACAAGCACAACCTATGAGCGGGCCTTGCGCCCAGGCTGCCCACCTCTCACCTGCAGCCCGAGGGCTACCCTATAGCCATTGAGGAGTGAGGCGCTGAGGGTCCACTCGGTCCCATGCAAAACCTAGAACTGCAGGGGACTCCATCCCTGTGAGGAAAACCCTCCACCTATAGGAAATGGGAACGGGCAGAGCCCTCCCCTCCCCTCCCCCTCCTCCCTCTTTCTTTCTTTCTTTCTTTCTTTCTTTCTTTCTTTCTTTCTTTCTTTCTTTCTTTCTTTTTCTTTCTTTCTTTCTTTCTTTCCTTTCTTTCTTTCTTTCTTTTTCTTTCTTTTCTTTTCTTTTTCTCTTTCTTTCTCTCTCTTTCTTTCTCTTTCTCTTCCTTCCTTCTTTCTATAAAATATATATACCATAACATTTCTCGTTTTAACTATTTTCGAGCGTGCCATCCTGTGGCATTCAGTTCTTGAAGTACATTCATACTGTCATGCAACCATCAGTTGGCATGCACCCACCAGCCATATCCAGAAGTTTTTCATCTTTCTAAATGGAAGCTGTACACCTATTACCCCCCAATCCCTCCTCCCTCCAGCCCCTGGAAGTCACCATTCAATTTCGTGTCTACATGAATTGAACTACTCCGCGTACCTCATATGAGTGGAATCCTATGGGTATTTATCTTTTTGCGACTGGCTTATTTTATTTAGCATAATGTCCTCAAGGTTTGTCTATATTTTAACATGTTAACATTTTCTTCCATTTCAATCTGAGCTATTTGTTCAGGAAGAAAGCATTAAAAATTTTTTCCTTCCAATCACCACCAGTTACAGAGTTCTTTTTTTCTCCTCCACTCCCACTGCTTCACTTGACAAGTCTTAAAAAAATTCTGACCAGCCTAGGCAACATAGTGAGACCTCATCTCTATAAAAAATAAGCAGAAAATTCGCCAGGTGTGGAGGTGTGCACCTGTAGTCTCACCTACTCAGGAGGCTGAGGTGGGAGGATTGCTTGAGACTGGGAGGTTGAGGCTGCAGTGAGCCGTGATCACACCACTGCACTCCAGCCCGGGCAACAGAATGAGACCCTTTCTCAAAAGCAAACAAACAAAACAAAACAAAAAACCCAAAAAACCTCCTTCCTTTTTATGGCTGAATAATATTCCATTGTATGCACATTCTGCATTTTATTTACCTATTCATCTGTCAGTGGACACTTGGTTTGCTGCCACCTTTTGGCTATTGTGAATAATGCTGCTGTTAATCTTGGTGCACAAATATCCACTCTGCTTTCACTTTTTTGGGGTATATACCTAGAAGCGGAATTGCTGGATCTTATGGCAATTGTATGTCATTTTTTTTTGAGGAATTGTCATAACTTTTTCTACAACAGCCACACCATTTTACATTACCAGCAGCAAGGGACCAGGGTTCCGATTTCTCCACATCTAGCCAGCGTTTTCTTTCTTTCTTTCCTTTAACTTTTTTTTTTTCCTGTGTTGCCCAAGCTGGTCTCAAACTTCTGGCCTCAAGTGATCCTCCCACCTCAACCTCCCCAGTAGCTGGGTCTGTAGGCATGCACCACCATGCCCAACTTTTGCTTCTTCTTCTTCTTTTTTTAATTCCTTCCTTCCTTCGTTCCTTCCTTCCCTCCTTCCATCCCTCCCTCCCTCCCTTCCTCCCTCCCTTCCTTCCATCCTTCCTTCCCTCCTTCCATCCTTCCTTCCTTCCTTCCTTCCTCCCTTCCTTCCTTCCCTCCTTCCCTCCCTCCTTCCTTCCTTCCTTCGTCTCTCTCTTTCCTCTTTCTTCTTTTTCTTTCTTTCCCTGCTTGTTTGCCTTCTCTCTTTCTTTTGATAGTAGCCATTCTAATGGGCATAGAATGGAACCTCGTTGTGGTTTGGATTTGCGTTATCCTAATGACTAGTAATGCTGACCATCTTTCCATATGCTCACTGGCCATTTGTATATCCTCTGTGGAGAAATGTCTATTCAAGTCGTTTGCCCATTTTAAAATCAGTTTTTAAGAAATTGTTGTTGGCCAGGCATGGTGGCTCACGTCTGTAATCCCAGCACTTTGGGAGGCTGAGGCGGGTGGATCACGAGGTCAGGAAATCGAGACCATCCTGGCTAACACGGTGAAACCCCATCTCTACTAAAAATACAAAAAATTAGCCGGGCGTGGTGGCGGGCGCCTGTAATCCCAGCTACTCGGGAGGCTGAGGCAGGAGAACGGCCTGAATCCGGGAGGCAGAGCTTGCAGTGAGCCGAGATTGCGCCACTGCACTCCAGCCTGGGCAACAGAGTGAGACTCTGTCTCAAAAAAAAAAAAAAAAAAAGAAATTGTTGTTGAGTTGTAGGAGTACTTCATATATTCTGCATATCACTCCCTTGTCAGATACACGATTTGCAAGTATTGTCTTCCATTTTATGGTTGCCTTTTCATTGCTTATAGTGTCCTTTGATGCACAAAAGTTTTTAATTTTAAGAGTTCAACTTATCTATTTTTTTCTTTTGTGGTCGCAATTCTTTCTTCACCTGTGTCTAGGAGTGCACTGTTCATGCTCTTCATTTTCTTTAGTAGCCTGGTGGTGTCTCTGGAACTTGTTGGTACAGAGTAGGGCCATTTTCAAAAGGGACCTTGACATCGAAAGCGTGTGGCATCCAGTGCCCTCTCAGAGGGTGACGCTCCTCACTTGCACAGCTCAGGACGAAACCTCTCCTGTTTCTGGTAAAAAGATTAGGAACATAAAAAGGAGCAAGTGTCTGGGCCTGGGGGCTAATTGCTGGCAGGGCCTCACCTGCCACAGCCCCAGTGGCTCAACCCACATCTGACTCAGGACCACAGGCCCCAGAAGGCTGCAGGATGAAAGGGCAGAGGGGAGGAATTCCAGCATCTTCATTTCAGCCCACAGCTTGGACAGCTGTGTGAAGCAGGCCCCTCATTCCACAAGAGAAAGACAGCCCAGCCATCTGGTTGGTGGGAGTTGGGGGCGTGATTCGTTTCTTCTAAATGCTGTGCTTAAGCCAGGTTGTCTGGCTTTGAAGATGATTCCTGCAGGACCAGCGCGTTCATTTCCTTGCGGGGAAACTGTCAGGTTGAAAGCCCTCCTGCTCCAGGTGGCTCTATCCTCATCTGTAAACACTATTAAGGACTTGGTTTCAGCTCTAACCAGATGAAACTCCTAGAGCTTTTCACTTAATGGGGACAGGGCGGCACAGGGAACAGGTGGGCAATTGGGCCATAGACAGCCCAAATAGTTGGATGTTGTTATCTTTTGATTTTCATTTGTGTTTTATTTCAATGATGCGGCTGTGCTCTTCCAGCATCATTACCCTTCCCATCAGGGACACCAAATTCTTAACCCTGTGACTGCCCCTCTAGAGAACATCCTTTCATTTGCTATGTATTTACTGAGCACCTACTGTGTGCCAGGCAGTGGTGGACCAAATAGAGGCAGGTGAGTCCTCTGGATAAAAGTCTCGGCTCTGAATGCAGCCTGCCTGAGTTCAGTCTTAGCTCTGCTCCTTAATTTCTGTGTCTTGTTGACTAAGACTGTGGACCTTGTCTGGAAAATGAAGAGAACGATAGTGTTTGTCTGTAGGGTTGTCCTGAGGTTTAAATGTCCTGGTGCAGGGGCAGCAGGTGCAGTCTGACACTTGGTAACTGCTAAGTAGGCATCGACTGTGATTGCATCGTCTCTGCCTTCATGGTGCTTACCTTCTAGAAAGGAGACAGGAAAGCAAGGCACCTGCAAGTGTGTAGTAGCAAGCTAGAATGTGCGGCTCAACTAAAAGACTTGGGCATCCGGGCTTGGTGAGTAAAAGAGTAGAAGCCTTGGTGGCTCACGCCTGTAATCCCAGCACTTTGGGAAGCTGAGGTGGGCATATTGCTTGAGCCTAGGAGTTTGAGACCAGGCTAGACAGCAAGGTGAAACCCTGTCTCTACAAAAAATAAAATAAAAGAATTAGCCAGGCGTGGTGGCATATGCCTGTAGTTACTGGAGAGGCTGAGTTGGGAGGATCACCCGAGCCCGGGATGTCAAGGCTGCAATGAGCTGTGATTGTGCCACTGCACTCCAGCCTTGGTGACAAAGCGACACCCCGTCTCAATAAATAAATGAAAAATAAATAAAAGGACTTGGAAGGATCCAATTTTGACTCAGGCTTGGGAAGATCTTCTCTGAGGAGCAGCATTTAGGCTGAGTCCTGATGGAGGAGGAGGAGACACAGGCCAGGTGTGAGCAGAAGGGGGAGATCTGCAGGAAGTAGCTGAGGAAAGGCGGGTGCAGCTGGAGCTGGTGACCAGGAGTGGGAGATGGGGCTCCGGAGGGCCTTGTTGCCCAAAGAAAGAGTTCAGAGTCCCCTGCAAGAAACAAGAAAGCCTAGAGGCCCTGGTGGAGGGGAGGGATGGTGCCAGATTTCTGGTTTTGAAAAGATCAGTCTGGGCTGGGTGTGGTGGCTCATGCCTGTAATCCCAGCACTTTGGGAGGCTGAGGCAGGCAGATCACGAGGTCAGGAGATCGAGACCATCCTGGCTAACATGGTGAAACCCCGTCTTTACTAAAAATGCAAAAAATTAACCGGACGTGGTGTCGGGTGCCTGTGGTCCAAGCTACTTGGGAGGCTGAGGCAGGAGAATGGAGTGAACCCGGGAGGTGGAGCTTGCAGTGAGCCGAGATTGTGCCATTGCACCTCAGCCTGGGTGACAGAGCAAGACTCCATCTCAAACAAAAACAAAAACAAAAAACATGCATACGCGTGTGTGCATATGTGTGTGTGTGTTCTGTCTCATCAGAATCAGGCAAGCTGGTAATCAGCCACAGTGGGAAAGTGAATCATGTCATGTGCCTCCGCCCCACAGAAGAACAAATACAGTATGAACTGTTTTCCTGACCACCACATCTGCTATGGAGACACTTGGGCAAAGGCCATCAAAGGCAGCATTTGTGTCGTTGGCTTTTCATTCCCCTTGAAAGAAAATCTCAGCTTCCTCCCATGACTTTGTATCAGCTGACAATATCCAGAATAATGCTGGGAAACAAATCATCCCCTCAATCCAGTGGTTGACAACCATCAGTTTTTCTCTTTTGCACATCTTTGGGTTGGCTGGATTTTTTTTTGGCTGGTGTTGGCTGGGCTGGGTCCAGGCCTGCTCCTGGTGTCTTCATCCTCCTTGGACTGGTGGGGTTGGCAGGGCAGCTCCTCCCATGGTAATGGCAGAAGCCCGAGAGAGCAAGTTCCACTGTGAAAGCAAATGTCACATCTCTGCCTGGGTCGTACTTGCTACATCTCATGCATCAAAGCAAGTCCCATGGGCGAGCCCAAAGTCAAGGGGCAGGGAAGTGTGTGCATGGATGTAAGCACCATGCGGGGGAGTGGAAATCTGCCCAGGCTACAAGGCTGACCTCTCCGACTCATGTCACATTCTCCCCCACCCACCAACCACCCGAGTGCTCACTCCAACGACACTTCTTATTTCTTGAACATGCTAAGGCCATTCTCACCTCAGGGCCTTTGCACGAGCTGCTCCCTCTGTCTTAAACTCTCTTCTCAGATCTTCCTCCAGCTGCTCCATCTGAACATTCAGGAATTAACTCAAATGTCACCTCCAGAGAGTGGCTTTGCCAGACCATTTGGTCTAAGTGGCCCTCACAGAGTCCCCTCTATCACATCCGCTAGCTGAATTCTCTTCTCAGTACTGATTACTCTAATATTTCCAATGGTCTCATTTTATATATTTGTTAATTTGTTGATTATCTGTCCCCCTACCAGAACCTAAGATTCATGATGGCAGGGATCTTGTTTGCGGTCAGGTCCCCAGTGCTCTCAAAATGTTTCATCAATTCATATTGAACAAAATTCAGGACTGACAGGGAGGAGCAGAAGAAGAGGGTTCGAAAAGGTGACAGGTCAACTGCAAACAGGCATATTTTTAAAAAATTCTGGGTCAGGAGCAGTTGCTCACACCTGTAACCCCAGCACTTTGGGAGGCTGAGGCGGAAGGATCCCTTGAGCCCGGGAGTTTGAAACCAGCCCAGGAGTTCCAGACCAATGTAGTGAGACCTCGTCTCTACAAAAAAATAAAAAACAAAATTAGCCAGGAATGGTGGTGCATGCGTGTAGTTCCAGCTATTTGGGAGGCTGAGACAGGAGGATTGCTTGAGCCTGGGGGAGGTTGAGGCTACAGTGACCCAAGATAGTGCCACTGCACTCCAGCCTCAGCGACAGTGCAAGACCTCATCTCAAAAAAATAAAAAAGAAAAATTTGTCCCCAGAAGTGTATTTCTTTATCTTGAATGAAAAATAAATAAATCCATTCCTTCATTCAGGCAGCACCTACTCACTGCCTGCTGGGAGGCAGGCTTTACGCAGGGTGAGCATGCAGACACGGCCTTCATATGATGGAGCCCACAGTTTAGCAGCAGAGGCAGGATCAGGACAGGATTTACAAATGCCACAACTGCTAAAGAAAAGAAGTATGGGAGACTACGAATCTGCAGCTGCTGCTTCCTACATGCAGGTTTCATTCATTCACCATTCACTCGTTCATTCAACACCTGTGACCACCTACTGGGTTGCTTGCTCTGTATTAAGAATTGTGGGCACAGGGAGTAATCTGATGCAATAATAATTGCCATGTTACGAAGTCAATTCTCTAACAGTGAAGGCTGCTTTTCAGAAAGGGTGGGTCCATGACACGGACCTTGATGGATGAAGAGGAGCTCACTAGGTAGAAAGGGAAAACTGCAAATACAAGAATGTGGTTGCATATGAGACAATGAGAAGAGAGGATCATTAGTTCTATGGAAAACTCATGCCAGAAAAAGAGCCATTTAAAATAAATAGAGTTGGGGCTGGGTGCGGTGGCTCATGCCTATAATCCCAGCATTTTGGGAGGCCGAGGCAGGCAGATCACCTGAGGTCAGGAGTTCGAGACCAGTCTGGCTAACATGGTGAAACCCCGTCTCTACTAAAAATACAAAAATTAGCTGGGCATGGTGGTGGGTGCCTGTAATCCCATATACTTGGGAAGCTGAGGCAGGAGAATTGCTTGAACCTGGGAGGCGGAAGTTGCAGTGAGCCGAGATTGTGCCACTGCACTCCAGCCTGGGCAACAGAGTGAAACTCCATCTCAAAAATGATAATAATAATAATAAATAAATGAAAATAAAAAATAATTTTAAAAATAAAATAGAGTCCAATGTAAAAGCATATTTTAAGGGAAGAAAAAATGATTAGTTTGGGACTTTGTCTTAAAGAAAATTCATGAAAATTCATGAAAATAAATTCATCTTACAGTCAACAAAAGTTGTTATGTTTTAATCCTTGGAACAACTCAAGATGGAAGCAAATGCTGATTTGGGGGAAAGGTATAGTTTTTTAATGATCAAGTCAGCCACAGGCTTCACTTTGCATTTGATTTCAGAGTGCAGGTGCCAAGGTTTCCCCAGGGCTGCCTTTTCCTCGGGGGTGTCAAATCATTCTCGGGTGAGGCTGTCTCTGTCTCATTGTTTTCTCTGTCATTTTTCTCTTCATCAATGGTTGACCACTCCCATCCCCGGCCAGTTCCCCATTGCCCATGACTGAGTTGGGATCCACGAGGTTCCTGATGACCTCCTGCATCTGTTGCAAGACTGGTGTTCTCATTTTGCCCTTGATTTGCCCTGGATCTGCACCATCTTACCAGACCTTTGTTGGCAAGCTCACAAAGACATTAACAAGATTCATGGTGGCCTTGTTGGGAAGGCAGAGCAATGGACCTAAGCAGGCAGGGAACTTGAGTTGGGGCAGACTGGGTAGGTGGTCAGGTCTTTAATGCTTCCCCGAGCCTCGGTGTAGTAGGGACTTGCACATTGCAGACCCTCTGTAGTTGCTGGGTCCAAGGCTAGGGCAAAGGTGAGGCGCCCAGGGAGCTGAGGCTGGGAATGGAGGCCCGGGCAGCCTCCAGTGCTTGGCTTGCCCTTGAGGGCAACGGGAAGCCCCGACCAGTTTAAGCGGCACAGGACCTGGTCAGCTCTAACCTCAGAAATCTTATCTGAGACAGCTGAGTGGACTGGAGTGGACGGGGAGGAGCTGGGGTCTCAGCAACATTGAGGTAAGGGCTGTCCATCCTCTGCCCAAGGGTGGCTGGTGGCCCAGGTGGTCTCACCCAGCCCCCAGCCCCCTCCTTTGTGTAAGCTGGGTCTGAGGGCCGATGCTCCCTCATGCTTGAGAAGAGGCTCTTCTGGAATCATGGACTGCCAAGGCAGGAGTTACAGGGAGTCAGATGGGAAAGCAGGGGCTACTTTGCGTAGGATGGCCAGGGAAGCCGCTCTGAGGAGATGATCCTTAACTGATGACTGGAGGCTGAGAAGGGGCCGGGGGCAATGAGCCTGTGGAAGGGCCTCCCAGCACGGGCAAAGGTCCTGAGGCAGAAGATGTTTCACTGTGAGCCTCGTGCAGGAAGAGGAGGGTCTAAGCTGAAGCTGAAGAAGCAGATGCTGGCGCGGCACACCTTGGAATTTGGATCTAAGTTTAAGGAGAAAGCACCCAAGGGCTTTAATCAGGGGAGTGATGTGATTGCATCTGACTTGTGTCTTCGTAGGATTCCACTGGCTGTAGAGGCCAGAGGGGAGCAGGGAGATTGGAGCCTGTGACTGGAATCCTGGTGAAACCTCAAAGTGGCTTGGACCAGGGCAGTGGCAGTGGAAACAGAAAAAAGTGAGCAGATGTGAGGTGTAGTTTGGAGCTTCATTAGACTGGATCCACCAATGTCCACCCCATACATGTATCCAGATCGCAGCCCCACCTCTCAACCCTGAGGCCATAGAGCATGCTGGAAATAGCATGTGTTTCAGAGTGAGACAGGCCTGGCTGGAGTCCCAGTACCCTTACTGTAAAGCAGAGCCAGTTCCATCACCTTTCTGAGCCTCAGTTTTCTTATCTGTGAAATGAGAACAACCTCCTCAGAAAGTGAAACAGAATTACCATATGATCCAGCAATCGCACTCCTAGATATAGACGCAAAGGAATCAAAAGCAGGGACATGAATAGATACTTGTGCACCAATGTTCATAGCAGCATTACTCACAATAGCCAAAAGGTGGAAGGAACCCAACTGACCATCAACAGGGGAAGAGATAAACAAAACGTGATCTATCCAAACAATGGAATATTATTCAGCTAGGAAAAGGAAGAAAATTCTGCCACATGCAACAACATGGATGAACGTTAAAAACATCATGCTAAGTGAAACAGGCCAGTCACAAAAGGACAAATAATATAGGATGCCACTTATATGAGGTATCTAGACTAGGGAAATCCGTAGAGACAGAAAGTAGAAAGGTGGCTGCTGGGGGCTAGAGAGGGTAATGGGAGTTATTTTTTAAAGAGAGCAGTTATTTATTAAAGAGAGATGAAAAGTTCTGGAGATGAAGAGTGATGACATTTACACAACTTGTAGGTGTGCTTGGTGCCACTAGATTGTACACTTAAAGATGGCTAAAATGGTATATTTTATGTAACATATGTTTTACCACAATAAAAATATTTTTTTGGCTGGGCGTGGTGGCTCACACCTGCAATCCCAGTACTTTGAGAGGCCGAGGTGTGAGGATCACCCGAGGTCAGGAGTTCGAGACCAGCCTGGCCAACATGGTGAAACCCTGTCTCTACTAAAAATACAAAAATTAGCCAGGTGTGGTGGGGGCCTCCTGTAATCCCAGCTACTTGGGAGGCTGAGGCAGGAGAATCACTTGAACCTGGGAGGCAGAGGTTGCAGTGAGCCGAGATTGTGCCACTGCACCCCAGCCTTGGCAACAGAGCAAGACTCCATCTCAAAAAAAAATTTTTTTTTAAAAAGGGAACAACAATATCTGCCTCATAGGGTGTTTTGTGGAGTCCAAGAGGCCCCCACCTCAATGCGACCCCAGGCATAGGTGGGCTGAATGAGGAAAGGCCAGCATGTGGGGACTCCAGCCACCTGAGTTATGGCAAAGAGTACCTCCCTGCTGGGGATACTGGTCAGAGCATAAAGAAAACAAGGCCCCTCATTTATCTGTGTACGTGTGCCGTAAAGATACTGAGAGGTGACAGGGTGCTGGCAGCCCTCCCTCGCTCTTGGTGCCTCCTTGGCCTCTGCACCCACTCTGGCCGCGCTTGAGGAGCCCTTCAGCCCGCCGCTGCACCGTGGGAGCCCCTTCCTGGGATGGCCGAAGCCGGAGCCGGCTCCCTCAGCTTGCAGGGAGGTATGGAGAGGGTGACACGGGCGGGAACCGGGGCTGCGTGCGGCCCTTGCGGGCCAGCTAGAGTTCTGGGTGGGCGTGGGATTGGCGGGCCCCACACTCTGAGCGGCCGGCCGGCCCCGCCAGCCTGGGCAGTGAGGGGCTTAGCACCCATGCCAGCAGCTGCAGAGGATGTGCCGGTCCCCTAGTAGTGCCGGTGGCTCGATTTCTCGCCGGGCCTTAGCTGCCTCCCCGAGGGGCAGGGCTCGGGACCTGCAGCCCGCCATGCCTGAGCCTGCCCCTGACGCCGTGGGCTCCTGCGCGGCCCCAGCCTCCCCGACGAGCGCCGCCCCCTGCTCCACGGCGCCCGGTCCCATCGACTGCCCAAGGGCTGAGGAGTGCCGGCGCAAGCACCACGGGACTGGCAGGCAGCTCCGCCTGCGGCCCGGGTCCAGGACCACTGAGTGAAGCCAGCTGGGCTCCTGGGTCTAGTGGGGATTTGTAGAAGCTTTATGTCTAGCTAAGGGATTGTGAATACACCAATCGGCACTCTGTATCTAGCTCAAGGTTTGTAAATGCACCAATCAGCGCTCTGTGTCTAGCTGATCTGTTGGGGACTTGGAGAACCTTTATGTCTAGCTAGGGGATTGTGGATGCACCGGTCAGTGCTCTGTGTCTAGCTCAAGGTTTGTGAATGCACCAATCAGTGCTCTGTATCTAGCTAATCTAGTGGGGACTTGGAGAATTTTTGTGTCTAGCTCAGGGATTGTAAACGCACCAATCAGCACCCTGTCAAAACAGACCAATTGGCTCTCTGTAAAATGGACCAATCAGGAGGAAGTGGGTGGGGCCAGATAAGAGAATAAAAGCAGGCTGCCGGAGCCAGCAGCGGCAACCCGTTCGGGTCACTTTCCACTGTGTGCGAGGTTTGTTATTTCACTCTTTGCAATAAGTCTTGCTGCTGCTCACTCTTTGGGTCCACATTGCCTTTGTGAGCTGTAACACTCACCGCGAAGGTCTGCACAGCTTTACTCCTGAAGCCAGCGAGACCACGAACCCACCAGAAGGAAGAAACTCAGAAGACATCCGAACATCAGAAGGAACAAACTCCCGTCAGGCTGCTTTTAAGAACCGTAACACTCACCGTGAGGGTCCGCGGCTTCGTTCTTGAAGTCAGTGAGACCAAGAACTTACCAATTCCGGACGCAGTGCCGCTAATGATCAACACGGAAGGGATTATTAATACCATAAGGTTGGGAACTGACGCTGGAACATGCCACTTGGTTGGAAGATGGATGAGGATTTTCTTTGGTCTGTTTTTGGGAAAAGTTTTCAAGAGGGTCCAGGCTTGCACTTCAGGGGCAGAGAGTTTCTATGATGTGGCAGAAATGGGCTTGGCTTCCACTGGCTTTGCCTGGAGCCGACGGAAGGCGCTCCCAGGAATAAGATCGGGAGAAGTTTCTACCCGCTGGAAGGATGACTGGTGACTGATGAGAAGTCAGGGATGGCTGCTGCTTGCCAGGTGGGCCCAAATGGAAATGTATTCACACAGGGAGTAACAGCCTGAGTGGAGCAGGAGCCTCCCCTAGTGCGGGGAAAGTATTGTCGGGTACAGCATTCTCCAGGGCAACTTGGCAAAACAAAGCCCAAGTTTTCAAACTCTGCCTATCAGTTTTACTGCACATTACGTTGGTGCAAAAGTAATTGCAGTTTTTGCCATTAAAAATGATGTAATAGTTACTGTAAAGATGTTCATCACAGCGTCAACTGTAAGAGAAACAAAAGGGCCCCAAATGCTTTAGGTGGGGAGATGAATTAACCTAATTATGCTATATCTGAATAAAAGAATTGCAGTTGGCCAATAAAAATGGCATCATTGTGTTGTAGAAGAATATTGGGCGTCATGGAAAGATGACAACGGTGGGTGCTTTCTATGTGCAGGCGCTGTTCTCGGTCCTTCATACAATCTGCAGAGGTGAGTACTATTATTAGCCCCATTTTGCTGTTGAGGAAACCCAGGCACAGAGAGGTTAAGTAAGCTGCCCAAGGTAATACAGCTGTAAAGTGGTGGAACTGAGATTTGAAACTAACCAGTCTGGCTTCAAGCTCTCAAAGACTTTCATGATGGAAAGCCTGTTTTGTTTTGTTTTTCCTTTAATAAAAAAAGAGGCCAGGTGTGGTGGCACACATCCGTAATCCCAGCTACTCAGGAAGCTGAGGCGGGAGGATCACTTGAGCCCCACCAGAGCTCCCCCCAACCTCTGGCAACCACTTGTCTTTTTACTGTCTCCACAGTTCTGCATTTTCTAGAATGTCGTAGAGTTGGGATCATAAAGCGGCCTTTTCAGATGGGCTTCTTTCACTTAGTAACAGGAATTTAGCTTCCTCCATGTCTTTTTATGGCTTGATGGCTCATTTCTTTTTAGTGGTGAATACTATTTTGTTGTCTGGATGTTCAAGGAGTTCAAGACCAGCCTGGGCAACATAGTGAGCCCCCATCTCTAAAAAAGAAAAAGAAAGATGATATATGCCTAGAAAAAGCACTGAAAGAGAAAAATGTTGCCTGTTTCTCTTGAAGCGGCATCATGGATAATTCTTATTTCTCTGTATTTTTCTAAATTTGCCACAGTAAAATGTGTAACTTTGTAATAAGGAACACTCTCTGTTTTTTTAATAGACTTCGTTTTTTAGAGCAGTTTTAGGTTCACAGCAACACTGACCAGAAAAGTACAGCCAGCTCCCATATTCCCATCCCCCACATTCCCCCAGCCCGCCCCACTATCAGCACCCCACACCAGAGTGGCACGTTGGTTACAATCCACACACCTACATTTACACATCATTTTCTGAGATCAGATGAGATCGGGCACGTTCAGGGTGGTATGGCCGTAGACATTTACACATCATTTTCATTCAAGATCCGTAGTTTTGGTTACATTAGGAGTCATTCTTGGTGTTGTACTAATACTTTTTTTTTTTTTTTGAGACAGAGTTTCACTCTGTCGCACAGGCTAGAGTGCAGTGGTGCGACCTTGGCTCACTGCAACCTCCGCCTCCCGGGTTCAAGTGATTCTCCTGCCACAGCCTTCTGAGTAGCTGGGACTACAGGTGCACGCCACCATGCCCAGCTCATTTTTGTATTTTTAGTAGAGACAGGGTTTCGCCATGTTGGCCAGGCTAGTCTTGAACTCCTGACCTCAGGTGATCCACCCACCTTGGCCTCCCAAAGGGCTGGGATTACAGGCATGAGCCACCATGCCTGCCTGGCTTACTAAAACACTTTATGGGTTTGGACAAATGTATAGTGACACGTATCCACCATTAAAATATCATACAGGATAATTGCCTTGCTCTGAAAATCCTCTGTGTTCTACCTATTCATTTCTTCCTTCCCCCTAACCTCTGGCAACCATGGACCTTTTTTTTTGAGAGGGAGTCTCTCTCTGTCGCCCAGGCTGGAGTGCAGTGGCGCTATTTCAGCTCACTGCAAGCTCCGCCTCCCAGGTTCACGCCATTCTCCTGCCCCAGCCTCCCGAGTAGCTGGGACCACAGGCGCCCGCCACCACGCCCGGCTACTTTTTTTTGTATTTTTAGTAGAGACGGGGTTTCACTTTGTTAGCCAGGATGGTCTGAATCTCCTGACCTCGTTATCCGCCCGCCTTGGCCTCCCAAAGTGCTGGGATTACAGGCGTGAGCCACCGTGCCTGGCCAACCATGGATCTTTTTACAGTTGCTATAGTTTTGCCTTTTCCAGAATGTCATAGAGTTGGAATCATACTGTATGTAGCCTTTTCACATGGGCTTCTTTCACTTAGTAATATGCATGTAGCTTCCTCCATGTCTTTTTACGGCTTGATGGCTCATTTCTTTTGGTGCCGAATAATATTCTGTGGTCTGGATGTACCAGAGCTTATTTATCCACTCACCCCTTGAAGGACACTGTGGTTGTTTCCAAGTTTTTGGCAATTAATGAATAAAGCTGCTATAATAATCTGTGTGCAGCTTTTTGTGTGGACCTAAGTTGTCAACTCCTTTGGCTAAGTAGCAAGGATGATGATGGCTGAATTGTATGGTAAGAGCACATTTAGTTTGTGTTTGTAAGAAACTGTCAAACTCTCTTCCCAAGTGTCTATATCATTTTGCATTCCCATCAGTCATGAATGAGACTTCCTCCTACTCCACATCCTCGTCAGCATTTGTTACTGTCAGTGTTCTGGATTTTGTCATTCTTGTTTTTCAAGAAGAGGAAGGAATCATGTCCCTGCAAGTCTCTCCTTGGGCTCCCCAGGGTGCACTTAAGGATTCCACGCCCCACTGGTGTCATACTGGTGGCAGGGCCAGCTGGATCCTGATGTCCCCTTTTCTGGGAAGAGACCCAATGTCCAGGGTGGGCCCTGAGCTCCTCTCTGGCCCAGTTGATTGACCCAAGGGGGAAGCTGGACCTAAGCTAAGCCTGTCAGCTGCTCTCTCCCAGTTACGGGACAGTGACTGGAGCTTCAGTGAGGCCACGTGATGTTAATGGAGTTCTCTAAAGAGGAGGGCTGTGAGCTCCTCCCCCAGGGAGGCCTCTGGGCTGTGCTGATTCTGCATCCCCTAACCTTGCTGTTTGGATCCCGCTCCTTGGATTGAGTAGGATCCGTTCAACAAATTCCTCCTTTTTGCTTGTTTAGCCAGTCAGATGCTGTCATCTGCTACCCTAGAAATTTAAGCCATACCATTAAGCAATACCATTTCTTTCCTCCTTTCTTTTCCTTTCCTTTCCCTTCCTTTTCTTTCCTTTTTCCTTCCTTCCCTCCCTCCTTCCTTTCTCCTTCCCTCTCTTTCTCTCTCTCCTCTCTCCTTTCTTTCCTTCCTTCCTTCCTTCCTTCCTTCCTTCCTTCCTTCCTTCCTTCCTTCCTTCTTTCTTTCTTTCTCTTTTTCTTTCTCTCTCTCTTTCTTTCTCTCTCTCTCTCTCTTTCTTTCTTTCTTTCCCTTTTTTTTTTTTTTGGTTGAGATAGATTCTCACTCTATCACCCAGGCTGGAGTGCGTGGTGTGGTCATAGCTCACTGCAACCTCTGACTCCTGGGCTCAGGTGATCCTTCTGCCTCAGCCTCCTGAATAGCTGGGACCACAGGTGTGTGCCACCATACCTGGCTAATGTTTTTATTATTATTTGCAGAGACGAGGTCTCACTATGTTGCCCAGACTGGACTTGAACTTCTGGGCTCAAGCAATCCCACCTTGGCCTCCCAAAGTGCTGGATTTACAGGCGTGAGCCATTATACTCAGCCCCATTTCATATAACTAGAGATAAATGATAAAATATATGACAGTATTAAAAACCCCTCAAAATGTAGCATAATACTCTGTAATTAAGAAATAGTCCACGAAGGGATTATTTCTTTCAAGTTATTAAAGACCCTTTAAAAACTTGAAAGAGCCTTTAAAAACACATGATGAAGAAGTGTTTTGTGTTAATATAGCAGTAGCCAGAATAAAAAAAAATTCTTGAAGACTGTAGCAGAATATCATCATTAAAAATCTTTTTTTTAAATTTTTTTTTTAGACAGAGTCTCCGTCTGTCTCCAGGCTCGAGTGCAGTGGCACGAGCTGGGCTCACTGCAACCTCAGCCTCCCGGGTACAAGCGATTCACCTGCCTCAGCCTCCCAAGTAGCTGGGACTACAGGCGCGTGCCACCATGCCCGGCTCATTTTTTGTATTTTTAGTAGAGACAGGGTTTCACCATGTTGGCCAGGATGGTCTCGAACTCCAGACCTCATGATCCGCCCACCTTGGCCTCCCAAAGGGCTGGGATTACAGGCGTGAGCCACTGTGCCTGGCATCATTAAAAACCTTAATAAAAAAATCATAATCTGTTACATAAATGTACTTGTAATTATACAAAATGACAATAAAGTTTTTCATCGCAGCATCGTTTGTAAGACAAAATGGAAATAGTTTTAACAGGAACTAGTTAAACAAATTATAGTACATCCATGCAGTGAAATAGTATGTAGGTATAATAAAAAGAATGAGACTTCCTTTAGAAACTAATATGGAACAATCTCCAGAAATAAAATTAAGTAAAAAAAGGCAAGATGCAAAAACAGTAAGATGAAAATCTACCACTTATGTAGAAAGGGTAAGAAAAGAAGTAGTTGTTTGCTTGTTTGTGCGTAAGGTATCTCTGGATACCTTGTCGCTGTATATCCTTTGATTTGTCACTGTATGTCCTTTGACATTTCCTTTGACGTTTTGTGAAAAATTTCAAAGCATATTTTTAACTGTTAGCTATACATACAGCATGAGGCATAAAACACACAGTCACAGTTTTACTTACTAAAAACACATATTCACGGTTTTACTTAGTAATAAAGTAACACCCATATAACAGCCAGCCAGGTCAAGAAATACAGCCTTGCTGGAAAAATCTACAATGATTCAAAACCTCCACCCTCTTTCTGGAAACTAACACACTTTAACTCCATTTAATTCCTCCTGACTTAGAAGTTATTGTTGTCTGGTATTTTAATTCTAGCTTTCTGCAACCCCTGCCTTTTTTTTTTTTTTTTTTTTTTTTTTTGAGACAGGATCTCACTCTGTCACCCAGGCTGGAGTGAACTGCTCACTGCAGCCTCTACCTCCCAGGCTCAGGTGATCCTCTCACCTCAGCCTCCCGAGTAGCTGGGAGTGCAGGTGCACGCCACCACATCCTACTAATTTTTGTATTTTTTGTAGAGACAGGGTTTTGCCATGTTGTCCAGGCTGGTGTCAAACTCCTTGAGCTCAAGGGATCCTCCTGCCTCGGCCTCCCAAAGTGTTGGGATTACAGGCATGAGCCACTGTGCCTGGCCAGCTTCCCCCTTTTTAAACCCTACACTTTATAGTCAGGATTTGCTTACATTTGCTTACTTATTTACATCTATCTTTGCTTCTCATTCATTCTTCATTTCAGAGCTCATGTAATGAGTGTATTATAATTTTGAAATGAATTAGTAACTAGTCACAAATTGATTAGTATTAATAATGCATATTAATAAACATTAATATTAATGTTTACAAAATTCTCACTTTTTAATTTCTAACATGATCAATCTCAAGAGATATAACCCACCTAAACAAAAGCTCTTTGGGGTTGTCAATAATTTTTTATTTTTATTTTTGAGACAGAGTCTTGCTCTGTCACCCAGGCTGGAGTGCAGTGGTGCAATCTCGGCTCATTGCAACTTCTGCCTCCTGGGTTCAAGTGATGCTCCTGCCTCAGCCTCCCGAGTAGCTGGGATTACAGGTGTGCACCACCACGCCTGGCTAATTTTTGTATTTTTAGTAGAGACAAGGGTTTGCCATGTTGCCCAGGCTGCTCTCGAATTCTTGACATCAGGTGATCCGCCGGCCTCAGCCTCCCAAAATGCTGGGATTACAGGTGTGAGCCACCATGCCTGGCCTATTATGATTTATTTATTTTTTTGAGACAGTCTCCCTCTATCACCCAGCTGGAGTGCAGTCATGCAATCTTGGCTCACTGAAACCTCCACCTCCAGCGTTCAAGCAATTATCCTGCCTCAGCCTCCTGAGTAGCTGAGATCACAGGTATGTGCCATCACACCCGGCTAATTTTTGTATTTTTATTAGAGACCAAGTTTTGCCATGTTGGTCAGGTGGGTCTTGAACCCCTGGCCTCAAGTGATCCTCCCACCTCGGCCTCCCAAAGTGCTGTGATTATAGGCATGAGCCACCACTCCAGGCCCTCAATAATTGTTAAAAAATATAAAAGCTTCCTGAGACCAAAATGTTTGAGAACCTTTGACCTAGTGAAATTTTACTATTTCACAAGCTGGAAGTGATTGTTTTCAGAAGACAATGGGTGGGTGGGCTTGGGGTGGGGAATTCCAGGTCATCTGAATCTACTGAAAACAAGGATGAACATTTGAGTAAATGATGAAAATGTGCTTATTTAATCTCATAAATTTGGTTATAAATGCGTTTCTGTACTAACTTTTGAAAGGGAGAAAAATGAATTATGAGTTGTTTAGGCACAAGGGTCATAATTTTTTCTGACAATGTTATATTGCTGCTCATTCCTGTACTCCCAGCACTTTGGGAGGCCGAGGCGGGCAGATCGCTTGGGCTCAGGAGTTCTAGACCAGCCTGGGCAACAAAGCGAGATCTCATCTCTACAAAAATTTAAAAATTAGCTGGTGTGGTGGTAAGCACCTGTAGTAGTAGCTACTCAGGAGGCTGACATAGGATTGCTTGTGCCCACGAGTTTGAAGCTGCAGTGAGCTATGATTGCACCACTGCATTCCAGCCTGGGTGGCAGCAAGACCTTGTTTAAAATGTTTATATATATGTGTGTGTGTGTGTGTGTGTGTGTGTACATATATATATATGTATGTATGCGTGCATGTATATATCTTAAGTGGAGCCTTCTGATTCTAAGTGAAGTAGTGAAAGTCCATGATTAATTTTGGAAGTGCATGTTAAAATTGTGAAATACGGCCAGGCATGGTGGCTCATGCCTGTAATCCCAGCACTTTGGGAGGCGGAGGCGGGCGAATCACCTGAGGCCAGGAGTTTGAAACCAGCCTTACCAATATGGAGAAACCCCGTCTCTACTAAAAATACAGAAATTAGCCGGGTGTGGTGGCGCATACCTGTAATCCCAGCTACTCGGGAGGTTGAGGCAGGAGAATAATTTGAACCCAGGAGGTGGAGGTTGCGATGAGCTGAGATAATGCCATTGCACTCCAGCCTGGGCAGCAAAAGCGAAACTCCATCTCAAAAAAAATTGTAAAATACAGTATGCTACATACATAAACAAAAGAGTATTATAGTTTGTAAAATTAGGTGGAGCTGAACACTTAAGACTTATGCACTTTACTGTAAGTTTTACCTCAATTAAAAGTTAAATAGTAAAATAAAAATAAAGAGCATGTACATATATAGCTTAAAGAATAATAAAATGAACGAGTACCCATCACCCAGACCAAGACATAGACAATAACGTGCCCCACAGCTCCTATTGAAATCTCCTTCCCATTGCATTTTCTTTCTCTCCCCCAGAGGCAACCACTATCTGAATTTTGAGTTAATCATTCCCTCGTTTTTCTTTATAGTTTTGAAATCCAGGTGCACATCCCTAACTAAAACATCATTTTGTTTTGCCTATTTTGACTATTATGTAAAATAAATCACATTGTTTATATTCTTCAGTGACTTGCTTCTTTTGCTCACCTTAGAGCATTGATTCATCTTTGAGATTGATTCATGTTGTTGAGTGTGGCTGTGGCACTTTCATTTTCACTGCTGTATAATATTCCACTCTGTGAATTTTCTACAACTTAATTATAACTCTGTCCAACTGTTGATAGGCAATTTGGTGGTTTCAAGGACATACCCTTACACTCAAGGCTGTTTTGAACTTCATTACTTATGTCTCTAGGTACCCATATACAAGACTATCCCTGGTGTATATTCCTAGAAGAGGAATTGCTGGATCTTGGGTAGGCTCGTATTCAAATTTACTAAGTTGTGCCAAACTGGCTTCTAAAGTCTTTGTCCTCAGTTACACCCCTACCAGAAGAATTCCCACTGATGCCTACTCTATCCCAATTCTAATTTTTGCCAATCTGTTATATGAAGTGTATTGTCTCATCATGACTTTTTGTTTTTCTAAGTAATAAACAGAGTATATTTTTTTATATATTTTGGGGCCATTTGTACTTCCTTTTCCTTGAAATCCCTGTTCATTTCTCCTGCCCATTTTCCCCCTTTCGGTAATTTGTCTTCATTTGTTTATTCAGCATCATTTTTTTCTAAGCTCCTACAAGTGCCAGGCCCTCTTTCTGGTGCTTGGGATATACATCATTCAACAAAAGAATATGTTAGATATGATAAAGTCTAATGGAAAAAAAACACATCAGAGCAAGGTAGGGCTACCAGGAGTATGTGCATAGGAGTGCAAATTAAAATAGGGTACTCAGAAAGGGGCTCATGATAAGGTGACATTTAGGTAAAGACTGGAAGCAGATGAAGAATTCACCAGGCAGACATTCTGGGGGAAGGACAGTCCAAGCAAAGGGAACAGCCAGTGCAAAGACTCTGAGGCAGGAATTGCCAGGCTTGTCGGAATAACAGTAAGGAAGTCAGAGAGGCTGGAGTGCAGTGGCCAGGAAGTGTTAGGATTTCACGATATATTCTGGTACTAATGCTTTGTTGGCTATATATATTGCAAATATCTTCTATTTTGTGGCTTGACTTGCCTTTTCACTCTATGTGTGGTGTCTTGGGGAGTATGGGTTTAACTCCTGGGCTTAAGCGTAGATTTTTAATTTTAATGTAGTCCAGCTGTTCCTTTAAGGTTTGTGCTTTTTGGAGTCATGTTTCAGTAATCTTTTCCTAACATAAGGTCATAAAATATTTTTCTATGTTGTCTTTTAAGTGTTACATAGTTTTGCTTTTCATAGGTGGGCCTTTAATTAACCTTGATCTGATTTTGTGAATGATGTTCTCTCTCTCTCTTTTTTTTCTAAATCTTATGGAGAACCACTTATAGAAAAGTTCACCCTTTCCCCACTGAACTTCAAAAATACCTCTGGGCCAGGTGTGGTGGCTCATGCCTGTAATCCCAGAACTTTGGGAGGCCAAGGTGGGAGGATCCTTTGAGCCCAGGAGTTCAAGACCAGCCTGGGCAATGTGGTAAAACCCTGTCTCTGCAAACAACAACAATAACAATAAGCAACAACAACAACAAAACTAGCTGGGCGTGGTGGCGCGCCTGTAGTCCTAGCTACTTGGGAGGCTGAGGCAGGAGGATCAATTGAGTCTGGTAGGTAAAGACTGCAGTGAGCTGCGATCGTGCCATTGCACTCCAGCCTGGGTGACAGAGCAAGACGCTGTCTCAAAAAAACTTCTTTTAATTAAAAAACCAAATCTCACTTCCCCCAAAACAAAACTAACCCTTTCATGGATTGTATATGTATACTTCTGATTCTAGGCACTCTGTTCTCTCTCATTGATCTATGTTTCTGCCCTTGTGTCAGTATCACAGTGTTAACTACCATAGCTTTACAAGCCTTGCTAACTGATAGGAAAGAACCCCCCACCTCATTTTCCTTATTTCTTTATTTAAGAATGTCTTGGGGCTGGGTGCAGTGGCACATGCCTATAATCCCAGCACTTTGGGAGACTGAGGCAGATGGATTGCTTGAGTCCAGTAGTTTGAGACCGGCCTGGGAAACATGCTGAAACCTCATCTCTACTAAAAATGCAAAAAATTAGCCAGGCATGGTGGTATGCAGCTGTAGTCCCAGCTACTTGGGAGGCTGAGGTGGGAGAATCACCTGAGCCTAGGAGGTTGAGGCTGCAGTGAGCCAAGATCATGACACTGCACTCCAGCCTGTGTGACTGGACTCTAGGCACGGTGGCTCACACCAGAAATCACAATAGTTTGGGGGGCTGAGGTGGGAGGATTGCTTGAGCCCGGGAGTTCAAGACCAATCTGGCAACATAGGGAAAACCCACCTCTACACACACACACACACACACACACACACACACACACACATAAGCTGGGCATGGTGGTGTGCGTCTGTGGTGGCAGTTACTCAGGAGGCTTAGGTGGGAAGATAGCTTGAGCCCAGGAAGTCGAGGACACAGTAAGCCATAATTGCACCACTGCACTCCAGCCTGGGTGACAGAGTGATACCCTGTCATCAAAAAAAAAAAAAAAAAAAAAAAAAAAAAAGAATTTCTTGGCTATTCTTAGATCTCTACACTTCCATGTGAAATTTCCATTCAGCTGTGACGTTACAGAATACACAAATGCACTCTTAGCACTTTGATTGAGAGTGCACTGAATCTGGAAAACATTTAGGGATATTTCAAACCATCATCTATTTATTTACACTGTTTAAGCCTCAAATCTTTTTGAAAGGCTTTTGAAGAGTTTACACTAGGTGGTTAGGAAATCTGGATCATGGAAAGATGTGAAAATAGGCACCAGAGAGAACAAATATGGTGATAATTAAGCATCAAATTTGCCTGGAGTTGGGGGAAGGGGAAGCTATTCTTTTTAATTTGTAGGAAGAGGCTACACATGACGGAGCACCTGTAGTCCCAGCTATTTGTGAGGCTGAGGTGGGAGGATTGCTTGAGTCTAGTAGTTGAAGCCCAACCTGGACAATAGAGCAAGACCCCATCCCTAAAACAATTTTTTGTAAGGAGAAAGCTAAGCTAACATTGTTAGCAATACATGTTTCCTATTGCTGAGATTGCATGGGAATTTATGAAGGGCCACAGAAGGACAATAATGAATAATGAATGGTTGCATTAATTGAAAATGCAGACTCCTTTCCATATATAGCCACTTATTTTATTTTTTGAAGGAAAATTTGTATTGTTTTAATTATTTTTATATACAGAAAACTTAACAGTGTACATTTAACCCAGTTTGGTGGCAAGTTCTTTAGCCTTTGCCTTTTCAAGCTTGGCGATGTGAACCACAGACTTGGGACCCAGGACACTGCCTCCCCAGTGACGGTGGATCTCATCATATTTGTCGTTGTAATTGGTCCTGATAGCTTCCACCAGCTTAGCCAAAGCTCTTTTGTCTTCTGAGTTAACCTGTGTGAAGGCGGCAGTGGTGCAGGTCTTCCTGTGGACTGACTACACGCCCCAGTCTTGCCTTCCCCTTGATAATGCAGTAAGGGACCCCCCTTTTATGACACAGTGCAGGCAGGGAGACAACCAGCTTGATGGGATCCACGTTGTGTGCAATCACCACCAGCTGAGCTTTCTTGTTCTCTACCAAAGTGGTGATGGTGTTAACTCCTGCTCAAAGGACAGATGGTCTCTTAGTGGGGCTGTCCCCTTTGCCAGCAGCTTTCTTCTTGGCCTGGGACAAAAGCCTCTGCTTCTTCACTTGCTTTGTCTCTGGTCTGTACTTATGAGCCAGTTTAAGCAGCTGAGTAGCTGTTTGGCGGTCCAGGGCCTGGGTAAACTGGTTAATTGCAGGAGGCACTTTCAGCCTATAGCCACTTATTTTAAAGATCTCACCTGAAAAGCTGAAGGCAGAGAAAACCAGTCAGGGGCAGGGGGTGAGGTGAGTGCTGTGAGGCTAATATGAGTCCATTTCAAGACGTCTGCTGAGCTGGAGTTCAAGATAGGTGAGGATAGTTTAGGGTATACTGGAAAGAAGGGCATTTGGTCATGGAACTTGGCTTGGCTACTTTCTAACTGCAGGAATAGGGAAAGTGACAAAAATTTTTTTTTTTTTGGAGGCAAAGTCTTACTCTGTTGCTCAGATTGGAGTGCAGCTGGAGTGCGGCAGAACACTCATAGCTCATTGCAGCCACGACCTCCTGGGCCCAAGCGATCCTCCTGCCTCAGCCTCCTGAGTAGCTGGGACCACAGGCGTGCACCACCATGCCCAGCTAATTTTTTGATTTTTTTTGTAGAGACAAGGTCTCCCTGTGTTGCCCAAGCTGGTCTTGAACTCCTGGGCTCAAGCAATCCTTCGCCTCAGCCCCCAAAAGTGCTGGAATTATACGCATGAGCCACTGTGCCTGGCCCGACAAAACCTTTTTTTTTTTTGAGACGGAGTGTTGCTCTGTCGCCCAGGCTGGAGTGCAGTGGCATGATCTTGGCTCACTGCAAGCTCCGCCTCCCGGGTTCACACCATTCTCCTGCCTCAGCCTCCTGAGTAGCTGGGACTACAGGCACCTGCCACTGCGCCCGCCACCACGCCCGGCTAATTTTTTGTATTTTTAGTAGAGATGGGGTTTCACCGTGTTAGCCAGGATGGTCTCGATCTCCTGATGTTGTGATCCACCTACCTCTGCCTCCTGAAATGCTGGGATTACCGGCGTAAGCCACCCCGCCCGGCCCTGACAAAACCCTTTTAAGGCTCACTTTCTTCATCTGTAAAATGGACTCCACAATGAACAGCAGATTTCAAAGCTTCAGTGAGCTCACGCAGAGAGCCTGGCATACTATAAGCCCCCACGGAGGCTGGTTTGCTCCTAGTCTGCTTCCTGCAGGACTCCGGTGTGGAGTTTAGGATCTGGGTAGAAGAAATGGACTGTCTCGGAATATTCCCCCCAAATTGCTCTTCTCTCCAAAGCAGCACTGGCAGGACCTGAGCTTCACAAGCCACAGGGATGGCTTTGGGGTCCAGACTGAGACGGGCATGTCCCAGAGTCCCTCTCCCAGCCTCCACCATTCCACTTTCCTGCCCGGGGTCCCCAGGGCTGCCTGGCTTGTGCCTCAGCCATTGGATCACAGCAAACACACAGAGACCCTGAGATAGAAGAGCAGGGCCTGGAGAGGGGAAATCTGACTCCAGTTTCTTGCAGGCCCTCAAGAACTGGAGCCCGTGCAGTCTGGGGCCTCTGCTGGTGGCGGTTGCGGTTCTCCAACCTGCCAAATGATGAGAATCATCTGGACACCAATGCAGTTTTGAAGGCCCTGTCCCTGGGGAGTCCAGTTCAAGGCAGCTGGGGCAGGCAGGGGTTTGGGTTTGTCCCGGCCTCCAGGCAGTTTGTCTCTTTGGGCAGGCTTGGGAGCTGCTGAGAGTGGGTTGAAGAGCTAGGGCTCTCTGGAACCATCTGGATCCCAGCACCAGCTTCCCCACTCCACACTACTGGAGTGGCCTTAGGTAGGTGATGTTTTTAACTTCTCCGGGTTTCAATTTCCTCCTTGGAAAATGACAGAATGAGATTTGCAGGGTAAGCATTTAGCCCTGGGCCTGGCACAAAGTAAGCACCAACAGATGTTAGGCAATAATCCATACTGTTATTCCACGCAGCTGTGGGCTGCAGCAGGGTGAGGAGCCCATGGTGATCTGAGGGTCTCGCCCTCGGGTCTCTTCACTGCTCACCACTGGGGTGAGCTCTCCTCTGAGTCGCAGCAAGAGGGCCGGGCTGCATCCCTGGAGTCCCAGCTGCCACCATCCCGTCTGAGATTCCTCTCAGACTCAAAGGGAATAATAAGTGTGCTTCTCTGGTAATTTGTTGTGCCTGGCACATAGAAATCATCCAGGAATTGTTAGCTAATATCATGTCTGTACTCTTTAATGGACAAACATTTCCTGGCGCCTACTCTTTGCCAGTCCTGAACTGGGATGGGACCACGCTACATACTGGGGCTCTGGAACCAGCCTGCCTGGGCTTGAAACCAAGCTCTGACACTGACCAGCTGTGTGACCCTGGGCAACGTACTCCTTCTTTCTGGGTTTAAAATGAATCCTTCATCTGTTTCCTCACGATAACCCAGAGGTATAAAAAGGGATTCAATGGGTTCACTTGTAAAGAGCTCAGAACAGTGCCTGGCACGCGATAAACTCTGTGAGTGATAAATTAAAGGCAGGCCACAGGCCCCTTTCTCCAGGAGCTCAGCCTGGTAGGGGAGTCGGCAAGGCTTAGAGGCCACAAGGCTGTTGCCTGCGGCGTAGAAGCGCTGGGCCTGAGCTCGGAATGCTTCCCGGAGGATGCGAGGGGCGGGCGCTGCGGGGAAGACGGTGCTACTCCCGCGCGGGACCGCGTGATGTTTCCGAGTCAGCGGTGAAACCTGCGGCTTCCGCGCGTCCTTTAAAAATACAGGTATTTAGATACACACCGTGGCGTCGACTTAAGGTGAAATCTAAACAAAATGAAAGGACGGGAGCTATTCTGATTTGGCCGAACCTGTGCCTGCGGGCTGGGAATGACCCAAGGAAACGAAGGGACGGCGGAGCCAGTGCGGCGGGGGCCGGGTGGGAGGCGGTGGCCTCGTGCTGGGGACCCCCAGCCCCGGCTCGCCTTTGCCGGGAACCACCAAGCTAATTTTTTTCCCTTTCTTTTTTAAATAAACCTACCTTCCTTCCCCCATTTTTTCCTTTTAATATCGCTGTTTATCTCCATTTTTTTTAACTGCGGCGTGTTCTTGTTCGATTTTAAAAAATACTAAAAATAAAATGAGTCCCCTAGGTGCCTCCCTGGCGCCCTAGGCATGGAGAGCTCATGCCTGCGCCACCCTCATCTCCGCTGGCTTTGCCACCTCGGAGGCGCCCCACACTTCTCCTTTGTTTTGCTTTTCTCTGAGCCGGTTGAGTTTTCTTACCCTGAATGCGTCGTTTATACAATTAGCAACTGAACACAGAACAAATATCACCGATATAATTGGGGTGGGGGTCGCCATGTAAACACGGGGTGTTGTTACTTTAGGATACTTCTGACCCTGTCCCGGCCTGAGTCCTCGCTCCCTGACTCAGCATCCACGCAGGAAAGCCTCGCCCCAGCCAGGCAAGGGCAGTCCCTGCCGGCTCCTTGAGTTCTGCCGTCTACAGCTTGCCCCATCATGAGCCTGGATGTGAGGCCTGAGATCCTCACCCCACTGGCAAGAGTCTGGGTTCTGCTCAGCGCGGCCTGGAGCCATTCTGTCTGCATCTTTACTGGAGAGACATCCACAGTGTGGCGGGCTCTGGCTTCAGGAACACTCTCCCCAGTATGTGTCCTGTGTGTTTCCCAGCTCCCGTTCCCGCTTAGAGACTGGATGATCTTGACCACCCACGTAACCTCCTCAGTTTCCCGGTCTGCAAATGAAGATGGGTTCGGTGAGAGAACTCCTGTATACACTTAGCTGGGGTTGCTGGCATTTGGTGAGCCCTGGCAGATGCCAGCCAGCCGTTGTTAGCCTTTGTGAGCGCCTTGGGAAAGCTGCAGGAGATCCTGGGTCACTCAGCTGGTCCCCCAAGGGAGAGTATGACACATAAAGAGGGAAGTATCATGGAGAAATCCTCGTGGTATAACGTTAAGTGAAATAAATATTGTTTCTAATGCTACTGCAGACACCTGTAAGGTGAAAAAGGCCCACAGGAGTGCGGGACGGAGGCCACAGCGATCTGGTTAAGAGCAAATACGGGTCATTTCGGATAGAAGAATTTCCCAGTTGTGTGAGTTAGGCCTGCTGGGGCTGTGGGCTGGGGCTGCCTAGCAGGAGAGCACCGTCCTGCTTAGGAGCTGGTCTGGCAACCTGGAGGAGCCTCAGTGTGTCCCTCCGTAAGACTGAGACAGGAACATGTTAAAGACTCGCAGCAGGGTCACAGGCCCAGGAGGTGGAATGCCAGGGCTGAGCTGATCATCCGGCTCCCACTCCTGATGGCTCTCTCTAGCTGCCAGCTGGCCCAGACCTTCAGGTCCCTTCTTCTACTCAGCCAAGCCTTGAGCACAGCCCTTTCCTCTTCCTTCCCACAGCACAGCCCAGAACCCTGTGATGGTAGACTGCCTGCACTCCACTGCCCTTGTATCCTACTGTGTCCAGTGGTAACACTGGGTATAGACAGTGGTTGTACTTAGAACCTCCTGGCATCCTCCCCTCTTCCACGGGCGTGTGGCACTTACCCAGAGAGACACCACAGGCGCTGGCGGGGCTGCATGGTTCCTGGTGAGGCAGTAGGACAGCTCCTGGTTGTGCCAGGCCAGCCTGGCGACCCTTACTGGGAGTCAGGGGAACATTGAGAAGCACTCGGTTCCTGGCTGCCACAAGCAATGCTTTGGCTGTGTCAGGGAGCTCTCAGCCGGATGCCCCAATGCCCCAGGCCTCCAACTCAGTGCTTCCTGGGCAAAATATCAGAAAAACCCATATCCAGTGAGAAAACAAATCCTCAACTCCCTCTGGCTTTGGTCCCTTTTAAAGACGTATCTTAAAAAGATCCTGGGTCAGTTCCTCAGGCTCTGGGGCTGGTGATAGAGGAGCTGGAGGTCCGGTCCCAGCACCTGCTGACTGGCGATCCTGGATGCGAGCAAGGTGTGTTTGTTATCCTCATTTTACAGACAAACAAGAGCAACCACCGCCGCCGCCGCCACCACCACCACCGCCACCACCACCACCGAGGCATGCAGTGGGCAAGTCCCATAACAAGCAGGGTTTAAACTTGATTTCGCTGAGCCTCAGTTTTCTCATCTATAAAATCAGGACACTAGTAACATTTGTTGGTCAGAACTATGGTGAAATTAAATGCCCTAAGGAAAGGACATCAGTAAGGTTAGGGCTTAGGGGCTCCCTTGACCATGTGAATTTATGGGGCCTCACCACAGCTGGAGGTGAGCACCATCCGCAGGACACCTCTCTGGGGTCCAGCCTCGGCACTCAGTCCCACGGGCAGCTGATGAGGCCCCGACGTGGCATCTGGGGGCATCTGAGGAGCCTGAGAACGCTTGCCAAGGGCTTGGGTTCTTGGCTTTTCCATCTGGAAACAGGCTAAGGAGTTCTTTTAAGTGGGATGATCACGGTGCTCTCCAGCTACAGAGGGCCCAGGTTCTTTTGCTGTCCATTTAATGCCCAGTGCCTGGAACCGTGCCTGGCACACATTAGGATTCAAGGAGGGGAGCTTGGGAGCACAGGGAAGGCGGTCTCTGAAGTGAGGCATCCTGAATTTAACCAGAGTTCGACTAGTACTGGCTATTTGCTCGCAGGTAAGTCATTAAACCTCTCCGGGCCTCAGCTTCTAAACTTTAGGATTTTTTTTTTTTTGGATTATTGAGGATTATATGAGACAATCTCAGAAAGTGCCCGACACGGAACCAGTATGGTTCCAGCAAGGGTTAGGTTTTATTAGTATCAATGTTATCAATTTGCTCAGGGAATGCCTGTGCCTGAGATCTGAGACCAGTCCCGGGCGGCCACCTCTCTCCTGCTTCTGAAGCGCCGCAAGCTGAAAGAAGCACACGTGCGGGGTCAACGCACTCTCTTTAATGGGAAGGGGATCGTCATTTCTTACAGCAATAGGTAAAAACATAAATACGGGTGGGTGCGTGGGCGGGCGACGGCGAGATAGCAAAGGCCCGGGCGCCCGGCCCTGGCTCGCGGAATGGGCGGCCAGATCTCAGGCCCTGCGTGCCCGAGCTCAGTCCCAGTTCCAACCGGGGGTGCCCATGGACTCTCGGAGGGCACTCCTGGGGGGACAGCTAAGACACCAGGCTGCAGGATCACTCATTGCACGCTGCATAATCGCCGCCACAAACTCTCCCGTGCGCAAGAACAAACGCGCGTGGGACAGAAAAAGTTCCTAGGTCTCCGCAGGAGTGAATGCAAAATCCAGGGGACTCAGGGTCATGTTGGGAGCCCCTTCTCCCCCCGAGAGTCAGGGAGCTGTTGAGGTGGGATCGGTCAGGGTCGCGCCACGCGGGTCCCTTCCCTACCAGGCTCGGATACCATGCAGCGTGGACACTCCCGAGTTGCTCTGCGGAATCCCGGGGCTCTGAACCGCATTCAAGTCCCCGACGCCGAAGTTCACGAAGTTGTTGTTGGCGGCGGCAGTGGCCGGCTGCGCTGGGGAAGGCCCGGCGGGGTAAGCGGCAGTGCAGCTGTAGCCAGGGCTGCAGGCCGCGCCGCCGTAACCCGGATAGGCGGGGTAGGCGTTATAACCGTAGGGATTGAGGCCCACGCCGTAGGCAGGCGCGTAGGGCGCCGAGTCCCCTAGGCATGGCTTGCCATCGCGCACCAGCACTGGCACCGCGATCCTGCGGGCAGGCGGCGGCGGCGGCGGGGGCAGCCCCACCAGCTCCAGAGTCTGGTCCTGCCGCTGCCGCTTGCACTTGTAGCGCCGGTTCTGGAACCAGATCTTGACCTGCGTGGACGTGAGTTTCAGCACGCTGGCCAGCTGGTCGCGTTCGGGGGCCGACAGGTACCGCTGCTGCTTGAAGCGCCGCTCCAGCTCATAGACCTGCGCCTGCGAGAAGAGCACGCGCGGCTTCCTCCGCCGTCGCGCCCGGGGCCGCTCCGCGTTGTCCGCCTCTGTCTTCTCCAGCTCCACCGCCTTCTGCAGCGCGCACAGCTCTGAGGGGGAACAGAGAGGCAGAGAGACGCTTGGTAAGAGCGGCTTGACCTACGGAGCGCGGCCGCACAGTAATGGTAAGGGATCCTCGTGGAGGCCACTGTGTCCTGCCTGGAGCGCCCAGCTGGCTGCGGCTCACTCTGCCAAGTGCACTGGGAGCCACCGACACGTCTCACTCAGCATTTGTAGAAAGTCAGGCTGGCTCAAGGCGCTGGAGAACAAAACGGGAGGTCTCTGCCCTCGGGGCAGTTCACACCCTGGTGAGGGAGACAGACGGTGACTTAAAATTTCAGGCTGCAAAAAAAAAAAAAATAAATAAAAAAATAAAAAAATAAAAATAAAACCAGGTGATGCTCTGGGGTGAACTGAATTAGGGCTAGTTTGGTTTGAGAAGTTAAATGAACAGAGGCCGAGGCCTCACTGCTAGGGACGGTCTTATCTCAAAATTAAGGAATCAAGAAACAGAAGGCCAGGGAGTGTTGGTTTGGTGATCGGAGGCTCCAGCCTGGCCGCAGCAGGGTTTGCGCAGTGTCCAAGAAGCTGCGGGTGGGCAGGCGGCCTCGGAACCTGCCTTGCTGGCTTCCTCGAATTGGTAGCGATCAGTTCTAGCCGCCGTGCCCGCCCGAATTTGTTCCCAGGCCTCTGCTCCTCAACAAACCTATGAATTCTCTCCCGGCTGGCAGCGGCCCTTCGCCCAGCGCTTCGCCCAGCGCCTGCGGCCTCCCGGGAATCGCCCGGGCTCCTGCCTTGGGCTGGGGGGTCTCCCAGAAGGCCCCTTTCTGCAGCGGGGCCGGCCTCCCTCCCCGATCCTGGGATGGCCTGCGGGATGATCCCGCACTCATCTCGTCCACTCCCTTGTGCCCGCGGTAGCGCAGCATTTCCTAACTTTTCCACGAGGGAACCTCTCCGCCCTGGCCGCGCCGGCAAGTTGTGCTGAAAAAATAAAGTGAAGTCAGATTCCTGAGGGTCCGCAGTATCCCATTTTAAAATCAAGGCCCTCGATCCCAGACTCCACTTTCCTGGCGCAAAGAAAGAAAGGCACCAGAAACCCGGGTCGTGGGTGGGCTGCAGAAAGAAGGTCCAGGACCCTCCTCCGATTGTACGCAAAAGCTGTCTGGTGAGCAACATTTCAATTTCTGTTTAGCGGTTCTCATCAGATCTTTAAAAAGATTCGTAAATCCAAAGGAGATTTAAAAACAGAGATTATCTGCTTGTCTCTCTGTTCTGTCTACCATAAACCGATTTCTCAACTTCCTACCAGACCCAGGAGCAGAGCCGAAGCCGCCCGGGGCTTTGTTAGGCCGGGGGGAAACGTTTTTTGGTCTCTTGCTTCTGATCCTTTCAATCCGGCATTTCCTCTGAACCTCCGATTGGACGCGGGGCGCGGGAGCCTGGCGACAACACCAGGCATCTTACATTCTGAACCCCCCGCCGCAGCCCAGCCCTCGGCCCAAGGGCGCGTGTCTCCTCCTCCTGGCCCTGAGTTTCTTGGGGACGAAAGCGACCCAGGAGGGGAGAAGGGGGCCTGTGTTTCCTCCTCACCTTTCTTTTCGGCTCTAGGGTCCTTGGCTGGGTCGGGGTCGCTGTAGGCACGTGGATAGAAGGCGGGGGCGGCGGGAAAGGCAGACGCACACTTGGCCGGTGAAGGCGCGCGGCCCAGCTCTGCGCGCAGCTCTGGGAGGCCCGGCGCAGCCGCCTCGGGCCCAGCGTAGGCCTCTGGCTTGAAGGCGGCCAGCATGCAGGAGGAGGGCGCCAGGGTCGCCTCCAGGCGGGCAGAGAGCTCTCCGGCGGCAGCCAGGCTGCGCTGCTGCTGTTCCAGGTTTAGGATGTCTTTGACTGAGAAGGGCGTGGGCGTGAGAGCAGGGCTGGGGAACATGGTGGCAGCGCCAGTCTCACAGCGCCAGGTGGGCGGCAGAAAGCGGCGCTGCCCACGGCCCCTGGCAGCTTCCCTGCATGGTGCCGCCGCCCGCCCGCGCACCCGTCGGCCAGCTCTGGATGTG
The DNA here is from genome assembly GCF_000001405.40 of Homo sapiens. NCBI lineage: Eukaryota > Metazoa > Chordata > Mammalia > Primates > Hominidae > Homo > Homo sapiens. The sequence goes on from NC_000005.10 coordinate 173,235,208, forward strand.
TCCGGGCAGCAGGTAGCGCTGAGCACAAGGGGCAGGAGAGGCGGGACCAGGCCAGAGGAGGGGGACTCAGCCTGCCATTGGGCCAGGGGCCTCGATGACAGGAGCGATGAGCAGTTTCGTGTCACCTAATATAGTCATACGGCAAAAAAAAAAAAAAAAAAAAAAAAAAAAAAAAAAAAAAAAAGCCCTGCCCAGCTTTTTTAAAGGGGCCACGACGCATTTGGAAGGGTCTCCTTTTGCTCCTGCAGCCTGCGTTTGCTCCCTAATGTGAGCCTGAAAAGCCTACCAGAGGCATGCAGAGTCAGGCCTCTGGGCAGGGCTGGATGGGTGTGGGTTTGAAGAAATATTCCTCAGCACCCAAACCAGCATGGGAGAGAGAAGGATGGGGTGGGAAGCGGTGGGGAGGAGAGTGATTTGAGGAAGGCTTTATTACTGAAGGTGGTGGGATGAGGGAGAGTCTGAATAGGAAGAGAAGCCTGGAGGACAGGGCTGGCTTTGGGGATAGCAGCAGGGCGAGATTCTGGACAATTCGGGGGTTTGGTTTGGCTTGGCCTACAGGGTCAGTCATGCCGCAGGCTCTGGGTGCTTCTGGGCGAGTCAACGAAAGTAAGGGCAAGGTGAGTGATGGCCAGGTGGGGTAGGAGTTGCTGCCTCCTACAGTAGTGTTATGCACAGCACAACTCCAGGGGGCATCAGTCACTGCCAGTACCCTCCCAGGGAAATGCCTCTCCCCTTAATAATGAAATAAATCAGGAATCCCAGCTGGTAAGCTCAGCTTCCCAGGAGACACCTGTCTTGTGGAGTGCCCCAGCTACCAGCCACCTTGTTTCCCCTGTTTGGAGGCCATCGATCCCACCTCCCTCCTTCCCGTGCCCTCCCTGCCTGGCAGCAAGGCCCTCAGGCTTCTGCCAACCTCGAGGTTTCAGGGTCCTAGCCCAGGTTTAGCTCTCAGGGAGGCGGGGCTCCTCTGAGCCCAGCTAGGCCAGGATTTCTCTGAGGCCTCTGGGCCGGACTTCCAGTGGGGCACCCCTGCGGCTCGGTCAGGCGCGTGGGGGAAGGGCAGGGCAAGTGGGGTGATCATGATCATTTTTAGCCCAGGGTCAGTAGAGTAGGGCACAGAAGTCAGACAAATCTGCCAGAGTTTCAGGAGCGCCAGCTACATGGCCAGATCCTGCCCGGGTGGCCTCATTTCTCTGGGTCCCCGCACTCCTTGGGAGGTCTGATGAAAGCTTGGGGTCTTCTCCATTCCCCAGAACACTGCAGAGAGGAGTTTTATTTTGCTTACAATTCAGGAGTCCGGGCAGGCAGAGCGGGCCCAGGTTAAGGACGCCTTCTAGAGCTGGGGATGACAGGATTTGTCAGTGGAAAAGCGTTGGCTTCTCACGGCCCTAGCTGGTACAGGGAACCGCGGGCGGGAAGCTGGGCGGGACGCGTGGACTTGCTGAGAATGGGGATGTGGAGGGCTTGGCTCTTTGCGGAGTGCGGGTTGGCAAGAGGCGCTTGGAGTAGAATAAAGGCGGCGCAGGGCCAAAAACTACCTAAAGACACAGCTCCCGCAGGCGCGCCCAAGGTGCGGAGGAAACGCTCCATGTATGGGGACAAAATAGTGTCTGTCCAGAACGTACATCTTGGGTGCTCAAACCCGACAGTGTGCCGTCTGAGACGCCGACGCAAGTGAAGTCAAGCATTGGCCTGATGTTGGGACTTTTCCTGTCCCTCATCAAAGCCACACTCCCAGGACCTGGGGCCTCCATGCTGGGGAGAGAGGTGAGCCCCGCAGGGCAGCCCAGGAGGCGCGCAACGCCCTGACCCCGGCTTCTAGGCGCCAGCCGTCAGTAACAGGCCTGGGCTGCCACGCCGAAATCACGCCTCGAGTTTCTGAGCCAGGGACTACTGGGGGTCTGGAATTGTTAGTCTAGTCTGTGGAGGATGCCTTTTCTTAAATGTGGGGCGTTCAAGGCCCAGGAAACCTCGTCCCCCCACCTCTTCACCTCCCAACCCAAATTCTCCTTGGACGGAGCTGCATGTCAGCGGCCTTGCGGCCCTTCCTCGCCTGGACTTTTGGCCACGTTACCGTTATGGCTGTAAATTAACCTAGCTTGGGGGCCCGCCTTGCCTTTGAAGATTGTTTTCGAGCGCGGGCGGGGGGGGGTGTCGTTGGAGAGGATGCCTATCGCCGAGGCGGTGACGTCTGGCAAACGAGCCACATCCGATTCAATTAAATGTCTCGCTGAAAAGAGCTCGGAACGAGGGTCCTGGGAGCGCTGTTAAGTGAATCTGCTGGCCAGGCGGCTCGCGATGACAGTTTGAAAGATTAGTGTGAGCGGACGCCTGAAATATTACCGTTTAATGGGGGACATCGAGGCTACATCCGGGATCCCTGTTTTTAGTAAGGTTTTTTTTTTTTTTTTTTTGAGAGCTCTGGAGAAAGAAAAAAATTAGCATTGCCCTTGCAAATCAAGGTGGCAAGGATTTATTTCCTATTTTCGGGTAAGGGGGCTTCCTAGAACTGTCAGTCCTGTGGGTCAGGTGTTACAAAAAGGGAAGGAAAAAAAACTCTCCCTATTTGAACAAGATCAGTGACTGTTACACTCTCTATGCTCTTTGTGAATCGGGTAATGATTTCTCTTGGCTTCCAAAAAGGTCTTGGTGTTGCAGGAGAGAGGAGATGGGGCAAAAACGGACAAATACGTGCAAAATAGAAATTGGGGCGACCCATGCTGGTCTCCTTAGAGGAAAGTCCGAGAGCCATTTGCAGCTTTTCTTTCCAGTCCTCACTGTTTCCGAGTGAGTTAAAAAAAAATCCCTCTAAATAGATCTAAATAGAAATTGCAATAGTTGGGGGTTGGGTGGGAGGAAACTTGATTCTCTGGCCCCCAACAGGGACACATCTTTTTTTCCCAAGGGCCGCTGACCCAACCTGGCCGCCTCTCTGCGCCGCACTTTGACCAAACTAGCAGGACAAACAAACAGCCTTCAGCCTAGAGAAAGGCAGAGAGAGACAAAAGGAGAGAGAAGAGATCGAAAATCTATCTGTGTATTTCCTTGACTTTTAAAGAGTTGGTGCTTTAAGATAATCCAAATTCCAGGGTGGCTCGAGCGCATTCTCCGTGAATAAATTATTATTAATTGAAAAGCGATCGGCGCAGCCGGAGCCGGCCCCCCTTTCGTGCAATCAGCAGGGCTGGTCGCAAAAGGTATATATGATTAATTGAAAGATAAGCTGGAACTATCACCGGGAATGTCATTAATGCGCTGGGGAGACGTCCATTGGAGACAGGCGGCGTTATCCGCGGCTTTATCTTCAACAACGCCTCGCTCTCGGCCCGCGCGGGGGAAACAGATGGGAGTTTCTGTCTGGGACGCTCGCCCCATGTTTATATTTTGGGAAGAATCGCAACTCGTGGGAGTCCCCGGCTGGCCCCCTGATAAATGAACATTAGCACTTTTTCGGACTACTGTATCAACAAAGGGGCTGCGGCGCTGCAATAATTGGCGAGAAAGCAAACAGAGGGCCGAGAGCGCGACTCTGCTCTTCGTCCGGCTGATGGATGAGCAGCTCCGGCTGCGCGCCGGACTCCCGGCCTCGGCCTCCGCCTCCGCCTCCGCCTCCGCCTCCGCGCTGGGCCCCTCCGCCGCCCGGCTTCCTTCCTGGCCGGGAGTTGGGGGCGGGGGGCGACTCTGAGGGCCGCCGACCTCGCCCTTGGCTCCGGAAGAGTCCAGGCGGCCTCCGCGGCACCGGATTTTTCCTGCCTCGGGACTCGCCTCATTCAGGTGGCTCAGCTGGCACCAAATCCTTCTCATTTCCACGCTTGTTCAGTGCCCACGGGGTGTGCCAGGCGCTCTCACGGATCTCGTCACGGATCCTCTTATTCCGACTGCAGGCCTGAGGAGAATGAGGTTCAGAGACGTGGAGTAAGTTGCTCAGGGTCACACAGATGGGAAAGGACAGTGTCAGGGTGTTAGGATTCGAACACACAGCTGACTGCACAGCTGAGACTGTTTTCTTTTATTACACGTCGCTGCGCCCAAGACCGTACCAACTGGAGGAAGAGCAAGACCCCCACCATCACCCCCCACCCCGCAGCCAGGGGAGAGGACCAGGCTGTTGGATTTGAGATGCCAGGTCTCCCCAACCTTCATAGACAAGGGAGATTTCCTGCATAAAGTTCATTTGAGAAAGAGAGGGGGAGAGAGGAATTTAACATGCGTTCATTTCACTTCCGCCTTCCCCTCCCCTCGCTCTCCCACTTTTCCTTTCCCTTCTCCCTTCCCTCTCCTATTTTGATAACAGCTTTATCGAGATATAATTCGCATACCATACAATCCACCCATTTAAAGTATACAGTTCAGTGATTTTTAGTATGTCCACAGAGTTGTGAAACCAACACCACAATTTTAGAACATTTTTATCACCCCAAAAACAAACTTGTGGTCTTTAGCCATCAACTCCAATCCCCTCTCCTACCTTCCCAGCCCTAGGCAACTGCTAATCTATTTTCTGCCCCTATAGATTTGCCTGTTCTGGACATTTCATACAAATGGAATCATACAATATGTGGCTGTTTGTGTCTCGCAGCGTTCACTTAACATAATGTTTTCAAAGTTCGTCCATGCTGTAGCACGTATCAGCATCTTGTTCCTTTTAATGGCTGAACAATATTCCATTGTATGTCTATGCCACACTTCGTCCATTCATCACTTGGTAAACATTTGGGTTATTTCCACATTTTGTCTATTATGAATACCCCTCCAGCCCACTTCTACCTTACAGTCTGAAGCTTTAGAGTCCTTGAAAGGGCCCTTCCCCCTCCTCCATAATTAACCCTATCCTTCATGGGCATGGCATCTGTGCAGTCTCACAGGGCCTGAGCTTGGTTTAATGTTCCGCTGTTGCTGTCTTAAAACTCTTCATAAGTTTTTAAGCAGAGTCTCCACATTTCTATTTTGCGCTGAGCCCACAAACTATGTAGTCAATCCTGCTTTCTGGGCTGTCTGAGCAGAGCACTGGAAATACTAACTCTCTATTGCCTAGCTGGGTTTTGGCTTCCTTCCCTCACCCCCCACCCCTCCCCAGCCCCCTGCTAGCCAGCTAGGACAGACAGAAAGTCTCCAAGCTGCTTTAAGAGCTGTCCATGGAAACTTGCTCAGCCATAGGAAGGGCCTAGAGCCCACAGAAGGAAAGAGCAGATCCACATGGCTAGTGGATACTGTGCGTATGTGTGTGTGTGTGTGTGTGTGTGTGGCTGTGAGGGGAGAGGCTAAAAGAGTGGACCGTAGCTTTCACCCAGCTGCCAAGTGACTCCACAGCTTGGTCACTGTTGGATTCTTGGCCTGATTTTCTCCATCCCTTCACCTACATTGAGTGGGTGCCCACTATGTACCAGGTGCTGGGGTTGCACAGCCCAAGATGCACAGACCCTGAAAAAGGCAGGCGTGTGTCAGAAAGAGCGCTGGCCTCTGAGCCCGCGGTGGGTGTGGTCCTGCCTTTTCAGCAGTTGGCTCATCTTGAGCATGTCTCTTTTCCTGTCTGGTCCCCAGTTTTGTGTCTGTCTCCTTGGTGGTATGAGGTGTACACAGCGTTCCTTTCCAGCGACACTATCCTGGGAGACATCCCAGGTTGTTACCTGAACTCACCTGGACAGTGGGCAGAGGTAGACAGGCACGTGGGTAGTTGTCTAACCAACAAAGTAAAACTGGTTAAGATGAGAAGTCCCCGCCAATTGCAATATTATGCTATTTGGGGTGGGGGGAGGGATGGTCTATATGACAATATGCTTTCAAAATAAAATGATGTTAACGTAAGGAAAATGTGATGGATTTTTCTTATACCAAATACATTCAATTTCAGATAGATCAAACATTTGGACGTTAAAAATGAAACACAAAAGTGCTACAGATAATTAAAATAATAATTTTGGAGTGCTTTTATATTTGAGAGGGGGATTAAGAGAACAAAAGACCTAGAAACTATAAAAGATGAATTATATAAACCTGATTGCATAAAAATAAATCTGTGCACAGCAAAAATACCATTAATAGAATCCAACAGAAAACTGTACTCAGGAAAAATGCTAGAAATACATGACAAAGTACTGATTTCCACAATTTGGAAAGAATACCTGTAAATCAATAAGAAAATGATCCAGCAAAAATATTTGAAAAATGACCAAGAGTATCAGAGCCTTGCTGGAAAAAATAAAAAGAAATAAAGAAATGCAAATTGAAACACAGAGAGGCAAATGTTTTTACTTATCAGACTGACGAAGATCAAAAAGTGTAATAGTTGCCTCGTCATGCTTCTACATTGTAAACTGGTAAACCTCTTTGGAGCAATGTGGTACTGCCAAAATTAAAAATGAATAAGCTCTTTGAACAAATATTTTCATTTCTAGGATTCCATTCTATAGGTATATACATATATGCAAAGAAAAGTATTTTCATCACCGTTTTTAATTTTTTTAAGAATCAAAACATGTTAAAAAAACCAGTGTATATATACCTGAGGACTGGTTAAAAAATTATGTTGTACCAATAGAACAGAATACCATATGCCATGAGAAAGAATTAGTTCCATTCATATGTATTCTTATGGATATGTTTTGAGATACTTTAAATAGCAAACCAGGTGCAGAATTTGTATTTTAAATATGGGCATATGTACACATATGGTTCACATGTGGGGTTTTTTGGTGATGAAAACTTCAGGGGAAGAATAATTGGGGGGCAAGTCAAGAATAAACATGACAGTTTCCGTAATACACTTTTTGGAACAGGTTCCTTGTTACTTTTGGGGCTGTAGAAATATCTAGGCCAGAATCCTCTGAGGTACATATTAAAAATGCAGATTTCTGGGGCCCATCCTAATCTTGGAGTTTAAGAATCAAAGGTGTGTGTATGGTTTGAGACAGGCAGCCGAAGCAGCGGTGCAGTGAACTCTCTGTGAAGGGGTGGCAGCGGAGCCCGTGGTGTAGGAAGACTGTGCAGGGTGGTCAGCGGAGCCCTAGAGAGAGGGGAGGAAGGGTGGCCTTTGTCTAGTAGTACCTGGGAACAGGACCCTGGTGGCACTGGCTGCCCTCAAGATCTCTCCTGACTTGTGGTTTGGTCTTGGGGTCTTGGACAGTATGAGTCAAGGGAGGGGGCAGGTATAGACAAACTAGAGGGCAGGCCCAAGTCTTGTGGTCACTGAGGATGCAGAGCCTGGTCCCTGTGAGAAGGTGGCAAAGTGGGAAGATGGAACTGGCTTGTGGCCTTGGTAGCCCCACCCGGGCGCTCCCCGCAGGCCAGCAGAGGAGTTTAGCAGTTCCTAGATTTCCTGACCCCTGGCCTTCAGCCCACTGTCCTTCCCTCTCCTGAGAGTCAGCCTCTAAAAATCTCTCTGAAATAGCCCTGCATCTGAACCAGATCTGGAATCTGACCTAACAAGGTTGAAGTGACTTTCCTGTCTGGGGCCGGGGTAGGGGTGTAAATGGAAATATTTCATACCTAGTTTCTCCAAACACGGTGGGGACTCTTGTAGCCACTGATCCTGGCAGCTCCCTGAAGTGTGGGGTCTGCCCAACGGTGGCACAGCCTGGAGCCTCTCAGGCCAGCAGGGACTCCAGCTGCAGGGGGCACCACTCTCATCCGCCGGTGAGATCTGAGGTTCCTGTCCGGGCCTGGCCTTCCCCCACAGCGCAGCCGGCCACCACATCTTTGCTGCAAGCGGGACTGTGTGCTGCTTACCGGCTGGGACTCAACATCCAGGGAGCATTTGGTCCTCCCACGCCTGTGGCCTTCAGTAGCCAGTCCCAAGGAGATGACAGCCACACACACCACACGTAACCACTGGATAAGTTTTGGGTCCTCATTTCTCGTTGATGTTAAACACATGAGCAAAAAAACCAAAAAAACAAAGCGGAACGACATTCATTTCCAAAATATTTTATGAGCTTGGACAGCGAGTGCTTATTCTTATCCCTCTAACAGGATGCACCAGTGTCTCTTGTTCCCGCTTTTGTTGGTTTCCTTAACAATGGTTTTACATTTACATCAGTCACTCTGCTAATGATATATTTTTGAATAAATAATACATCATAAGAACAAAACCAAACCAAAACGAACATGCCTAAGAGGGAGATCAATGTAAAGTGTCCCAAGCCTCTCCCCCAGCCACCCAGGCAAAGCTGTTACCTGGCTTATTTAGGTTTAAAATCCACTTTATTGAGGTCTAATGTACCTAGAACAAAAGTGTACAGTTCGATGAGTCTTGACACTTGGATGTGCACCCCCATAACAGCCACCATAATCAAGATACAAAAACATTTACGTCACCTCAAAAATGCTTCCTTCTCCCCTTCTCAGCTAATCCCCACTCCCTCCCAAGCTGCCACTGGTTTTAAAAATATATCCTCTTAGAGACTTTTTTTTTGCAAATTTAAAACATATTATAGGATGTATATATATACACATATTTTCTGAGAGCAATTACGTTTCACAAACTCCTTTGCATTTTGTCCTTGTCAGTTTTGTTTTGTTGTAAGTCAGTTTTCTTAGGCTCTGGGGAGTATGTTTCCCAACCCGAATTTGTCCTGGATTAGTGGATATGATCCGCTTTCAAACTAGTGTTAGGGTTTGCCTCGGATTCCGAGGATCCGAGGGAGTCGCTTTCAGACTTCCGGTGTCCTTTCGCGTTAATTTCGTCCTCTTTTCTTCTCTGGGCTGGGGCTGGTGGCTGCCACATCCCACCCCTTCTGCCCCGACGGCTGCAAACCGCTTCAGCCAAAACGGGCGGAGAGGCGGAGAGAATCGAGACGCTGGAATCAGTTCCTCGGAGTCCCGTCGCTGGAGGTCACAGCTGGGAAAATCAGGTGACATTCGAGTCAGATGGACAACGACTCAGATACAGTGAAGAGGAAAATGGTTGTCCTGGGGCTGGTTCGCGCCTGCCCGGCGGGTGTGAAGCCCGGGGAACCGCGACTTTGGAAGAACCTTCGGCTTGGCGGTTCAGGTTTGGGAAAAGAGAGCTGGCGAACTGCCGCCTGTTTTTGTGCCCGCGCGGGGGACCAGCCGGGCCGACGGCAGCGCTGCGGGTGGGTTGGGTCGTCGGCCGCCGCTCCCCGGAGAGGTGAAGAGTCGCACCTACCACCGGGCAGCCTCCGCGGCTCTGGCCGAAACCCCGGCTGGCCGCAGCTCCGGGAGCCCCCAGCCCTGTGCTGCTGCGGCCGGCTCAGTGCTGAATTGATGCTGGAAACGGCTGGCCAGCGGGCCTAGGGTCGCCGCCTTTCCCTCCTCGCCTCTTCCTTCCTTCCGGGTCGTGCCCTCCAACCTGCTGTGCGTTACCGCAGCCAAGTTTCCACCGCCCGGCGGAGCGCATTGTGAACAGCAGCTGACAAATTGTTGTGTTGCACACACACACCAAAAAAACCCATTCAGTCTCGTATAATTCGGCGCAAGCGGTGTCTGTGGAGAGCCTCCCGGGGGCATGGCACGGGGGACCCGGAGGCCAACAAGCTGCGCGATACCGGAGCAAAGTCGGGATCAGCAGCCGCCTTTCGCGGAGGGCGTTCTGCGCTCCAAGCAAATTGGCGAAATGCGGGGATTCAGACACGAAACGAGCGCGCTAGAAAGGGTCGTGTTGACACATCCCATACTTTAAGTGTACACATGACAGTTGCAGACATTCAAGCCCTTAAAAGGAGCACAATGGAGCGTTTACATTTTAGACCTGTGTCTATGGGATACATCTACAGCCACCAGTAACCCGCTTTGAATGTGGAGTTGATGTGCTTTATTTATTCATTTTATTTTATTTTATTTTTTTGAGACGGAATTTCGCTCTTGTCGCCCAGGCTGGAGTGCAGTGGTGTGATCTCGGCTCACTGCAACCTCCGCCTCCCGGGTTCAAGCGATTCTCCTGCCTCAGCCTCCCGAGTAGCTGGGATCACAGGCACGCATCACCATGCCCGGCTAATTTTTGTATTTTTTGTAGAGACAGGGTTTCACCATGTTGGCCAGGCTGGTGTCGAACTCCCGACCTCAGGTGATCGGCCCGCCTCGGCCTCCTAAAGTGCTGGGATTACAGGCGTGAGCCATGGCGCCCGGCCTGATGTGCTTTAAATTCGCTAAAACGACACGGGTACACACAGGCGCCCTAAGTGCACAGTCACTTTCTCTGTGTGTGCGTGTTTTACGCGCATACGGTGAAAAAAAACTTTCCAAGGGCACAGAAGACCATACTGTGGGTGCCCCTCGCCGCCCCCAGCGTCCCTGCCGCACTCTGGAGCTGCTCTGGGAACACACACGTTTGTGCACTCTAAGCGTCAGTGTGTTTTTGCTTTCCCCGCGCCGAATTGTGCGTCGCCTGTGCAGACCCTCCGTTGTGTGGCCTTGTGTCTTTAGGCAGGGAACATCTTTTGTCTCTCCGCAAGAAGCTTTCCTCCAGGAAAGATAAAGTAATCGATAGGGTCTTTTAAATAGCTCCGCGTTTCCTGTCGGGAGAGGAGTATCAGCGCGCGCACCAAATCTGCTCTGGTATGTCACCTTATCTCTCGTCCCCGCTGTTGTCCCCAAACGCCGCCTGTCAAAGGAGACGCCACCCGCATTAGGACCTAGACTGGGGCCCTTCCGCTCGGGGTCAGGCGCAGCGCCCTCGGCTTGGGCCCCGCCGCCCCTTTAGGGGTCCGGGAGGGTGGAGAGAAGGGGCGGGAGCCAGGATGAGGGTGCGGGGGGCCTAGAACCCGAGGCTGGTAGGAGAGCAAACTCTCAAACGCGCTGAAACCGGCCCATCTGGGAGAAATATTAGGGCGCATGTCTCTCCCGGAGGGCTTCCTTTTTTTTTTTTTTCCTAACCACGAAAATAGGGAATCTTTGTTACAGGCTAGTTGTGAGCGAATCCTCCTTTGTCCGCGTCCGGAGGAAAATCAGGTTTATTCTTCAGAGAGGGCAGCTTGGACTTTAGGAAGTGCCTGCCGGGTCCAAGTTTACCTTCCGGACTGCGACGAGGTGAGGTTTCGCCACCGTCCTAGCCTCTGTCCTCTCCCCAACCTGCAGCAAGTCAGCTCTGACTCCGGCGGGGCCGGAGTGCAGGGCAGAGGGGAAAGAAGGTGCCGCCAAGGCTGGTCCTTCAGTCACAGCAAAGGCCCTGTGGCCAGCCTAGGCGACCCCTTCCTGTGGCTAACCCTCCGCGATCTGCAGGCAGAAGTGTTTCTAGGTGCCCCACCAGCCGCTAGGCCCTGGGCCCCTTCAGACGTCCAAGCGCTGTTATGCAAATCTCCTCATTTTTCATTTTCTGTATTCAAAGTCGGCTGTATCCAGTTTTTTAAAAATAAAAATAAACCAAATAACAATAACAAAGCACTCTCAGTCTCCTCCTGCCTTCCATGCACAAACCCATCAATGACCTCTATAAACATGGGAGTCAGCCTCTCGGTGTTTCCAGCCTCACAATTACCCACGGGGATCCCCTCTCTTGAGAAGCTGTAGGGAAAGATACCTCTTGGCTTCAACACAGACTTGCTCCCTTCCGACTTGCCCGGGATCACTCTGGATTACTCCAACTGCTGACGGAGGACCACCCACCAAAACACAGCCTGGCCTTGGGAAAGCGTGGGTTCTCATTTATCAGGGTTTATTTATCCAAAATAAAAATTACTGTAGAAAAGTAAAGGAGGGAAAAACATCTTCCTCCCTTAGGAGGCTTTTTTGAATGAATCTTCTTCTCATTCTTTAAGGCCTTGGTTTAGGCCTTCCTATTCCCTGTGGTCCTTTGACATTATCTCAGCCTTAGTTAAAAAAAAAAAAAAATAGTGAATTTGATTATTATCAGTAACCAAAGGTTGCTGGTGGAGGAAGGGAGACTAGCTGTGTTTTCTTGCATGATGGTTCATTTGCACCGTGTGCTATGCTGGAACCAGAAGAACATGAACTGGACATCACCCTCCCATTCCTGGCCCAATGCTTGAATGCCCTTGTCTCCTGGCCTCTTTGGTTACTCTGGTGACCTAGTTACTCAGTCCTGGGTAGCCCTGGAGATGACTCTCCTGGAGGGGGAGGGCTGCCTCTCCCACTCCTCCAGGCCAGGGGCCCTCAAGCAGGGCTACTCTGAATGAACACTTTTGTTAGAAGGAGCCCTGGGAGATTCGTTTCTTTTCTTCTAACAAGATGTGTGGGTGGGAGATGAGGAAGTCCGGGCATTTATAATTCAGAGTGGTGAGACAGCCAAGGGGGGTGTAGGTGAGGACCCCAGTGCATCGCCCTCTCCCTAGATGTGACAGTCATCGCCTAGGGACCCAGGCTCTTTTCCTAACAGAAGCTGTACTGCCCGTTCATTAGAAGTGGGAGAGGGGAGGTGGGACCAGGTGGCACTGGGAAAACTCTCAGCCACTCCCGAATCCTGCCTTGCATCCTGCCTGCCAAACCATTCCTGGATCCTGACTCTGGGAGATGCTACTTAGGGCAAGAAAGCTGGCTTTGCTTGTGCCTGTGACAAATTATGGGATCCCCTAAGTTCCCAGCCAAGTCCAGCAGTGTACTTGCTTCCACTTGCTGAACACTTTCTGATTTTGGGGGAACTTTTAACTCCAGTGTAACACAGGACTGCACAAAATAACAGCTGCCTCACTAGCATGCAGTTCAGGAAGCAGAACATTACCAGTAGCTACTAAGCCCTCTTGAGTTCTGTTTCCCGGCAGGGCAGTAACTATTCTGACTTCTAACAACAGAATAGTTTTGCCTGTTTTCAGACTTCACATGTATCTAAATACAGTATATACACTCTTTGTGTCTGATAATTTTACTTAGTATATGTTTGTGAGGTTCAATCACATTGTTTGTAGTTGTAGCTAGCTACTTTTCATTGCTGTCGAAACATTTCATTATGTGAAGATGCTACTGTTTATCGCCATTCTCTGCTGATGGACATTTGGGTAGTTTCCAGTTTTTGACTGTTAGGAATAGTGAGTGCCTCTATGAATTGTCTTGCGTGTGTCTTTTGGTGAACATGTTTACACATTTCTGTTGGGTAAATTTCTAGGAGTAGAATTGCTGGATCATATGATATTCACAAATCCAGCTAGAGTACATTCTACTCAGCGTTTTCCAACCTGGTTGTACAGATTTACCCTCATACTGGCAGTGTACAAAAATGGCAGTTTCTCCGCATCCTTGCAAACATTCGGTATTACATGTTTTAGATTTTAAGCCGTTCTGGTGGGGGCGTGGGGGTGTCTCATTGTGGTTTTATTTCACCTTTCCCTAATAACTAGTGAATTGAGGATCTTTTCAAATGTTTATTGATTTTTTGAATATACTTTTTTTGTGAAGTGCCTGTTTAAATCTTTTGCCTTTTTCTTATTGATTAGTGAGAGTTCTTTGCATATTCAGATAGGAGTCCCCTGTGGGTTATATGCTTATTGTGAATAATGTCACCCTGTCTGTGGTTTGCATTTTTACTCTCTTAATGATATAGCACCTATTTTTGGCTCTGGTCTAGTGACATACTTCTGACCTTGAGGTTGTAGCACTGCTAGTCTACATCTAGGGTATCTGTGGCTGGGATATTTTCTTGGGCTCTGGACTACCAGGCCTGCCAACATGGTAAAATCTTTGAAGACAGAATCCAGGGCTGGTTCTGCTTGTTTTTCTCATAGTTAACTAAAGCTTTGTCCTTCCCAAGAATATTTTAATGACCCATTAAATGGGGGAAACTGCAATAGGACCCTTTGGATTTTACAGAGAGGGCTGAATTCATTATCATGCATCCCTTTTTAATACATAGTAGTGGGTCAGATCTTTACAGAGCAATGCAACCAGAAGAGTGTAAATTCTTTGAGTTTGGAAACATGCACAGTGTAAACCTGGAAGGAGAGCTGAGGCCTACCCCCTTTTAAAATCTCAGTCTAAGCCCTGCCTCTTCCAGGGAGTTTTTCCTGATTGCTGCTGTTCAGGAAGAGAACATGAGTGAAATGTGGGTATAATTTTGAACAATCCTTCTGGAAAGCAATTTGGGAATTTTCATTTTAAAAATCTTTACAAAATACAAGGTGAAAATAGCATAAAATTAGTTTTAGTTATTTTAATCATTATTTGTTTGTTTATTTATTTGACAGGGTCTCACTCTGTCTCCCAGGCTGGAGTGCAGTGGTGTGATCACGGCTCACTGTAGCCTCTACTTTCCAGGCTCAAGTGATCCTCCCACCTCAGCCTTCTGAGTAGCTGGGACTACAGGTGTTTGCCACCACACCTGGCTAGTTTTTAAATTTTTTGTGGAGAGAGAGGGGTCTCCCTATGTTTCCCAGGCTGGTCTTGAACTCCTGGGCTCGAGTGATCCTTCAGTCTCAGCCTTCTGAGTAGCTGGGACTACAGGCGTGCACCACCACCATGACTGACTAGTTTTTAAAATTTTTGTAGAGACAGGGTCTAGCCACGTTGCCCAGGCTGATCTGGAACTCCTTGGGCTCAAGCGGTCCTCCTACATTGGCCTCCCACAGTGCTGGGATTACAGATGTGGGCCACTGTGCTTGGCCTATTTTTCAGTGTTTTAAACCCGTTTGTATTTTTCTTTTTAAAGAGGTGTTATCTTAACAAGTTTGGGGAGTTAGGGAAAAAATTGAAAAGAAAAGGTATTATCTGTTTTCATCTTTGATCTATTGAGATCTTAGGAACCCTTTGTCATTTTATTTTGTGCTGCAAATATTTTTGCCATTCTCCCGTTTGTCTTTTCAAAACGTTCATTTTTTAGTTGAAGACACTTGATGATAATGTACGAAGGGGCCACTCAAACACGGGGTGGGGTGTTTGATTCCCAGTTGGGACTGGTCAAGAGCAATGTCAGGGCCCTAACCTCCCTTACAGCTGGCCCGAGGCAGTGGGGATTCCAGAGGACAGAGGCCTATCCCACTCTAGCCTTGTAGAGTATGAAGAGTCTGTAAGTAGCTGGCTTCAGAGACTGGGGAAACCTGGGGGACTGCCTTCCTTGAAGCTTCCATCCTGGGCCCCAGGCTGGCAAAGATGGAATGGAGGAGGGAGTGCCACTGGCTACTCCCAGGGAAGAAGGAAATTGAGAGCAGGTAATCCAACAGAAAGAAGTGAGGAAGAAGAGGTGCCTTGAGTTTGGGCTGGTGGGTGGAGGGGACTTGGGGAGGATCCAGAAGAAAGGAGAACATCAGCCAGGCGGGAAATCTGATGGGCAGACTCAGGCTCTGGAGTAGGGCTGCAACCTACTGCATGGAATTGTTTAATCTCCCTGAACCTCAGTGTTCTTATCTGTCAAATGGGATAATACTTGTACTTTGTCAAAAGATTATTTGTGAGAACTAAAGAAGATAACATTGTAAAATATAGCCTCAGATTCTTTGCCACTCTTCTGATTGAGAGGTAGGGTCTATGTCCTCCCGCTTTCAATACAGCAATTTTTCTACTGCCTCAACCAATAGAGTACTAAGGAAGTGGCACCATGAGACTGCAAGCTGTAGGTCAGAAAAAGCCACTTACCTTCTTTTCTGTTTACTGGAGCATTTGCTCTTGGATCCCTGAGCTACTGTGTGAGAGACTGACTCCCTTGAGCTGTGAAGAAGCTCAAGCTATAGAAAGAGGCCACAGGTAGGACACTGTGGTGGACAGTTCTAGCTAAGCCAGCCTTCTAGTCGTTCCAGTGCAGGTGCCAGATGTGTGAGTGAGGAAGCTTCCAGATGATTCCAGCACCTAGCTGATCCAGGTTTTGTTGTTGTTGTTGTTGTTTTTGACAGGTCTTTTTTTGGTATGTCTCCCAGGCTGGAGTGCAGTGACACGATCTCGGCTCACTGCAACCTCCGCCTCCCAAGTTTAAGCAATTCTCCTGTCTTAACCTCCTGAGTAGCTGGGAATACAGGCACATGCGGCCACACCCGGCTAATTTTAGAGACGGGGGTTTCACCATGTTGGCCAGGCTGGTCTCGAACTCCTGACCCCAGGTGATCTGCCTGCCTCAGCCTCCTAAAGTGCTAGGATTACAGGCGTGAGCTACTTCGCCCCACTGGTTGATCCAGTCTTCATAGCTGAGGCCCCAGGCTTCATAGAGCAGAGAAAACTCATCCCTGTTGTGTCCTCTCCAAACTTCCAACCCTCAAAATCAGTGAGCATAATGAAACGTTTGTTTTCATACCACTGAGTTCTGGGATTGTTTGTTATGCAGCAGTTAGATAACCGGAACGTGGTCCAAATAGAACGGGTTAGTGTACTGCTTGCCCAGTAGTAGGTGCTAAAGAAACAGCACCTGTCGGTAGCATTTTGGTAACAGGGGTATTCCAGCGTAGAGAACAAAGGGCTGTTAAGGAAGAAAAGGCAGAGGGCCCTGCTCGAGGAAAGCTGATCCTGGACAATCTCCAGCTTTCCACCTGGACAGTGTCTTTATCTTGGCTCTAATTTTAGCTCCCCTCCCGCTTCTTCCAGAATTTAAAACCCCGAATAGCCACAAAAGGAGGGAGTCAGTGGGCCTTAGAGTTTCCTTTGTGTACCCCCTTGTCCCCTTTTAAAAAGCTCTGGAGTGGCATTGGCAAGGATTGTCGGCTGGAGTTGAGCTTGGGGAATGTGGGGGTGGAGAGCAGAGGAGGCATCAGAAAGCACTTTGTTGCTGCAACTATGAAGCGACCATAATGACAATCAGGCGGAATAAGTCATCCCTGTCTCTGCGCACTGCTTTTCAGTTTGTTAAGTGCCTTCTTTCACATGGCCTGGTCTTCAGGCATTTGAAGGTGGAGAACACATTCTTAGCACACTTCTTGGCAGGTTGCAAGTGTCCAACAAATGCTTGCTGATTGATAAATATGGACCACACTGAGCAGTGACTTTACAGCAAGTCCCTCTGCGTGTGCACTGCCTCCTGCACGGGGAGTTTGTTTCTCTGATTGTGCATGATTCAGGCTTTCATTTGGCCCCGTTCAAGTCCACCTGCTTGTTTCTCCTTCTGCAGGGCCTCAGGGGGAGATGGAGTCAGGAGGCAACTAAGGGACATGGCATCTGGGGGTCCAGGCCCGCAGAAAGGAAAGCCTTGGACTTGGCAAACACTACATAATTTTAAGCTGCAGCAGTACCATCCTTTTATTTTTCTTTGGAGATGGTGTCCTGGCCCCAGCACATCCTCAGGAGTTCGTGGAGGGGGCCTGGGACTGTGTGCAGATTCTGCCCAGGTTTCTGTGGTGACTGCTGTCCCCTGTCCTCTGGAGAGCGGCAGGCAGGGTGATATGACAGGAAAGATTTTCCACAACTGCAGAACATCTGGACAGGTGGTTAATGCTGCTGCACGCCACACCTCCTTGGGGCTGGTCTCGGCTCTCCTGAACCTCACCTTGACCTTCCTCCGTAGCGGGGTGCCCCTGACAAAGGTTCACCTGCCCACTTTTTTTCTGCTTCTCTTTCCTTCGCTGCTCGTGGGGCTTCTCCTAGAAAAGCAGAAGAGAGAGGGAGGGTTATTAGTCCGTCTTCACACTGCTATAAAGAACTACCTGAGACTGGGTAATTTATAAAGGAAAGAGGTTTAATTGACTCACAGTTCCACAGGGCTGGGGAGGCCTCAGGAAACTTACGATCATGGCAGAAAGTGAAGGGGAAGCAAGGGACGTCATACATGGTGGCAAGAGAAAGCGAGAGAGTGGGGAAGTGCCACACTTTTAAACCATCACATCTTGTGGGGAACTCCCTCACTATCATGAGAACAGCATGGGGGAAACCACCCCATGATCCAGTCACCTTCCACCAGGTCCCTCCCTAGACACAAGGGTATTACAATTCGATTGAGATTTGGGTGGGGACACAGAACCAATATTTTGGAAAATTGGACCCAATTTTCTGTCTCTCATATTAGAGGGAGACAGAAAGAGAAAGAGAGATTGAGAAAGAAAAACAGAGGGATTGAGAGAGAGGGGAAACAGAGAAGGGGGCGAGGGGGAGAGAGAGACAGAGAGAGAGAAAGACAGAAAGAGAGAGAGAAGGGGGAGGAGATTGAGAGAAGAAAGAGACAGTTGACAGAGGAGAGATGGAGAGATAGAGGGGGAGAGAGAGAGATGACCTTCAAGGGCAAGGAGGGTTTCCAAGTCTGAGGGAATATGCCCAGCCTGGCCTGGGAGGGAAGGGTTCTGGGTGTGGGGAGAAGGAAAATGTCTCTCTTTCTGTCTCTCATCCACATGGAGACTGACAGTGGCCAGGTGTTAGGGAAGGAGAATGGGCACCAGCTTTTTAAAGGACGTTCAGCTTTGATGGAAACGTTCATTTGCATGTTTAACTATGGGGAGAATGCCTTTCTGTTAACCAGCTAAGGGTGGCTGAGTGGGGGTGAGTGGGTGGTAAGTCATTCTGTGTCAGATTCCTGTGAAGCAGGGGAAAGAGTACCCGGGAGGAGTCCTGTGGATAATCTGTCTCTCCTGAGCTTTGTGTGCCAACCAGCCCCTTCCTTCAGTTGTGAAAATGGGAGTAGAGAGTTGTTGATCAAAAGGTACAAAGTTTCAGACACAAAGGAGGAATAGGTTTTGACATCATTGCACAGCAGGGGGCTGTAGTCAGTATTAATGTATTATACACTTTAGAATGACTAACTGCAGATTTCAAATGTCTCACCATAAAAAATTAGGTAAGCAAGGTGATGGATATATTGATTAGCTTGAGTTAGTTGTTCCATACCACATACATATATTGAAACATTGCATTGTACCCTATAAATATATACATTTATGATTTGTCAATTAAAAATAATATCAGCTGGGCATGGTGGTTCACACTTGTAATCCCAGTTAATTGGGAGGTCAAGGAGAGAGGATTGCTTGAGGCCAGGAGTTCCAGACCAGCCTGAACAACACAGTGACACCCATTCTCTACAAAAAATAAAAAAATCTGACCGGACTCCTGCTTGAACCCAGAAGTTGAGGCTGCAGTGAGCCATGATTGCACCATTGCACTCCAGCCTGGGCAACAGGACTAGACTTTATCTCTTAAAAAAAAAAAAGTACTTTCTTTCTTTCCTTTTTTTTTGTTTTAAAGGCTAGTCAAGTGAAGCAGTGGGAATGGAGAAGGAATAAAGAAACCTGTAACTGGTTGTGACCAATTAGTTGTAAACACCATTGCACTCGGACCACCAGTGGGGCAGGGGGAGCTCAGAGTGTTTGGATTTCCTGTCTTCTCCCAGGCTTTGTCAGCAGGATTTGAGCTGGAATCAGATTCTAGCCAGGAATCCTCAGCATTGGGAAAAAGGCCAGAAGAGAATGATAACCCATGGTATCTCAGTTGGGCTTAAGAATCACCTGGAATTCTTGCTCAATGCAGATTCTTGGGCTCCCTTCAGAAATTCCTATTTAGTAGGTCTCAGGAGTCTGCATTAAAAAAAAAAAAACTTAAAAAAATTAAAAAGTATGTGTAATAGAGACAGGGTTTCCCTGCGTTGCCCAGGCTGGTCTCAAACTGCTGGCCTCAAGCGATCCTCCCGCCTCAGCTTCCCAAAGTGCTAGGATTATAGGCATAAGCCACAACGCCTGGCCCAGGAGCCTGCATTTTGAAACAAACACGCCAGGCTATTTTGATGGCACTGGTTTTCGGATCTGCACTTTGACAGACAGACTTAAACCTTCCGTGTGAGTATTCGAGAGCACCATCCTGCTTTCCTGAGATGACAGACTCCTCAGGGAGGCAGCCAGGGCTTCCTGTTTCTAGATGGGGAAACCAAGCCAGGCAGCCCTCTGGAGGCTTGCTGTGGGGTGCCCCGGCAAGCTAGCGAAGCCCCACAGCCAGAGGGCCAGCCCCGGGGGATGGGGGGGACCAAATATTAAAAAGAATATGCAAACTCTCTTTTTGGCTGATAAATCTAATGCTGTTTCCTCATAGCCACATATAGGTTTTGCTTTGCATTTCATGTTCTTGCTCCTTATGTTTAAACATTAAAAGTTTTTATTGTTTTATAAGCCTCTATAAGTAAGGAATAAATTCTCATTGTAAACATTTCAAATTCTATACGAATCACTCTATTTCCCTAGTCTCACGTCTCTCCTCAGAGATAACCCTTCTTACCTGTTAGCTGTGTGTCTTTCTAGATGTGTGCTATTCAATAATACATGTGGCTGCCGAGCCCCTGAAATGAGGCTGAAATGAATTGAGATCACTGGAAGCATAATTTTGAGAATTTAGTATAAAAAAGGTAAAATAGTTCATTAATTTTTTTATAATTGACTTGCGTAATATTTTGGATACATTGGTTTACATAAAATAAATTTCACTTTGTAAAAATATGGATACTAGAAAATTTTCAATGATATATGTGGCTCACATTATCTTTCTTTCTCTCTTTCTTTTTTTTAAGACAGGGTCTCACTCTGTGATCACCCAGGCTGGAGTGCAGTGGTACGATCACAGCTCACTACAGCCTTGAACTCCTGGGCTCAAGCAATCCTCCTGCCTCAGCCTCCCGAGTAGCTGAGACTACAGGCTCATGCCATTGCACCGTACTAATTAAAACATTTTTGTTTTGGTAGAGATAGGGTCTCGATTTGTTGCCCAGACTGCTCTCAAACTCCTGGCCTCAGGTAATCCTCCTGCTTCTGCCTCCTGAAGTATAGCAATTACAGGCCTGAGCCATTGTGCCCGGCCACATTCTGTTTCTATTAGACAATGTTGTCCTAGACCTTTCCCTATGCATTTATATGCATACATATGCGCCTCTGCACGTATAATTACAAGAAAAGATAACAGGGATCATTCATTTTGCATTGACCTACGGTTTGCTTTTTTCTCTTACCAGCCTGTTTCAGAGATCTTTCTACATCAGGACATATAGATCCACTTTTTCCCTTTAAAGGGATGCATAATATTCCATACTGACAAGCCATGGTTTATTAAACCATTTCCTATTGGTGGACATTTGACTTGTTTCTCTGGCTTCCCTGTTACTAACCAATGAACATCATTGCTTTTTGGCTTGTTTTTAATCCCACATCTCTTGGCATGCAGAACTATTTGGGGTTTCTCAGATTCTTCCTGAAAAACATAGGTGATGATGTAGTGAAATGTCGGGTAACTGTATGGTTTATTGTCCACATGGGAACTTTGAGAGTGAAAGACAATGATAGCAGTAATGATTCCAGGATATGAAGAGGTACAGACTCAGACTGCCCTGTGCAGATTTTGGACATTTGGTCACTAGGGCCAGAGACAGAGTCCGAATGCGTGTTTTAATAGGAGATGCTTCACAAGATGAGGATCTGAAGTCAGTCCAAGACTGTCTCAAACAAATGCTGGAATCCAGCCTCCAGCTTCACCCTTTCCTTCTGTCCGGTAACTGGTGGGCATTGGGGTAGCCCCCTGAGGCTGGGGGAAGGGACAGGGTAAGCAATGAAAATATCCAAAGAGAAAGGCTCAGTGAATGAGGAGTCTCATTTGTGGGAGGCCCTACCCCATAGGAGCTCTTTGTAGAGTAAATGGTGGGCAAGTCAGCAGAGGGTTTGCAGAGGTTGATTTCATTCTTGACCACTCGTGGCTAACTCAGGGACAATCGAACTGCTGTGACCTTGAGGGGAAAGACCCCAGATACTGTTACCGGCTCCTTCGGGAAACCTCCACTCTCTTCCCGCCCTCCTTTCTGTGACTAATTTCTGAAATCTCTGTAACTGAGAAGGCATTGGATGAGGTTTCCCACTCTGGGAGGGCCCTGGGTGCCAGACTGGGGCAAGGGGGGGCTGAGGCTCCTGTGCAGTCACATGCCATCTCTCAAGAGCAGGAGCGCAGGCCTCCAGATTGGGTGGCAGCAGCTGGTGGGGTATTGGGATAACCTCACTGATGACTGGGTAGATAGGGCTCTCTTGTGTTAGCAGAGTCCAGAAAACAGTGTGCTCCCTGATGAAAAGGCCACGGTCACTGTCTTCTGGGCTCTGCCTGGCTCTGACAGTTCTCAGCTGCTCCATAAATCTTCCATCAGTTCCATCTGGCCAAAAAGATGTCATCACCGTTTTCTCCTAGCGACGAAAAGTAAAAGGTCATTAACGAAAGCGCTCCTCTCTGCCTGTTCAAACCAAAGAAGATGATCTTCAGTTTTTCAGTGGAAGGGGAAATGAGTGTTGAGGTTGGGTTGTTTATGTATAGTAATAGTTTATATTTATATGTTGTACATGAGGATAAGGAGGATGATTATGTTTTGGGTATTATTGAACACTCTGGGCACCCACATACTTAAAACACAGAACATTACAATCTGGAAGTTAAAAGGAACATTAGTGCTTATCCAGTTGTTTTCGAGTTTTTTGCTTTAAAGCAATGGAACACTCATAGCAAATGATATGTTTATGCAAAATCCCAATACATCAAAC
This sequence comes from Homo sapiens, assembly GCF_000001405.40. NCBI lineage: Eukaryota > Metazoa > Chordata > Mammalia > Primates > Hominidae > Homo > Homo sapiens. The sequence continues at coordinate 173,257,503 of NC_000005.10, forward strand.
AGAAGGACTGAGCGTAGCAGAGGCCTGGCACTCGGGGCTTTCAATACCGGCTCCCCCTGACCTCATGGTGGCTCCTGTTTGGAAACTTCTCTGTTTAAATTTCTATCCAGTCCCTAAATCCTCATTGTAGCATCCCCAGCAATTGATTGTTACGGTCTTGCCTCTTCCTCTCACACCCCCAGTGCCTTGGAAAGCAGCCTCTACTGTGCTAAGACAGAGCCAATGGTCAGAAAGCATTGCTTTATCATTTGCTATTTTTTGTATATTTTGAGATAGGGACTTGCTCTGGTGCCTAGGCTGGAGTGCACTGGCGTGATCTCAGCTCACTAAAGCTTCCACCTCCTGGGCTCAAGTGATCTTCCCACCGGAGCCTCCCAAGTAGCTGGGGCCACAGGTGTGAGCCACCATACCTGGCTAATGTTTTAAAAATTTTATGTAGAGATGGGGTTTCTCTGTGTTGCCCAGGCTGGCCTGCAACTCCTGGGCTCAAGCGATCCTCCTGCCTCAGCCTCCCAAAGTGTTGGGATTACAGGTGTGAGCCACTGTTGCTGGCCAGAAAGACTTACTTTAATAACAATAAAATTCTCTTACCTACTCCTCTCCCAAATCTGCGATCCCCAGAAGGTTCTAACAGTAGCCCATTTAGTACCTGTGCTGGAGACGGTGGATATTTCCAACTGCTGAGCCATGGATGTGCTAAACAATGACTGCGTCCTTTGCTTGGACTGTGTGGTCTGCCGGGGATCTGGTTCATCTTGATTTGCACCGTGTGGATGCTGTCAGGGGCAGAAGTCGGCCACATGTCACCCTCACGTCACCCTCCTCCCTCAAGAGACCTTGTTGGAAGGCTGGGAGAGGTGCAGAGGCCCATGCCTGTTCTTACCATGGCCTCTGGTCTGATGCTTTTCCGGCACACAGGGATAGCCTTGGGTTTTCATGTTCCCATGCAGACACCAGCCTTGCAAAGGAGTCGCTTTATCAGCTGGTGTTACCCAGGTTGGAGGCTGATTTGGTAATTTCCTGAAAACAACAACAAACCCAAAGAAACAAACAAAAACAACCAGAGGCATAGTCAGAGGCATAGTCATCAGAGGGGGACTCAAGGGTAGCTTGGGATCTTGACTGTCCTAACACTGATTTGGCCCAGAGGCTGCAGAGCCTGGTGGTGTTGGAAGACAGAGCTTTTTATTGTTTTCTTCCAACTTTCTGCCAGCAGTCACCGGCAGTGGTTTAGTCAGTTTCTGCTTCTGGGTCATGATGTAAATTTAAGTTCCGGGCTGGGGATAAAAATTCTAAATGTGCTCTGCTAGTGTGTGTGTGTACGTGTGTAAAAAAAAAAAACAAAAAACCTTATTTATTTATTTTATTTAACATTAAAGTTTTTTCCCACTTGTATTTTTAGCAGCAAAAACTAAAAAATTGATCTGGTTCCTCTTGTCCAGCTCCTGATGAGGGAGCTGACTCCCTGCTACCCCCGCCCCACGGACTCTGTTGGGCAATAGCTGCTGCAGGCTTCTGCCCTCTCGTTGGCTGTTGACACCTTTCCCTTTTGAGTACAGATGCCCCTCGACTTATGTCCAGATGAAACCAGTATAGATTGGAAATATTGTTAAGTAAAATGCGTTCCATACACCTACAGTACCGAGCATCATAGCTTAGCCTACAGAACGCTTCCATTAGCCTACAGCTGAGCAAAACCATCTCACACAAAGCCTATTTTATAAGAAAGTGTTGAACATCTCATGTCCTCTCATGGTGAATATCTCTCATACTCACGATACTGTGAAGCATTGCTAGAGTACTGTACCTACATCGCTAGCCTGGGAAAAGATCAAAGTCCAAAATCTGAAATCTACTGAAATCTTATTGCTTTTACACCATTTTACAGTAGAAAAATCATAAGTTGAGCCATTGTAAGTCGGGAACCATCTATATAAAGAGTGTTTCTACTAAACTCCATTATTAAAGAGAGCATTTAAAAACAGTTTTTATTTATTTTAATTTTTCTTTCTTTCTTGTTTATTTTCTATAAGAGTTTGACACAAAATTAACTTTTAACTTTTATGCAGATGAAGTCTTGCTATGTTGCCCAGGCTGGCCTTGAACTCCTGGCATCAAGCGATCCTCCCACCTTGGCCTCCTAAAGTGCTGGGATTACAGGTGTAAGCCACCACACCTGGCCTAAAGACAGCACTTTATCCTCAGGCAAATGGCAGAGACCCATGGAGAGGTAGGGGATAGGAGGGGAGGGATGTTTTGGCCTCCACCAACATTCAAGCTAGAGACCTGGGCATGGAGAGGTTTCTGATCTGGTTGCTTACCTTAGGCTGGTGGCTTCCAAACTTGATTGAGAGTCAGGATCTTTTGGGGAGCTTGCTAACACACAGATTGCTGGGCCCCACCCCACATTTCTGATTTGGAGCCTTATAATTTTCTTTTCTTTCTCTTTTTTTTTTTTTTTTTTTTAAGACAGAGTTCTGCTCTTGTTACCCAGGCTGGTGTGCCGTGGCGCGATCTCAGCTCACTGCAACCTCTGTCTCCTGGGTTCAAGCAATTCTCCTGCCTCAGCCTCCCTAGTAGCTGGGATTACAGGTGCATCCCACCATGCCCTGCTAATTTTTGTATTTTTAGTAGAGGAGGGGTTTCGCCATATTGTCCAGGTTGGTCTCAAACTCCTGACCTCAGGTGATCCACCCACCTCAGCCTCCCAAGGATTTGCACTTCTAATAAGTTCTGAGGGGATATTCATACTGCAGGTCTGAGGACCACACTTTGAGAACCACTGGCATAGAGCTGTCCCCTGAGCTATGTAGCTAAAGTGGAAATATAGTTAATCTTACTTCTTGTAGTAGATAATGGTTTAATAGCCACGGATTCTTCCGATCCCAGTGTTTACCCCCTTTGCAATGTGACTTTTCTCCTCCTCCCCAGCAGAGATGGAGTCTAGATCTCTACTCCTTGAATCTGGGCTGATCTTCTTTCTTTCTTTCTTTCTTTTTTTTTGAGATGCAGTATTGTTCTGTTGCCCAGGCTGGAGTACAATGGTGCAATCATGGCTCACTGCAGCCTCAGCCTCCCATGTAGCTGTGACTGCAGGCATGCACCATCACATCTGGCTCATTTAAAAAATTTTTTTGTAGAAATGGGGTCTCACTATGTTGCCCAGGCTAGTCTTGAATTCCTGGCCTCCAGCCATCCTCCTGCCTTGGCCTCCTAAAGTGCTGAAATTACAGGCACAAGCCACCGCACCCAGCCTGGGCTAATCTTGTGACTTGCTTTGGTCAATAGAATGTGATGGAAACAGGCCAGGTGTGGTGGCTCATGCCTGTAATCCCAGCACTTTGGGAGGCTGAAGCAGGTGGATTGCTTGAGCCCAGCACTCAAGGCCTCTTGGAGTTCAAGACCAGCCTGGAGTTCAAGACCAGTCTGGGCAACTTGGTAAAACCCCATCTCTACAAAAAACACAAAAAGTTAGCTGGGTGTGGTGGTACACACTGTAGTCCCAGCTACTTGAGAGGCTGAGGTGGGAGGATCGCTTGAGCCTCGGAGGTTGAGGCTGCAGTGAGCCGTGATTATGCCACTGCACTCCAGCCTGGGCTAATCTTGTGACTTGCTTTGGTCAATAGAATGTGATGGAAACAGGCCAGGTGTGGTGGCTCATGCCTGTAATCCCAGCACTTTGGGAGGCTGAAGCAGGTGGATTGCTTGAGCCCAGCACTCAAGGCCTCTTGGAGTTCAAGACCAGCCTGGAGTTCAAGACCAGTCTGGGCAACTTGGTAAAACCCCATCTCTACAAAAAACACAAAAAGTTAGCTGGGTGTGGTGGTACACACTGTAGTCCCAGCTACTTGAGAGGCTGAGGTGGGAGGATCGCTTGAGCCTGGGAGATTGAGGCTGCAGTGAGCCGTGATTATGCCACTGCACTCCAGCCTGGGCGACAAAGCAAGGCTCTGTCTCAAAAAACAAAAACAAAAACAAAAACAAACCAACAACAACAACAACAACAAAAAAAAGAGAATGTGATGGCAACAACATTGGGTGAGTTCCAGAGCCCAGATCTCAAGAAGCCTTGCAGCTTCCACCTTCACTCATTTGGAATTCTGCCCTGAGACCATGTTGCAGCAAAGTTAGTCTAGCCTCCTGGAGGATGAGAGACTACATGGAAGAGAACTGAGGCCCCCAGCCAACTGCCAGCACCACCTACCAGACTCACGAGTGAGGGCATCTTGAATTTTCCATCCCAGTTGACTTTCCAGCTCAGATTTCTCAACCTCAGCACTATTGACATTTAGGGCCAGATAATTCTTTGTTGTGGAGGCTCTCCTGTGTAGGGTTTGCAGCATCCCTGGCCTCTACCCACCAGGTACCAGCAGCACCTACCAACAGAGTCCCCAGTCATCCCTGGTTGAGAACCACTGTTCCAGTTGAATGCAGCTGAATAAATGAGTTCGTGGGGAACCAGCTGAGGAACCACCCAGCCAACTCACAAAATCATGAGCCACAATCAACCACTGTTGCTTTAAGCCAGTAAGTTTTGGGTTGTGCAGAGGTAACCGAGCGACTTCTCCTCTAGCCATTTCTTTCAGAGCTCTTCTTCCTGCCCTAGCATCACAAATTAAGAAGACTAGCTGCTTCTTTGTTCCACTTTTATATTTATCATTTGATCTTCCTGTGAAATAGCTGAACAGACATTTAAACATCTATCCTCTCGGCAGAGAAAAATGAGGAGCAAGACCTTAAATAATTGCCACATAGCTACTCAGAAAAGCCAGCCTTTCTGATTCCTAGCCCAGTGCAACTCGGATCCTGAAGTCAGGCTGCCTGGGTATGAACCTTACTCTGCTACTTATGACAGACATGATCTTGGGCAAGTCACTTCACTTATATGATCCTCTGTTTCCTCTTCTATCAAATAAGGAAAGTAATATCACTCACTTCATGGGATTTATTATGAGGTTTTAATGAGATGGACAACAGATCAGCAAATTTTTTTCTGGTGAGGGGTACACAGTAAATATTTCAGGCTTGGCAGATCCTATGGTTTCTGTCACGATTACTCAACTCTGCTGTTGTAGGTGAAAGTAGTCATAGACAGTATGTATTCAAATGGATATGGCTGTGTTCTAATAAGACTTGATTTACAAAATCAGGTGGTGGGCTAGATTTGGGCCATGGAGTGTAATTTGTTGCCTCAGTGAGAGAGTATGGAAAGATCTTGGCCATTGCCCACTGCCAGAGAAGCATTTGATAAGTGATAGCTACTGATGATATCATACTGTTATTATTACTTTATTATCTTAGCAGTCTTGTTCTTCTGCTTTCCTTTTTTTGGAGACAGGGTCTGTGTCACCCAGGCTGGAGTGTATTGGTGCAATCATGGCTCACTGCAGCCTGGACCTCCTGGGTTCAAGTGATCCTCCTACCTCAGTCTCCCAAGTAGGTGGGACTAAGTGCCACCATGCCCAGCTAATTTCCATTTCTGTACTTCCTCTCTCAGCATTGCTATTTTGTTCCATCTACTGGAGTGTGAGAAAAAATTCAGTTCCACTCTGGCCACCTGTGGTAGCCAGCTTCCAAGACGGACCTTGGTGATTCTCAATTCCTGATATTCTGGAAGGATAGGAGGCCACATGGAGAACTGAAGCTCCTACTCCCCTCCAACAGTGAGTAGGACTGACCTGGTAACCAATAGTGTATTGTAGAAATGACTGTGTATGAACTCTGACTAGTGTTGGCCTCAAACTCCTGGGCTCAAGCAATCCTCTTGCCTCCCAAAGTGCTGGGATTATGGGTATGAGCCACCATGCCCAGCCTCTTTATTATTAGTTGATTTTTCTATATTTAATTTTTCTTTCTTTAAAAAATACTGCTTTGTATTCTTTGTGTCTTATTTATTTGCTTATTATTTTTTACTGTGTTTTGGACATTGCATTTGAAAAATTGCTTGCAGAACTAATTATAGGCTTCAGATGATGATATTTTCCTCCTAAGAAGATTTATGTTTGTCTCTGCTAGGCTCCTGGGGCACCGACAATTTAGGTTTACTGAAATCTAATTTCGGGGGTTTAGAATACCTGAAGTGGAGCCATGGTCTCTGCAAGGGCCTGTCTGCTTCTGGGTCACATTTACTTGTAGGGAGCTTCCCTTTAGAATCCCAGTTCAAGATGAATCTCAACTCTAATCTTGGTAAGCTTCACATTCGTCCCTGCCCCTTTAGCCCCGTGAGGCTCTTGAAAGTCCACCCAGCCTCTCTGCCAGCCATGGTAGAATTGGCCCACGCTGCCAGGCCCAGGGTAGCTCAAAGGACAGACTCACTTCGCACGGCTTCCTCCTTCCTTTGGGTCCTGGCTGGTTATTCTTCACTATTTTGTAGCTCTCTGGTGTCTTTAAGCAGTTCGGTTTTTTTTTTTATTTTGAATAATTATCAAATTTATTAAAAGCGTACAACAGATGCTTATAAACAGCAGCAAAATAAGCTGATAATCTTTTTCATTTCATCTGACCAATAAAATTCTCACAGTCTATACAGATTTTTCTTTCAGTTTATTTTACTTTTGTATGCTTTAGTGACAAATCCTTACACCTGAGACAAAGTGATCATCATTTAAGAATCACCATCATCATAAATTATTTTACATTTATTTTATTCTTTTACAGACAGGGTCTTGCTCTGTTGCCCTGCCTGGAGTGCACTGACTATTCAAAGGTGCCCTTCTAGTGCACTGCAGCCTTGAACTCCTAGGCTTAAGTGATCCTCGTGCCTCAGCCTCCCATGTAGCTGGGACTACAGGTGTGTGCCACCACTCCTGGCTTATTATTTTACATTTATTGAGATGAAGGGCAGGTTAATTTCATTATTTACTTTGAATCGATTAATAACCCTCAATTCTAAATGTGCTGGGCAAAGTAACAGAGAGGGCTTGACAATATCCCTCTTCATTATGTATTCCAAGACATTTCGTGATTTTTTTCCCATTTGTCTGATTTAGGATTTACTTATTCTGCAGCATTCCCAGTTGTCCTCAGTGGAATGGAGGGCAGTCTGAATTACGTACTTTGCTATTACTGATAATGGGAGTTCACCCTTCCAGATTTTATTAGTTCTAGTCTCAGCATGGTAACTAATTACTTCTACGACCTTGGGTTGAGGTTGGGCACGGTGGCTCACCCCTGTAATCCCAGCACTTTGGGAGGCCGAGGTGGGCGGGTCACTTGAGGTCAGGAGTTCGAGACCAGCCTGGCCAACATGGTAAAACCCTGTCTCTACTAAAAATACAAAAATTAGCCAGGTGTGGTGGCAGGCGCCTGTAATCCCAGCTACACGGGAGGCTGAGGCAGGGAGAACTGCTTGAACCCAGGAAACGGAGGTTGCAGTGAGCCAAGATGGCACCACTGCACTGCAGCCTGGGCGATAGAGCGAGATTCTGTCTCAAAAAAAAAAAAAAAAAAAAACTTTGGGTCACATGTGCTTTTCTTTCTTCATTTGTCAAATTAGATTGTTAACACTGGGCTTACCTGCCTCCTGGATTATTGCAGGAGCAAATGGGATAAGCTACATGGAAACCTGGAACCCAGTGTAAATGTGAGGTGCTAAAGCCCAGGTCCTACACCCTAGATTTCCCAAGGCATCTGAGCCCTGTGGGAAGGAGGGCCCTTGTTGACTCCCAGCCCCAGGGTGCAGGTGCCCAGAGCAATTTGCATCAGGTGGTCTCTTTTGTTGCTTTCTAAACATCAGGCAGGTTAATGGTACACCATTCTGCAAGTCAAATCTTGAATCTGGATGATCAGGTGAGTTTTTATCGTACTTTTTCTCATTTCTTTTCCCCCATAATTGCATTTCAGGAAGCGTCCCCGGGTTAGTTCTTTTTCTTTAGTTTTTGTGTCTAATAACTTTCCGTGAGCAGACCCCACAGTGTGCAGCAGTGAGGATCCCTGGACTTGGTTAAAAGAAAACCTCCAAACCTTGACCTCCCTGGGCAGCTCAGCCTGCCACCTGGCAGGGGCCCCTCTGGGGCTCACACTTGTTTTGGCCTTTGTGAACTGCGCAGAACCAGGGCTGACCCTGCCGAACTGTGGATGTGTGGCCAAGACAGGTCCCAGTGTCCTGCCCGGGCTGTGCATGTGAGGGAGGCGGTGATGCAACGTGATGGCATTTGTGACAGGGTGAGGGAAAGAGATTGCTGGCTGGGGCTTCAAGGGGTGTGATTAGATTACGGCGGAGTTGCCTGTTTGGCGGAGATGGAAGACTTGGTTCTGTTCATTTCATAGGCAGCGGATTCCCGCAGTTTCAGACTGGCCAGAGAAATCCATTTCTGGAGTAGTAGGCAGAAATGTGGAGCTGAGAGGCTCATTCCACAATGCTTCCCTGAGCTTTTGCTTTTTACTTCTTCACTTTTTTTCCTTCTCTGGCTTTCTTTTTCTAAGCTCGCACGCTTCCACAATGCTAAAACATCTGCTAATAAAGGTTTTATTAGCAGCTTTTATTCCAACCACCTGGAATCCAAAACCCAAAGGTTTTATTCCAACCACCTGGAATCTTGTCAATCTCAGCTTATATTCCTTCTCGTCTTCCTACCCACTCATTGCTTTTGTTGTGTATTTAAGTCCTTTCAGGGGCAGGGAGCAAAGGGCTTGGGGGCAAAGACATTGGGCTTTGGTGTCAGACTCACCAGATTTGAACTTTGCTCGACCACTTTTACCTGGGTGACTTTGGGCAAGTTAATCAACTTCCATGAGACTTAGTTTTCTCATCCACAAAAAGGAGAGCATCTTATCCTCTAAGCTGTTTTGAGGGCTGCATTAAAGAAAATACATAATGTTTGAAAAATAATTTTTGGCACTTAGCATACATTCGATGAATGGTGATTTCCTTCTCTTTTTATTCTCTTATATGTATTTTTTGGTTGTTCTCTGTTAAGTATTTCAGGAAAAAGGTTTTGATGCGGAGTAAGAGACTCAGATATGGTTAGATTGCACTATAGTTAATATCCCACCATAGATCCTATGTCAACTGTCATCTCTGATCTCAGTCCGTTACCAAGGATCTTAGTGGGTGAGCAGTGTCCAAGCCAAGGCGGAAGAAGATGGGATCAGGAAGAGGCTCTACATAGAACCTTGTGGCGTTCACCTGCAGGGTAAAGTAGGGAACCAGTGTCATCTTCTGTTTAGGGCTGGACTGCAGTGGTGCAGTCATGGTTCACTGCCACCTCAAACTCCTGGGCTCAAGTGATTCTCCCACCTCAGCCTCCCAAAGGGCTGAGATTACAAGCATGAGCCACTGTGCCTGGTATATAAAAAATATATACATGCTTGTATATATTTTTTAAGTTTTTTTTTTTTGAATGAATATCCTAATGTAAAATTTCCTAAACCTCAGTTGCTTGCCATAGTCAATAAAAAGTCATATTATTCTTTATTTTATGTGTTAATTGAAATGTAGTATCAGACAATATTTAGGTGTGTTGCTTTTTATTGTTTTTCTGTATATATATTTTACATAGTTGAGATCATATTGTATGCAATTTCTGTTCTGATTTTTCATGTTTGAGATGGGGGTCTCACTGTGTCGCCCAGGCTGGAGTGAAGTAGAGCAATCAGAGCTCACTGCAGCCTCTACCTCCTGGGCTCAAGCAATCCTCTTTGCTTAGCCTCCTGAGTAGCTGGGACTATAGGCACCTGCCACCCTGCTTGGCTAATTAAAAATTTTTTTTTGTAGAGAAGGTGTCTTGCTATGCCGCCCAAGCTGGTCTTGAACTCCTGGGCCCAAATGATCCTCCTGCCTTGGCCTCTCAAAGTTCTGGGATTACAGGCATGAACCACCATGCCCGGCCTGTTCTGATTTTCTACCTAATTTAAAATTATACGCATTTCCTCATATCAGCAAATATTCTCTTCAAATTTGATTTTGGGAGCTGAGGTTCCTGTGGTGGCCCAGGGTGGCATTACAACTTCATGGGACCCTCTTTGGACAAGGTCTCTATTGCTGGTGAGCTGATGGGACTCTGAGGTGGGCAAGCTGTCCACCCACTCCATTTGCAGCACTTGAAAAATGTTCTTTTCTTTTTTTTTTGAGACACGGTTTCACTATGTTGCCCAGGCTTGTCTCGAACTCCTGGGTCTAGTTATCCACCCACCTCAGTCTCCCAACCATTTACAACTTCGAGTTTGGGGCTCAGAGATTTGTGCGGCTTATGTTTTGCTTTCACTGAAATACTCATGACTGATCTTTATGATCTTATTAGAAGTTGAGAGCACAGTGACTTTCATCTGTGGTTGACTAAAGGAAACACTTGTTTAATAAAGTGACGTGAAACTCCAAACAAAAATAACATTATTCATAATAAGCTGCGTTCTCTAATCTAGAGAATCAGAGAACAGCCTCTCAGAAACCAGTCAAGAGTCCTGTTCATCCCCACTCCTAGATTGCATGTAGGTGACACATGTTTCTGTTTCCCCTTCCTTCTGGTTTGTTCTGGGCGGTTCCTCTCTCCTTTTCCCACGTATAGTAACGCCGGTTCTGTAAGGAATCACATATCTTGGGTGCTCACAGGAGAATTCCTTCTGAGGCCCAGCTCTCCACCCTTCCTCTGGGCACCTCTGCGGCCTCTCTGTCTTAGGGTCCTCACGTCGTAGCTCAGCCCAAGGCGGCTCCAGTGCCGGCCAGCTCTGTCGGCTCTCTGCGTCTGAGAGAGAGGGTGCCTCATGACCCATCGGAAGGGATCTGAGTGCCCACAGCCTTCAGAAGTGCAACTAGGAAGCCAGGTCACTGGTGGCTGGGGATGGCTTGTCCATCAGCTAGCAGCCAGACAATCGAATAGCGCCCTACATGGGACAGGAGGAGCGCCTGAGCTCTTCACGCCATCTCCGCCAGCCCTCATTTAATGTCTTGTTGGAGCATAATGACTGAGGACAGCAAAGCCCAGTGGCTTCTCCCAGACAGTTTCTGGTCACCACAGGAGTGGTGGCTGCGAGCTGCCTTCTGGATCCTCAGGGGTAACTACTCTGAGTGGCTAGTGCCTCAGAACTGAAGTCAGAAACCTGGGGTTATGGCCACAGATCGACCACCCTGGTGCTCAGGGCCAGATGTAAGAGGAGCCTGGGAGAGGCCCTGACCCTCCCAAACTAGAGGACAATAATATACTCATGATGATAATACCCAGAGGTTAAAAAAACAACCAAACCCCGAACTTAGATGATCCCATGTATATCATCACGTGTCTCAACAAAGAGCAGGGAGACCAGGTTCACATTGCTGGAAGCTCAGAATTTTCATGGTGCCTCTAGAAAAATCATCCCATCCCAGGCCAAGCTGTGATTAGAGGTGCTTTTCATCAGGTCTCTTTCTTCCAGTTGCTCTCCGCTCTCCAGCTTTGTTCTGGCTTAGACTCTCAGCCCAGGCCACCCAGGGGCAGTGGCCGCTGAAGGGGGCAGCCCCGCAGCTGCTTCCTCCAAATGCTCTGGGATTCAAGGCCGGGTGCTGGGTGATTACACCGCTGTTATCTGGGATTAGCTATTTTCACTCCCTGTATTTATATCATGGAAGCTGCAGCGTGATGCTGCCAGATGCCAATGTGGGCAAACTTCTTCCTTTTGGACCCACCTGCTGTTCTGCTGACACCCGGCAAGGTGGCAGTTGGTGGGGACCAGACCTGCCAACCCCTCCTCCACCCACTTCCCACATGTCCAGAGCAGTGAACTGCGTCATTGTGAGAGACTCAGGTCAGCAGCAACAGGCGAAGGCTGGACACAGACTTGGGGGCGGGAGGGGTGGAGGGCTGGCAGCAGTCCCTGCAGAAGATGCCTGTCACCTCCCTAATCCCCTGAAGTCTTCAAGTCTAGGAACCCTCTCGCCTGCCCTCCACTCCTGCTCCACCCCGACCCACGTGTATCTCCCTGTTGCAGTGAGGCGTTCTGAATGGCCCTCATTTTAGGCAGCTCAGAAAAGTGCCAAGTGCCTGAGAGTCCCAAATGTAAGTGCAGAGGGATTAAAAGGCCCTGCTGCATTTAACTTGCTCCATCTTCGTTTCCATCTCGCCTTCCATCCCTGTTTTTTTTTTTTTTTGTCGTTCCCTGGAGGAGGTGGGAAGATCCTGGCTTGTCAGCTTGTCTTTCAGGAAATGGACAGGATTTTTTTTTGAAGGTATGTTCTATCTCACTGGGGCTGCACTAACTTACCTCAGCAAACTTCTTAGAGATGCAGAGACTGTAGGTGGGATTTGCCCCCAGCCCCTGGTGCATTGAGGGAGGCTTCTCCCACTTGCCTAGGAAGGTTGCCTGCAGGCTCACTCCCTTTCCTGGGCAAAAATAGGCAATGCCAGGTGTTGGCTGTGCCTGCCTTGGGAGCTCTGAGACCATCACATCAGGAGGAGGCTTCAGATGCAGCCCCAGGGATTCTGCCCAGAAAAAAACAATATGTTTGGTGTGGCCACTGGCTTCTCATACCCCACTGTGGAGCTCTGTCCGTCTGGGCTTCTCTGCCCAGGCTCATCTCTCAGGGCAGAAATCTCAAGGGTGACAAGTTAGCCCTCCCAGGTATGTATTAATTTTTTAAAAATCATTTATTTATTTGTATTTATTTATTTATTTTTGAGACAGGGTCTTGCTCTGTCACCCAGGCTGGAGTGCAGTGGCATGATCATCGCTCACTGCAGCCTCGAACTCCTGGGACTCAAGTGATCCTCTGAGCTCAGCCTCCCAAGTAACTGGGACTACAGGCACATGCTACTACATCTGGCTAATTTTTTATTTTTTATTTTTTTAACAGAGATGGGGTTTTAATTTGTGGCCCAGGCTGGTCTCGAACTCCTGGGCTCAAGTGGTCCTCCTGCCTCGGCCTTCCAAAGTGCTGGGATTATAGGCATGAGCCACCACATCTGTGCCCCCCAATTTTTTTTACCCTAGCATAGAGTTTCCTAAACCCCAGTTGTTTACCATAGCCTAGATAAGATAAATACTGTATCAATAAAGACATAAAAATATAGATAATAAAAATAAACATATTAAAGAATATATTTACTGAAAGAATATTTTTATTGACATTGATTCACCTTTTTCTTAACCCAAAAACTTATTTTAGCATTGCCTCAAGTATCCAAGTATATGTCTTAAGTATCCAAGTAAGAGTATCCAAGATATCATGGGTTTGAGGCCCTAGTTATTTTTTGTCTTTCTACACTTTAAAGTAAATACTAACTTTAAAAAATCCAGGTACTGGTCCGGCGCAGTGGCTCACGCCTGTAATCCCAGCACTTTGGGAGGGCAAGGCGGGCGGATCACTTGAGGCCAGGAGTTTGAGACCGGCCTGTACAACATGGTGAAACCCCGTCTCTACTAAAAATACAAAAATTAGCCGGACGTGGTGGCAGGTGCCTGTAATCCCAGCTACTCGGGAGGCTGAGGCAGGAGAATCACTTGAACTTGGGAGGCGGAGGTTGCAGTAAGCTGAGATCCTGCCACTGCGCTGCAGCCTGGGTGACAGAGCGAGACTCCATCTCTAAAGCAAACAAACAAACAAACACAAGCCCAGATACTATCATGCATTGGAAAATGGCGGCCTAACTAAATGAAAGACGGAAAAGTGGAGAATTCCAGTCGCCATGGCGCAGGCATGGGTGGGAGGGGGCAGACACGTCTGCAAGGGGGCTCAGTGGTGGACGTGGCTGGTGGAGGGGGCGTGGGTCGATGAGGGGAGAAGTGGCAGAAGAGAAACTTAATTGGCCGGAAAAGGTAGAGCAGCATCTTATTTGGGGAACATTCATTCCTTGGGCTGAAAAGGAGAGATATCATTGAAGTCCCAATTGGCTAGTACAAAGCTTCTGCCTTGGATGTGGCTGTCCAACCAGGAAGGCTTACTAAACCCAGCCCCGTCTATACTGGGAGTGAAAGTCACCTGGGGCAAGCTGAGCAGAGAGGCCAGCCAGTGAAGTGGCTACCCGTGGCTTTGGCACCTATGGGCGATTCCTTCTCCTACCCCCAACCTCGACACTGCAGGCAGAAGGGAGCACCAGTGGGGAGGACTAACGAAATGGCAGCAGCAAGGCCGAGGCCCAGGAGTTCCTGTTTCCAAAGCAGAGAAAAGGAAAATGCAACTTCGGCCTTAGGCTCAGGCCACTCCCACTTCACTGTTCCCCTTCCGCAGGAGGGCCCTCGGACCCCTCAAGTGCTTCTGGAAGCAGGCCGGGGTTTGTTTCTATCCCTCCCTCAGCCAACTCCCTCCCTTATTATGTAAAGAATCACAAGGTCATTGTCATTTTGGGAAATAGAAAGCAGAAGAAAAACTAATTTCGCTAGTTGACAAAAAACACTGATAATATTTAGGTGTGGTGCTTTTCATTCATTTCTCTAGATGGATATTTTTTGAGACAAGGTCTTGCTCTGTCGCCCAGGGTGGAGTGCAGTGATGCCGTCATGGCTCACTGCAGCCTTAATCTCCTGGGCTCAAGCGATCCTCCCACTTCAGCCTCCTGAGTAGCTGGGACTACAGGTGTGTGCTACTGAGCCCAGCTAATTTTTAAAATTTTTTTGTAGAGATGGGGGTGGGGTGTCACTAGTTTGCCGGGGCTGGTCTTGAACTCCTGGCCTCAAGAGATCCTCCTGGCTCAGCCTCCCAAAGTGTTGGTATTATAGGAGTGAGCCTATGTATGTTTTTTTATATAGCTGTGAACACATGGCCTGCAATTTCTGATCTAATTCTTACACTTAATATGAAATTATAAGCATTTTCCCCTGCCTTTGAATGTTGCTTACAAATTTTTTTTCATGGACACTATATATACCATAATACATTTAATACTGGTAGCTAAGTTTTGTGTTTTTTTGTGCATTAAGGATTCCATTTTTTTTTTTACTATTATAAATAATGCTGCAATTAATTTCTTTGGTCATATAGTAAAAGTTTCAGCTGTTTTCTAAGGATAGATTCCCGGAAGTGGTACCAGTGTAGAGTGTTGGTGTAGAATGTAGAAAACTATGTTTTATGTAAATAAGGTGAAATATAAGCACCTATATTTGTATGTATGTAAATAAATTTTTGAAGAATCCACAGAAAACTAATGACAGTATTTATCTGACCACTGAGGGTGGGATGGGATCCAGGCAGGGAAACAGGGTAAAGAAAGACGTCTCACAGCATACATTTTTGCTATTTTGAGTTTTGAAGCATGTGTATCTATGACTTATTAAAAAATTAAAAACTAACGACAAACTCTAATTGCTGCTTAATTGTAGAACTGAAGCAGGAGTCCCTCTATAACTGGCTTTTGTGTATTCCCTGGCATGTCCAGCGCCATGCATTCATAATCAACAGTCAGCTCTGTTTCCCTGGCATGTCCAGCACCATGCATTCATAATCAACAGTCGGCCTCATAAGACACCGTAGGCTCTCGATAGCTGGGTGAAGGCAGGAAGGCAGCTCGGCTCCACTAAGACATCTAGGGCCCCAGGCTCCTCCTATCTTGTTGGTCACCAGCCTGTGTGATGGGAGAAAGAGAGATAGTTGAGGGTAGGCAATTTCCTTTCCAGGAAGAGATGTGGGAATCAGACACATCAAGTCTTCTCACTGTCATTGGTGAGGACTTGGTCAGGGACCACCCCTAACTGCAAAGAGGTCTGGGAAATGTAATCTCTGCTGGGGCAGCCAGGATGCAGCCTGGGGTTTTATTATTAAAAAGAAGGGGAAAATGAGACTGGGGGAAAATGAAAGTCTTCGGCCACGGGGACTTTTAAAATAAAAGAAGGGCTAGAAGGGCCGGGCGCGGTGGCTCACGCCTGTAATCCCAGCACTTTGGGAGGCCGAGACGGGCGGATCACGAGGTCAGGAGATCGAGACCATCCTGGCTGACACGGTGAAACCCCGTCTCTACTAAAAAAAATACAAAAATTAGCCGGGCATGGTGGCGCGCGCCTGTAGTCCCAGCTACTCGGGAGGCTGAGGCAGGAGAATGGCGTGAACCCGGGAGGCGGAGCTTGCAGTGAGTCGAGATCGCGCCACTGCGCTCCAGCCTGGGCGGCAGAGCGAAACTCCGTCTCAAAAAAAAAAAAAAAAAAAAAAAAAAAAAAGAAGGGCTAGAAATTGTTGACTGTACCAGACTATCTTGCAGTCTTTTATTTTAGCTAAACTCATACAACTCTGTTACTATGGGAATAATTGAAATGCTATAGTAGTAATGGTATTATTATAATAGCATTATCTCTGTTTTCCTGTAGTTATCACTCAATAAACTGCCTTCTCTCAGGTGAGCACTCAGTTGTAACATCCAATTATTCGATTTGGCAGTTTGTCAAATGACATCCCTGTCATATACTTTCTTAGGTGCTGGGTGCTTACAAAAAGGGCAAAGGATAGAGCCGCTGCTCCCCAGACGACTCAAAATGACTTTCATGTGGAACACAGGAGGAGTGAGAAGGGCCTCCCATTTATTTACCATCTACTAAGACGTTGTGTCCCTGTCACGTACCAGGTAGGAATTATTAACACAGAAGGAACTGAGGCCTGAAGAGGGGAATAATTCACTTAAGGTCACCAGCTTGGAAGTGGCAGAACCAGGTCAAATTATGTTGCCTTCAAAGCCAGTGCAAACAATGTACAAAGTGTTGTTAAAATGATATTGCTCAGGCTGGGTGCAGTGGCTCACACTTGTAGTCCCAGCACTTTGGAAGGCTGAGGCAGTAGGATCACTTGAGCCCAGGAGTTTGAAACCAGCCTGGGCAACGTGGTGAAACCTCGTCTCTACAAAAAATACAAAAATTAGCTGGGTATGGTGGTGTGCCCGTAGTACCAGCTACTCAGGAGAGTCTGAGGCTGGAGGATTGCCTGAGCCCAGGGGGCAGAGGTTGCAGTGAGCAGATATCACACTCCAGCCTGGGAGACAGGGTGGAAAAAAAGAATCTTGCCCTATCACTTCCAGCCACCCAACTAATCCTCATCCCCACTCCCAGAAACAACATCTTTTAGCCTATTTGCTATTTATTCGGGTATTTGCTTCAATATTTCCAAGTAACATGTATATTAAGCTATCTCTTGATTTATCAATTGTGACCATTATTGTTTGACCTTCAATTATGCAAATGAAGATTTTATTCCATGCATATTTTCTCTTTCCTTTTTCTTCCAATAGAACTTATTATTTTATAAAATGTTTATACAGTATTTACATTATTATGGCATTGTAAAAACATGGTTCAACAGTATTCACCATTGAACCTGATAGTCTACTGTGATTAAGTTTCCTTTCTTGTACAATTTTTCTATGTGCTTGGTTTTCTTTGAATATCTGACTTGCTCTTCAACAGCTCTGCTAGCCACTCCATATCATTTTCTCTATGGTCAAACCATCAGATAATGCATCAGTTCAGTCTTTTTCTTGAAGAGCCTGCTCTTCCTGATCTATAAGCTTTCTGCTTATCCTGGTATTTTCATTCACCCATTTCCTGGGAAATCTGTTTACTTTTCTCTTCTGTTGGTTCCTTCTTCTCCTGATTCTCTGCCTTCTTTGTTTTCCTGGATACTGTCCTTCAGTAATTTTCTCAGGAAGGGTGTGCAAGTGGTGAATTCTTGAGATCTTGCATGCTTACAATGTCTTAATTTTGTCTTTTCGCTTGATTTATAATCTGGCTGGATATAGATGTTGAAATTCATTTTTCCTAAGCTTTTGAAGTAAGTTCCCTATTTTTCTCTAGCTGTTGAGAAGTCTGTTACTATTTTATTTCTTGATATTTTTGTATGTAACTTGGCTGTTTTTCTTTTCTTTTCTTTCTTTCTTTCTTTTTTTTTTTTGAAACTGGGTCTTTCTCTTTGGCCCAGGCTGGAGTACAGTGGTGTGAACATGGCTCACTGCAGCCTTTAACTCCTAGGCTCAGGCAATCCTTTTGCCTCAGCCTCCTCAGTAGCTGGGATACAGGTGCATGCCACTATGCATGGCTAATTCTTATTATTTTTATTTTTTTGTATAGATGGTGTCTCACTTTGTTGCCTAGGCTGGTCTTGAACTGGTGAGCCCAAATGATCCTCCCACCTTGGCCTCCCAAAGTGCTGGGATTATAGGCATTAGCCACTGTATCTGGACTGGCTTTTTTTTTTTTTCTCTGTGGATGTGTTCAGTATCTTTTCTTTATCTTTGCTGTTCTGAAATTTCAGAATTATGTTCCTTTGCATAGTTATTGTTATCATTTGTTATGTTGGAGGCTTTGAAGGCTTTTAAAATCTGGAGATGCATGCTTTGCAATTCTGTAAACTTTTCTTGAATTTTTTTGTGATAATTTCCATTTCACCATTTTATCTGATGTCATTTTCTGGAATTCCTATTACTTAGATTTTCATGTGAGGCTTCTCAAATTGCTTCTCTAATTTCTTTTCAATCTTTCCTTACCTATTACCATCTTTTTGGCTCTTTATTTTGCAAGGGATATTTCAGGAGGATATACTGAACTTTATGTTTATCTAAGCTTTTTATTTTAAATATCCTTTATCTTCCTCTTATTGAAGGATTCGTTCATCTCAGCAATAAACAAAAATTTTTACTCAGAGCAATTTCTCGTTCTTTGACTTTTCCTTTTTTATAGTATGCATCTCCTGTTTCATGGGAGCAATATCTTCTCTTATCACACAGAGAATATTAACTATGATTCTTCGATGTTTTTCTGAGCTGTACATGATCTCTCTGTGCTCTGAGTTTCTTCATAGTCTTTTATGTTTGGTCTGTCTTTCATGGTGGTATTCTTCAAGATTATGGGGATTCTCGTTTCTCGGTTTATGTTTAAATCAGAAGCTGATTGGAAGCTCTGTGTGCTCCTTTTCAAGGAGATATAATTCACATACCATAAAACTCACCTCTTTTTATAATCCTTTGGATATATACCCAGTAATGGGATTGCTGGGTCAAATGATATTTCTGGTTCTAGATCCTTGAGGAATTGCCACACCATCTTCCACAATGGTTGAACTAATTTACATTCCCACCAACAGTGTAAAAGCATTCCTATTTCTCCAGCATGTATACACCATGGAATACTATGCAGCCATAAAAAAGAATGAATTCATGTCCTTTGCAGGGACACGGATGGACCTGGAAGCCATCATTCTCAGCAAACTAACACAGGAACAGAAAACCAAGCACTGCATGTTCTCACTCATAAGTGGGAGCTGAACAAAGAGAACACATGGACACAGACAGGAGAACATCATACCCGGGGGACTGTCAGGGTGAGGGGCAAGGGGAGGGATAGCATTAGGAGAAATACCTAATGCATGTGGGGCTTAAAACCTAGATGATGGGTTGACAGGTGCAGCAAACCACCATGGCACATGTATACCTATGTAACAAACCTTCACGTTCTGCACATGTATACCAGAACTTAAAGTAAAAACAAACAAACAAAAAATAAAGCAAACTCACCTCTTTAAGTTGTACAATTCAGTTGCTTTTAGTATATTCACAATGACTGCATTACCACTATCTAACTCCAGAACATTTTCATTACCCCAAATAGAAACTCTGTACCCATGAGCAGTCACTCCTCCCTCCACCCTCGCCCCAGCCCCTGGAAGCCACTAATATACTTTCTGTCTGTATAGATTTGCCAATTCTGGATGTTCCTATAAATATAATCAAAATAGAATCATACAGAATGGGGCCTTTTGTGTTTGGCTTCTTTCCCTTAGCATGATGCTTTCAAGGTTCCCCCATATTGTGACACGTTTCAGTGCTTCCTTCCCTTTGATTGCTGAGTAACATTCCACTGTAGGATAGACCCATCTATTTATCCATTCATCAGTCGATTGACTCTGTACTCTTTAAAGAGGTTTTTCAAACAACTCTTGTTTTCATTCCTGTTCAATCTCTATCTCACGTGAGCACTCGATGCCTCCTATTTCTGAGCCTTTTCTGGGGCTCTGTAGAACAATTTGTGGGCCCTGCCACCCAACCCTGAAGACGCTTGTGTTTGCCTTGCTACTTCTCCGCTGAGTCATTTACATTTTTCCAGTGCTTTTTATCTTTCTATGTTGGAATTAAGCGTTATAGACGCCACGCCTCCTGGGTTCATGGAAGATGTAGTCTGTACATCTGTTTCTTCTGCTTCTTGTCCTTGTGAGATTGTCAAAAGGAAAATCTTTATTCCCTTATCTTGAGACTGGAAGCCCTCCAATGCATCTCTCATTAGGCTGTGTCGATTCTTTATATTTTTTATTTTTTAATATGTAATTTAGACATTTTATCTAGAGATGGGGTTACCCAGGCTGTTCTCAAACTCCTGGCCAGAAATCCCAAAGTGGTGAGATTACAGGCATGAGTGACCATGCTCAACCTGTGCAACTTCTTTTCAAGTACAGTGTGTGGATCGGATGGTAAGTGCTAAAATGAGTCATTCATGTAATCAATTCATTCAATGCAAACGTATTGACCACCTATGTCTGGGCATTGTACTGGGAAATCAGGTGACAATAACAGAGACACAGTCCCTACCCTCAAGGAACTTCTGTGTTAGTGAGAGATCTAAACAAGCAAACAGACCATTGCAATCTAGTGGTAAGTACTAAGACGGTAAGTTCAGAGAAGGAGGGCACATAGGTGAGAGTACTTAACTCAGACTTGGAATAAGGCTTTCACTTTCCAGAATACTTCCACACATTCAGAGGAATCTCACTAAGTTCTAAGATGAGAAAGCAACCCTTTATCTGTCCTTCCTGTAGTCTCATAACATCTTTCTTTGACATGGAGAGGCTCCCTCAACCGTCCCCGCTCCCTGCAGCCCCTGGGAGACAAAGATACTCAAAACGCCAATGCTGCTTCTGTGGGAAGTTGGCCTGGAGCCTGGCCCTCCTCTGGCTGCTGCGTAGACACCATTCCAGTGATGAAGGCTGGCACAGGAGGCCCCTGGGCAGGGTTCAGGCTTCCAGACAGGCCTGGCCACGTGATGAGTGGTTGCGTGGACAGAAATGTGTTTTGAATCCAACTCTTGTTTGCCGGGTTTATTCTCAGTGCCTGAATGTGCTAGAAGCGAACAGAAGCCAGGATGAGGGCCTCACCCCAGAAGAGCTTGAGTTGTCAGCGAGAATAAACCTGGGGACAGAAGCTAAAAAATCAGGAAGTGTTGTGAACCGAGATACATGACATCAGAGAGTGCTCTGAATGCAACTGCCATTTTTATTTTTCAATATTATACTTTTATATCTTTTCTCCTTTTCCCACGTTCTGTTAACGTAAGATGATAGGGAATCAATTTTGCATTGATATTAGTCCAGGTTAGGGAGGCGGCAGGGCCCAGCTAAATGCCTGCGTCCTGCTCTGGGCCTCTAGAGAGGTGCTGAGTGGTGAGGGGGCCTGGGTGGACGCTGGGCTTCTCCTCAGCAGGGAAGCACTGCCAAGCTAGAGAGGCTGGCTGCATTCTATCTCCCTCCAGGGCAGAAATAGACCTGGGGGAGGATGCATGCTGTATGAGCCAGATTTGGCCACATATATTAGGAAGACATTTCTAATCACAAATGTCTTAATGAAAGAACAAAATGCCTCATGGAGCAAGGATGCACCTTTGCAGTTTAAGTGGAGATTGGAAGCTGTTCTAGGGGTGTTGGTCCTTCCAAGCCTTGACTCTATAATCTCAATAATAATTAAAGAGCAAGTAATATCTACTGAGTGCAAACCATGTGTCACTTTACATATATTAATTTACTTAATCCTTACAACAGCCCTGGAGCTAGGCATTATTATTATTGGCCCATTTTACAGATGAAGGGCCTGAGGCGTACAGAGGTTGCCGTGAAGTTTTTGTTCTTTTTTCCATCAAAGTGGTCTGCAGAGCGAAAGCCATTCTATTACAGGGGTTGAAAGCCTGAGCTCCAGTGAACTTGGACTCTAGAATTTGTCACATTCCCAGCTAAGTAAGCTTGGGAAGTTCCTTCCTGTCTCTGAGCCTCAGTGTTCTCATCTCTGTAATAGGCACAATAACAGCGCCTTCCTATTAGTGCCCTACCTCTTCTTTTTCTTTCTTTTTCTGTCTGTCTTTTGAGATGAGGTCTTGCTGTGTCACCCAGGCTGGAGTGCAATGGCGCAATTGTAGCTCACTGCAGCCTCAACCTCCTGGGCTTAAGCGATCCTTCCGCTTTGGCCTCCCAAAGTGTTAGGATTACAGGCGTGAAACACCACACTCGGAAAAAAAAATCTTTCCTTTTGGCATATTCGCAAACACAGTCTTCATGATGGCCTGTTCTCAGGAGTTCTTGGGAACTGTGGATTGAATCGAGCTGCGTGACCCTGGAACTTTTACACGTGGGCAGGGACTCAGTCTGTGCCAGTGGGCTGTGTAGGGTCACCTGTTGATGCTGAGAGGCAGGAAAGCGAGAAAGGAGGAATAGGTGGAACAAAAAGAGCCAGAACCCGTGAGCATCTTCCTGAGACCTTCCCTTGCCCTCCTGCTAACTGAACGCTTTGCTTTCACCCTGGCAACAAAAATGCCCAGGTCTGCTGGCATCACACATGTCAGATATCACACTGTCACCATTATGATGCAGATGAGGGTCTCCAGTGAAGGCTTTTGTTTTCTGCCTGGTGTTTAAGGCCAAGCCCAGGTCCTGCCCTTCTAGGCAGTTCTGGCTGTGTATGTGCGGGAAGAGCATATGCATTAGTAAGGGACACACTGGGGTCCAAATCCTGGCGTGGCCACTAACAAGCGATGCAGCGTCAGGCCAGTGACCATTTGTGACCTCTAGTTTTCATCTATGAAAGGTAGAAAGCAGCCTGGGCAACATAGTGAGACCCTGCCTCTACTAAAAATTAAAAAATTAGCCAGGTGTGATGGCATGCACCTGTAGTCCCAGCTACTCGGGAGGCTGAGGCAGGAGGATCACTTGATCCCAGAAGTGTGAGGCTGCAGTAAACTCTAATCATGCCCCTGCACTCCAGCCTGGGTAGCAGAGCGAAATTCTGTCTCCAAAACAGAAAGATAAAAAGGGTGGAAAGCACCACGTACTGCCACATGAGGTTGTTGAGTGCATTAAATGGGATAATGTGTGTGAAGTACTCAGTGTAATGCTTGGCACCTAATACATGGTGAGGCTTAATACTTGGCAAAGAATTATTATTATGTCATAGGTAGATAAACCAAGTTGTTCAAATAAGCGGTTATTATTACGCGATAGTGTCTCCTGCCATTTTCTTCCATTCTCTTCCCTTCCTGGTGAAATTCTGCTTTTCTATAGGAAACAGAGCTAACTTAAGAGATGCATACATTCTTCTTTTCTAATGTGTTTTTAAAGAGTCCACATTTTCTGAGGAGCTTTCTGGAGACCATCTGTATCTTCATTCACAGGAGTGCCTCTACTCTGGACATCCAGGGACTTCGGAGAGCTGGAAGCATAAGGACTGTGCAATGACAGAATCTGTGTTTTCTACCACACCCTGCCTGTGAATAGTCCTAATATTTAAAAAGTGAGTAAACGGCC
Source organism: Homo sapiens (assembly GCF_000001405.40). Lineage (NCBI taxonomy): Eukaryota > Metazoa > Chordata > Mammalia > Primates > Hominidae > Homo > Homo sapiens. The sequence continues at coordinate 173,280,937 of NC_000005.10, forward strand.
CGGCACGGTGGCTCACGCCTGTAATCCCAGCACTTTGGGAGGCCGAGGCAGGTGGATCACGAGGTCAGGAGATCGAGACCATCCTGGCCAACATGGTGAAACCCCGTCTCTACTAAAAATACAAAAAAAATTTAGCCAGGTGTGGTGGCGGGCGCCTGTAGTCCCAGCTACTTGGGAGGCTGAGGCAGGAGAATCTCTTGAACCTGGGAGGCGGAGGTTGCAATGAGCCGAGATTGCACCACTGCACTCCAGCCTAGCGACAGAGTGAGACTCCTTCTCAAAAAAAAAAAAAAAAAAAAAGTGAATAAACAATATGAAATCAACATAGAAGGAGAAAACAACTCCTAGCCCTATGACCTCAGCAATTCAATTTTATTTGTTTTCCTTTTGTTTCTCCTACAAGTACATAGAATTTTTAGATATCTGGAATCAAAATATTGAATATGTTTTTGTGTTCTTCCTTCCATTTGTAGAATTTTCCCAAGTTACTGCGTAATCTTCATTATAATTGTAAATATGCATTCAAGTGGATGCATCAGTTTATTTAGCCATCACTGTTATTTATGTTGCTTATAATCTTTTTTTTTTTTTTTTTAATTATACTCTTAAGTTTTAGGGTACATGTGCACATTGTAAAGGTTAGTTACATATGTATACATGTGCCATGCTGGTGCGCTGCACCCACTAAGGTGTCATCTAGCATTAGGTATATCTCCCAATGCTATCCCTCCCCCCTCCCCCGACCCCACCACAGTCCCCAGAGTGTGATATTCCCCTTCCTGTGTCCAAGTGATCTCATTGTTCAATTCCCACCTATGAGTGAGAATATGCGGTGTTTGGTTTTTGCATCTTTGCAGACTTAACTATGAATAATTTTTAAGATTACAAGCCGCTGCTTGTAATCTTAAAAATTATTCATAGTTAAGTCTGCAAAGATGCACATAGTTCCCCCATGCACCTGATTTATTTTGTCTCCCATTGAGACCCATTTATATTTTCAGCCAGTGTCACTTTGAGGGTTAGTAAATTTCCTACCTTTGCTGTCAGCTGTGTGAAGTGGCATGCCTTTGCTTTATCTCTAGAATTGTTCTTTAAGTGTCGCGAGTAGTTTGGTTCTGTTAGTCTAGGCTGGGAGAAGAGAGGAGAGGGGAGCGCCCCTGGGTAGGTTGAAATCCAAAGCTCAATGTTGCCTTCAAGTGAGAACATGTAGGAACTGCAGGGTCGGGAGATGGGTCTCTGCCTTGGATGGGGCACTTGAGTTTGGGTGTAGGATTGAGATCTTTAGGAGACACTAATCTGGTTCAGAGATGGACCTGGGGCAATTAGATGACGATCACCAGATAGTTGACTTTCTCGATTCATTTTTTTTTTTTTTTTTTTTTTTACGGAGTTTCACTCTTGTTACCCAGGCTGGAGTGCAGTGGCTCAATCTTGGCTCACTGCAACCTCCGCCTTCCGGATTCAAGCAATTCTCCTGCCTCAGCCCCCCAAGTAGCTGGGACTACAGGCATGTGCCATCACACCTGGCTAATTTTTGTATTTTTGTAGTAGAGACAGGATTTCACCATCTTGGCCAGGCTGGTCTCGAACTCCTGACCTCAGATGATCTGCCCGCCTTGGCCTCCCAAAATGCTGGGATTACAGGTATGAGCCACCTCGCCTGGCTTCTCGATTCAGTTTTTATTCCATTCAGTTTTACGATTTCCTTACTAGAAGAAGAAGAGGAAGAAGAGGGAGAGGGAGAATGGAAAGAGCCACCAAGAATTAAAAACTGCTATTCGCCAGTCTTTTTGCTAGGTGGTTTACATACATCCATGCTAAATTTTATGATAATACTCTTATAACTACTGTTTTACAAATGAGAAAACTGAGACTCGCGAGGTCAAGTTATTTGCCCAAAGTCACCCAGCTGTCAGATGCAGGAACCAGGTCCAAATAAAGTCTGTTGGGTTCTAAGTCCTGACCATTTTGCTATAGCAGGCTGATCTCCCGATGAAACTGTCAAGGACGATGCAGATCCCAGCCCAGGTTGAATTGGCAAATCTTCAAGTCAAGTCTGTGGCTTCGGTGACTCCATGGCCCTGCTATTCTCACCGGAGCTCTGCCTCTCGGGCCCCACTGGAAGCCCTCTATGTCAGCGGGCCAGGGCGCTTTACAAGCACGCAGTACCTCATGGACCCATCCTGGTTCCTCAAGGCAGCCCTGGACAGTTAAATGGCCTGGGCCCCCTGTGGCTCTGGGCGTCCTGGACCTGAGGCTCTAAGGCCGAACCTGCTCCCTGCCCTAGAGAGGGAGGGTCACCAAGCAGTCAAGTGCTGCCAGCCAGCCCTCCTGCCCCCAGGGCTAAGGAGGCAGGGCCAGCAGCAACCCCTAAACTGTCTCCCTCCTCCTTTAAAAACATTAGGTTAAAAAACCAAGAACGTGTAAGAAAGGAAAAGCAAACAAAAAATCTTCCCAATCCCAATTTCCAGATAATTCCTATTAAGACTAGAGGGAGAGAGGGAGATAAGAGAGGGAGAGAGGGGAAGGGGGGGGGGAGAGAGAGACAGAGAGAGAGAGAGAGAGAGAGAGAGAGAGAATACATTCCCACGGCAAAACAGTCATTCAAACAGCACAGAAAGGCAGAAAATAAAAAGTAAACTGCTGGGTTTCCTTCAAGAATTTTCTTGTGCGTGGGCCAATAGACAAGTAATGCATCTAGTTACTTGCACACATTTAGAATCCACAAAGGGGTGGCACTCCAGGCGCGTCCAGCACGTTGCTTTTCTCATTTGCTGCTGCTCCGGGATCTTTGGCAGCAGCAAAACCCCATTCTTTTAAGGGCTGCGCAGAGTTGTGCCGCCCATGCCCGGCTGGTTTGAAGGTGCCCCATGGGCGGGCGCGGACGTGTGGTTGCTCCAGTGTTTCCTAGAGCACTCTCAGCCACGCCCCCGCCACCCCAGCGGCGCTGCAGGAACCAGCCCGCCGCCAGCGCGAAGGTGAGACCGGGCGCCACGTGCTTACCCGGCGGCCTCCGGAACCAGCCCTGCCCGCCGGCTGTGCGCGGATGCCTGCAGACGCCGAGCTGCTGCCCCCGTGTGGCCTGGTGCGGGGGCTCCTCCTGCTCACTGGGGGCGCGTCCCGGTAAACCAGAACCTCAGCCCATCAACTCACTCGTGGGGTTACTGAGGAGGAGAATCTTTGGTTCTCACCGTCATGGCTCACCCAGTGGCTGAATCCCGCTCGCACGTGCCGCATCCAGGCAGCTGTGGAAACTGGTTGAAACCAGGATGGTCAGCTGCTACCCTGTGTTTGGGGGACTATGTGACAGTGCCTGCTGTGTCCCTATTCTGGTGCTAAAAAGCAGGAGCTCTCTTATGCTCACATGGAAAGGCCTGTTGGAGTCAGATAAACTTGGCTCCACCACTTATATGCTGAGTCTGTTCATCCATCCATCCACCATCCATCTATTCGTTCACCCTCCCATCCATCCATTCATCCGTCCGTCCACCCTGTCATCCAACCACCTGTCCATCTATTCATCCACCACCCTTGCATATTTTCATCCACCCTCCTATCAATCCATCTATCCATCCATTCATTCATCAGTCCACCCATCCATGCATCCATCCATCCATCCACCCATCCCTTCATCCATCCAACCATCCACCCATTCATCTACGCATCCATCCACTCACCCACCCATCATTCAACTATCCACCCAACCATCCATCCATTCATCAGTCCATCCATCCATCCATCCATCCCCTCATCCATCCAATCATCCACCCTTTCATCTATCCATCCATCCACTCACCCACCCATCATTCAACTATCCACCCAACCATCCATCCATTCATCAGTCCATCCATCCATCCATCCATCCATCCCCTCATCCATCCAATCATCCACCCTTTCATCTATCCATCCATCCACTCACCCACCCATCATTCAACTATCCACCCAACCATCCATTCATTCATCAGTCCATCCATCCATCCATCCACCCATCCCTTCATCCATCCAACCATCCACCCATTCATCTACGCATCCATCCACTCACCCACCCATCATTCAACTATCCACCCAACCATCCATCCATTCATCAGTCCACCCAACCATCCATCCATTCATCAGTCCATCCATCCATCCATCCATCCATCCCCTCATCCATCCAGTCATCCACCCTTTCATCTATCCATCCATCCACTCACCCACCCATCATTCAACTATCCATCCAACCATCCATTCATTCATCTGTCCATCCATCCATCCTTTCAGTCATTCAAAATTATTTGTTGAGTGTTGATATGGTTTGGCTGTGTCCCCACCCAAATCTCATCTTGAATTGTGTAGCTTCTGTAATTCCCACGTGTTGCAGGAGGGACCTGGTGGGAGATAACTGAATCATGGGGGTGGTTCCCCCATACTGTTCTCATGGTAGTGAATAAGTCTCACGAGATCTGATGATTTTATAAGCGGTTTCCCCTTTCACTTGGCTCTCATTCTCTCTTGTCTGCTGCCATATAAGATGTGACTTTTGCCTTCTGCCATGATCGTGAGGCCTCCCCAGCCAAGTGGAACTGTAAGTCCATTACACCTCTTTTTCTTTATAAATTATTTGGTCTTGGGTATGTCTTTATTAAAGTGTGAAAACAGACTAATACAAGTGTCAACTTGTGCACCTTGAGTGCTGAGCTCTATGACTTTGGATAAGTTACTTTACCTCTTTGAGCCTCAGTTTCCACATCTGCAAATTGAACATAATGACACCTAAATTTTGCAAAGTTGTTGGGAAGACTTAACAAAATAATGTAGGTGAAATACATGGTACATAGTAGATGCTCTGTAAATGGCATTTACAAGTTCTGAAATTTAGAAGACACCTAATCTTGTAGAAGCTTATGTATTAGTTAGGGAGGCCTGACGTAGGTACATAAAGCAATTGGAGAGTTTTAACGAGTATAAAATATTGCAAGACTGTTGTGCATGCATGTGTGTGCTTGCATACATGTGTGTACCAACTGCAGGCCTGTGGGCTGAAGCAGTGCAAAGTGAGGGGCTAGAGTGGACTTCTTCAAGAGGTGAATCTTTTTTTTTTTTTTTCTGGTAGAGACTGGGATCTTGCTATGCTGCCCAGGCTGATCTTGAACTCCTGGCCTCAAGTGATCCTCCCAATTTGGCTGCCCAAAGTGCTGGGATTATAGGTGTAAGTCACTGCGTGAGTCCCTAGTTAGTCTTTAAGAACCAGGAGTGCTAGAGAGAAGTGGAAAGGGTGTATTCGGACAGGGACTGCTCAAGCAAAAATATTTTCCTACACAATAGTGCTTGCATGTTCAGCCTATCAGCCATGGCATTAGCCCAAAACAAAACCAAACCAAACAAAACAAAAACTCACTAATGGTGGGCCCTGTCAAGACAAACTATTCCCTGAGGAAGGGAAGCAGCCAGCCTATTCTGAGATTAAAAAATCAACGAGAGGCACTTTAGCCACAGATTGCTAAATTCACTTAGCTCAGGAGTCCACTGTGAACCTAGACAGAATTTGCTAGATTGCTTGCAGGGGCGGGTTCAAAGATTCTGGTCCAGCCAACAATTATTAAATACTTGCTACTTGCCAATGATTATTAAAGATTGTGCTGGATTCCTCACATACCTATAAGGTGGAATTATTACACTCATTCTCAGAGGAAGAGACTGAGGGTCAGAGAGGATAAATGACCTGCCCAGGGCCACACAGACTGTAGATGTAGTCAGGGTTCCAACCGAGGTTTCCTCCTGATTCACCGGTTTTCTCCTATACCTCCTCTACCTTCTCTCTTATTCTGTCCTTAGCTTCAGGTAAGAACTACCTGAAGCTAATAATTGGGTCTTCCATGTTGTTGGCCCGAGCATCTGGGAACTCTCTCTTCCCTGTCAGGGAGGACATAAGTGGCCCTCTTCATCCAGAATGCTTGGAGGGAACTCAGGAAAACCCCAGGGGATCTCTCTCTCTTTAAACGGTAACCCTGACCACAAGCACTGACTTTTCAGTCTCAGAGTTTATTAAGAAAGCTATGCAGTACCCTACTGTGATCAGCCACAATATTTTGGTTACAACGATTTTTAAAATTAGTTTGTGATGCTTACCTTAGGCTTCTTTACTTTCCTTAGTAAATAAATGTTTTACAACTTAAAATAACTTGTATAAATCAAAGAAAATGAAAGGACTCATAAACTTCTACCATCCCAATATAGCACTTTTCTCTCTTAACAAGTCCTGGACAGAGGACTAGACAGTGATGACGCATCTGGGGCGCAGCCTGTACACCTGCGCTGGGGATCTCTCCCTCGGAGAGGATGGGGAGCGTGGGGGTGGGGCTACCAGGGCAGTAGGGAGGCGGGCTTGGTGCAGGTGGTTTCACGGGCAGGGGTTGAGAAGGAGGGAAGGGGCTGGGCAAAGCATAAAGGAGGTGGAGGGATGGTGAGTTCAGAGGGCAGGATTGGCCACCAAAATGAGTGAATAGTGCACTGAGGAAGTAGATTTCAGGTAAGGAGATGAGTTTAACAAATTCTGGATGAGGGCACCTGGAAGGCAACTTTGAGCATCTAGTTGATGCATCAGTGGGTGCAAAGGGGACGAGTTTTCTTTTCTCTCTTTCTTTTTTTTTTTTTTTTTTGAGACCGTCTCACTCACTCTGTTGCCCAGGCTGGAGAGCAGTGGTGTGATCTTGGCTCACTGCGACCTCCACCTCCCGGGTTCAAGCGATTCTCCTGCCTCAGCCTCTAAGTAGCTGGGATTACAGGCGTGCACACCACATCAGCTAATTTTTTATTTTCAGTAGAGACAAGGTTTCACCATGTTGGCCAGGCTGGTCTCGAACTCCTGACCTCAAGTGATCCACTGGCCTAGGTCTCCCAAAGTTCTGGCATTATAGGTGTGAGCCACTGCGCCCGGCCTGGGAATGGGTTTTCTTAAGGTCCTGGACCAAAAGGAAGATGTTAGGAGGCTCGCAGGGGATGAGGTCATGAGGTCTCCTCACACCTTGCTCAGGAAGCATTAATTGGTCTAGCCCCTCTGAGGGCAATTTGATAATATCAGTTCACACAAAACGCTCACTTCTCTGACTCAGTGTTTCCACCTCTAAGAATGAACATCCCCCAAAGTGCCCAAAGTTACAGGCACAGGGGTGCTCTCAGGGGCTCTGCCTGTGTTAGAAAAAAAAAAAATCGGAAGTAACGTCCACCTACAGGGGACTGGTTTAAAAACCAGTGAAACTCTGTGCCACCATTGAAACGAACACAGTCGCATATGTCAATTGCGTGGAGAAATGAGCAAGTCAAAAGGAGATGCAATGTGCACCTGACTCCAGTTTCATAAAAACATACTGCAAGTAATTCCTGTCTTTGTGCATGGAAATAATTACTTAGTTGATTGTGCATCAAATTATTTATGGGTACATAGGGGTTGTTCATTTTTAAATATTTTTAATATTTCTCTGATTTTAAAAGTTTGTGTCATGTACGGGCGTAAGTGGCTGGCCTGCGATGTCTACTGGTCAAAGCGGGCAGTCTCCCTCTTGGGAGGAAGCGTGGTGGCGAGGTCACCAGGGATGCGGGGTGCACAGGCTCCAGGCTGTGTGGGTGCAAAGGCGGGAGGTGGGGGAAGTAGCTGTGAGGTAGACCCTGGCTGCGTGGGGTGGGGTTGGGGCCACTTCCTTTCTACCTCTCCTGGCAGACCACAGGCTGAGGCTACCTGGGCGAGGTGGCCCCAACACATCTGCAAGGAGCTCTATAGCCCACCAAACTGTTCCTCCTGCGTCCTTTTCATCCAGGCCCCGAGCAATCCTGTGACACAGAAATTATTGTCATCTCTACTTTACAAATGAGAGAATGAGGGCCCAGACCAGGTGAGTGACTTGTCCAAAGTCACACAGCTCTTGTAGAGCCCAACTTTGAGCCCAGGTCCTTGGCTCATCCTCTGTCTCACTCTCTCTGCTTGGAAAGATGCCTGGAGAGTAAGGAGCTGAACTTTGACTCTGATGGGAACCCAGTGAGGCCAGAGGTCAGGCCAGTGATCCAGGAGCATCCTTCCATATCAGAGTTGCAAAGTGGCGGCCCACACAAGGTGCTTTGTTTGATCTGCTTGGTGTTTTTAAGAGCTTTGAGTGAGTTGGCAACATTTATTTTATTTTATTAAAAAAAATAGGAGGTCTCACTATGTTGCCCAGACTGGTCTCGAACTTCTGGGCTTAAGCAATCCTCCTGCCTCTGCCTCCCAAAGTGTTAAGATTACAGGTGTGAGCCACCTCACCCGGCCACCAACATTTAAAAATCAGATTTCATGCTAAATCCAGATGTCCAGCTTTTCTTAAAAATATTGGAGTCCTCATTCCTGTTAAGGCAACCAGCCGGCTACAGCAGCTGCTTCCTTTAGTCTGAGTGTGCTGTGTCCAGGGCACCGCAGTCCCCACCACGCCCTCTTGTTTCCCACCCCTGATCTGCGTCACCATCAAGCGAAGTAAGAGCTGTAGAGATGATAGGTAGGAGCATGGATTGTGGAGCCAGAAGGCCTGGATTTGAATTTTACCAACTGGCTGTGTGACCTTGGACAAGTTAGTTCACTGCCTTGGTTTACAAACCTGTGAAATGGGGACATTCATTTAATTTCGACTAATTAAACCAGTTTTTAACATTGAAAAATCAGGAGATCTCATAGAATGCCTTGAAAAATCAGAAAACCTGGTAATACAGGTCTCAGGGCTGATAGCACATATCTCATAGGGTTGTTTTAAGAGTCTTAAATGAATTTTCCTCCCTCCCCCCTTCCCTCCCTTCCTCCTTCCCTCTCTCCCTCCCTCCCACCCTCCCTATCTTACTTTCTCCTTCCCTTCCTTCCTTCCTTCCTTCCTTCCTTCCTTCCTTCCTTCCTTCCTTCCTTCCTTCCTTCCTTCCTTTCATCCCTTCCTTCCTTGACAGGTCTTGCTCTGTCACCAACGCTGGGGTGCAGTGGTTGGATCACTGTAGCTTCAACTTCCCCAGGCTCACTGTAGCCTCAACTGCCCAGGCTCAAACAATCCTCCTGCCTCAGTCTCCCAACTAGCTGGGACCACAGATGTTCACCACCACTCCTGGCTAATCTTAAAATTATTTGTAGAGACAGGGTCTTGCCATATTTCCCAGGCTGGTCTTGAACTCCTGGGCTCAAGTGATCCTCCTGCTTCGGCCTCCCAAACTGCTGGGACTATAGGTGTGAGCCACCACACCCAGCCTTATTATCATTGTTTTCTAGTTGTGGGTGTTTTCATTTTTGGACTGTTGCTCTCCCTTTACAGTGACAGATTTCTTTTTCTTCTAGAACTACGAATCTTTGTTTCCCTGTGATCAGACAGATAGAGTTTGCAGGGAGGGTTAGGTATGAACCCGTTGGAGATGTTGGATGAAGCAAGGCAAGTGGAGACGATTCCTCTGAGAACCTGGGCTGCTTTCTACCATGGCCACACTTTTGGGGGCTGCCACCCCTGGCTGGGAACCTGCCCTGACCTAGGGAGCCACTGAGCAGGGTGTCACTCAGCGTCCCCAACACCCTGGCCTGTCAGGCTGAGTCCAGTTCCTCCTGCTCAGCACCAGACACCTCCAGACCCTGGAGTCGGGAGGCAACTTAAACAAAGGCGTTTATCTCACCCGGGCTCTCCTGCTGCTCTGCTGGACTGCTCAGCCAGGCTCTGGACAGCATAAAAAGTCAGGCTCGGATGACAGAGGCAGAATTTAGAGCCCTTTTGGATGGCAGCTGGGATCTGAGCTGTCAACCGGAGGCGAGTCAACACACTCAGGCTCGCTGCAGCTCTGCACAGAGAGGGCAGGGCAGTGATGCTGTGCAGAACTCCCGTCTAGTCCGGCTTTTTTCTATTTATAATTTCCCTTGATAATAGAGCCCATTCATTGCCTCCGCAGGCCCCTAATTGCTCTGGAGCAGAGGGATGACAGCCTAATTATTAACTTCACAAAAATTGAAGTTGGGCTGTGTCAACAAAGTCCACTCACTGTCACCCAGATGCGACTCTTTGCCCTTCATGGTGGCAAAGGGCAGTTAGGAAAAAAAAAGAAAGAAAGAAAGAAAAAGGCTGGCGTGGTTCCAGCTTAAGCAGGCTTTTATTTTCTGGCCTAAAATTATTTTGGGGGAGGCTCTACTTAGAGGAAAGAGAATGCCTGTTTCCTCTTTGTTGTAAGCTGTGGTCAGCTGGTCACCATGCCCCCGACTGGAGGTGACGTTTTTGATCTTTGGAAATATGACCTGAGAAAATGTTAAAAGGGACCTTAGCGACTGTGTGGCTGTGATTAAAAACGGGGCCCAATTCAGCCTGCAGATATGTTTTATTTGGCTAGCAGAATATTTAGCAAACTTTTTTGTTTTTTAAATTGAGGGAAAACTCACATTACATAAAATTAACCACTTTAAAGGGTACAATTCAGTGACATTTAACACATTTCACAATGTTTTATGACTATCACCACTACCTAGTCTCAAAACATTTTTATCACCCCAGAAAAAACCTCTGTCCCCCTTAAGCACTTACTCCCCGTGTCCTTTCCTCCCAGACCCTGGCCACTGCCAATCTGCTTTTTGCCCTTTCTGGATAGTCCATCTAAATGGAATCATGCAAACTGTGGCCTTTTGTGATTGGCTTCTTTCACTTCCCATAAGGTTTGCAAGATTCTCCTGTATCATAGCATCCTTTCTCAAAGGCTGAAAAATGATAAAAAGCTTTTGAATTCATTTCTGTCAGCCTTATTGAAATATAATTTGCCGCCCACACAATTCACCTATTGAAATGTACAAGTCAAGGGTGCAATTCAGAGTTGTGCAACCATCACAATTAGTTTTTAACACTGAAAAATCAGGAGATTTCATAGAATGCCTTGAAAAATCAGAGGACCTCGTAGCACACAGCTGGCATCACAATGCTAAATGGGACTTGCACTCACAGGTCTCCTAGGGCCCCGCCACTTCCTGCTGTGCTGACCTGGCCACTGCGCTCATTTCCTAACTGCATAGCCCTGGAGGGATGTGAGCCCGGATTCTAGTCCAACCCCTGATTGGACAGATGGAGAAACTGAGACCTGGGTAGGCCACGCTGCTTATTCAAGGTCACACAGTGATATAGCTGTGAGTGGAATCCGCGTTTTGGACTCCCACTGCCCTGTGGCTCTTTCCACAGGTATTTAAGCTAATCATCAGCATTTTAATCTTAAGGGCAGTGTAACCCTGCGTTTATGACAGGCTTTGTGCTGAATTTGATTAATGTGCACTTTGAGGACATCTCCAGTTTCCTTTGGGAAAACACCCCAAGTAATCATGTGGTTTGGGCAGGGCAGGTCCTGACCCCCTTTCCTGCAGGAGTGCTAGTGACTTCCCAGGCCTGATGGTCAGGCTGCATTGCCTTAGTGTTTGGATTAGCATTGAGGAATTTTGTTGGAATTATTGGGAAAGAGAAGCTCTCTTCCTACTAAGGCCCTGAGAAGCTGAGATGTCAGCTGCAGCCTGGTGGGGGGCCATCTTGCCATTGTGTTGAAAGAGACTGCCTGAGATTTGAGTCAGTACAGAGGAAAGAAGAACCAAGAGACAGACAAAGCAGATTTCTCCCTTTCTCATACTAACCAGGCCTGACCCTGTTTAGCTCCTGAGATCAGGCAAGACCAGGCATGTCCAGGGCGGTGTGGCTGTAGACAGAGAAAGCAGATTTCTAATGGCACCATTTGAGCACACTGATGTAGCTGTGCCTGAAACCCTAATCTTTTTAGTTTTCAGTTTAATAACTCAATATATTCTATCTTTCCTTTTTTTTTTTTTTAACTGGATTGAGTTGGATTTCTGTCACTTGCATTAAACTGATCAATCCAAAGTATATAAAACACTAAATTCGGCCAGGCGCGGTGGCTCATGCCTGTGATCCCAGCACTTTGTGAGGCCAAGGCGGGCGAATCACCTGAGGTCAGGAGTTCGAGACCAGCCTGGCCAGCATAGTGAAACCCTGTCTCTACTAAAAATACAAAAATTAGCCAGGCGTGGTGGCAGGCGCCTGTAATCCCAGCTACTCGGGAGGCTGAGGCAGGAGAATCGCTTGAACCTGGGAGGCGGAGGTTGCAGTGAGCTGAGATCGAGCCATTGCACTCTAGCCTGGGTGAGAGTGAGACTCCATCTCAAAAAAACAAAACAAAACAATGCACTAAATTCACTCAAAGAATATTTATTGAATACTCACACTATACCAATGTTTTAAAATACATTATCTCATTTTACTCTTATAGTAAGACAGTGATGTGGGCAGCTATAATTATTTCTAGTTTACAGGGGACTCGATGGGAGGTTAGAGAGATCACTCACCCAAGGATACTCAGATTGTGAGTGGATGGCCTGGGGTTTCCACTTCAAGGCTGGCTCCTGTGCCCCAGCTCCCTGGGACATCACAGGAAATGCTTTTCAGTTTCCCAAGGACCGTAAACATATCTTTCCTCCCCATCCTCAAAGTATTCCAGACTTTGGAAGTGTGGAAAAGTTGGAATATATGGGTGTTGGAATACATTTAAAAAATCCCACCATTCACAAATAACCCACACCAATTTTAACTTAATTCTAGATTTTCAGTGCAGTTTTTTAATACATGAAAGGTTATATAAAAGGAATCAAATATCAGTATGTACAATGTCATATTCTGCATTCTCATTTAAAATGATGTCAAAAGAATGAGGAATAGTCTCTTTTAAACAATTAATTAATTAATCAATTTTTGTAAAGACAGGGGTTTCACTATGTTGTCCAGGCTAGTCTCAAACTTCTGGGCTCAAGTGATCCAGTGATCCTCTTGCCTTGGCCTCCCAAAGTGCTGGTATTACAGGCGTGAAGCCACCGCGTCCAGGACTGTCTTGAAGGTACTTTCGCCTGAGTTAGAGGGAAGAGGCACGCTGAGGCTTTGGGGTAGACTTAGAGCTGGCCCCGGCTTGTACAGGATGTGGCCCGGCAGCCACCAGGTGATGAAGGGAAGCCTTCCACGTCTATTTCCTCCACCGACAGAGCGGGCTGTAGTGGAGTTAGTGTAAGGGCGAGTCCCGTAGAGACCTGGCCGTCCGTGTGAAGAGGTCTTCAAACCCGTTTGGCGTGAGGATTCCCCTGCCTTTGCCCGCTTGATAAAAAACGCGCGGTGTTCTCTCTCCATGGCCGCCAGGTGGCGATGTGGAATAGGAAACGAATCGCTGCTCAGTGCGTGAAAGGCGAAATAAAGGGAGAGCAAAGCGGAGATTTTTAGAGAAAAGAAGGAAGCAAGCTGAAAATGCACAGCCACTAAGGGTGTGTGCACCATGCAGAGTGAGGAGGGAGGGCGAGAGCCCGGCAGAAGTAGACACACACTGGGGGAGAAAGATACAGCAGCAAGGAGCCAATGAACACAGTGTCATTAAAAACCTCCTATGAGAGGAGGTTTTCCTGTGAGTTCTGGGGCCACAGGGATCAGGTTTGGATGAGGTTCAGGCACTTACCGGTGATGCGATTGTGGCAAGTTGCTTTGCTTCTGAGCGTCAGGCCTCTTGTCTGTAGAATGGACCGTTCCTCGGGGCTGCAGGGCAGATGGGAAACGGAGAAAGGGGGCTCTTGTCCTACGGGCTCACTCTGCCTGCTGGGAAGGTGCAGTAAGCTCACGATTCTCCCTGTGCCCGTTGGCACTGTCATCTTCCTCCGAGCCCTCTCTGGGTGCCTTGTTCGTAGAAAGCTTCCAATACTGTATTGGTTGCATTGGATCAGTTGAGCGGGTGTACTCTACAGAACATGATCAGAGGTTTCGAGTTGTGAGCTAGACAGTAGCTACTACAGGCTATCAGATAAGGGGGCCAGGAGGGCTTCCTGGAGTAGGTGGGGCTTGAGCCGGTCTGAGAAATCAGGCGGTAACTGAGTAGGGAGATTAGGATCTCGGCATTCTAGGTTCAGGGGACAACGTGAACAAAGGCCTGGATGTAGGAAGGGATGTGGTGTGTGTACAGGATTTGCTCCTGGTGCTGGGTGAGTGAATCAGAGCAGTCTGGGGAGGAGGACGCTTCGTGGGAAGCCCTAAAATCCCAGCCAGAGTGCTCGAACTTGCCCTGGCAGATGTGGTCTTCTGGGTAGCCAAGTCCAGGATGCCTGTCCCTGGGGCAGCCACCAAATCAAGCCTGTCCTGGTTCCAAATGCTCCTGCCTTGGCCAACTCTGAAGGCTGAGATCCTGGAGGAGCTTGCTGTCTGCTGAGGCACCTGCCAGGTACAAAGGATGTCGGGGTGGGCAAGTGGGCTCAGGTGCCAAGCTGAAGGATGTCAGTGTGGCCATTGAGACCTGGATGCTCCCAGGCCTCTGGAGGTTCATGGTCTCTGGGATGTCTGAATCCTCATCTGCAAGGATAGGTTAGGACAGGGAGTGTCTGAAAGGTTCAGAGGGATTGCTCTCGACCAACACACTCTCTGTCCCTCTCCTCCATCAGCTGCCTTGGTGAAGTGGGAATGAATACAGCTGGCCCCCTCCTTGTGGGTGGGGGGGGGGGTGAGGAGCCAAGAAGTAGGGCCATGGGGGAGGGGGGAGGGATAGCATTAGGAGAGATACCTAATGTTAAATGAAGAGTTAATGGGTGCAGCACACCAACATGGCACATGTATACATATGTAACAAACCTGCACGTTGTGCACATGTACCCTAAAACTTAAAGTATAATAAAAAAAAAGAAAAGAAAAGAAAAAAGAAATAGGGCCATGGGCACCTCATTGGGTGAGCACTAGGTCTCATGAACCACAGAACCCCAGGACTAGGGATGAACTAGGCAATCCGTGTGTTCTTGTTAAAGGCAGCTCCCCAGATCCTAGCTACGGAGTTGCTAGCTAGAGGCTCATTGTAAGGACCTCAGTCCTAATACAAAGACCTCAGTGCTTATAATGTAAGTGGTCACTGGGCTGTGCTTGGAACAAGACCCTTGACTTTATCCTTGTGTTTGGTAAAGGTAACCCACTCCACTGCTTGGCTTGGCACTCATCTCCCGGGAAGGGGAGCTGACATTTATTGGGCATCTATTTTCTGCCAAGAACACATACATTATCTCATTTAATCCTTTCCAAGCCCTATGAGTTAGGTATTATTCTCCCCATTTTACAGCTGAAATGGGGCTCAGAGAGGTTAAACCTCTTGCCAAAAGTCACACAGATCATAAGTGGCAGAGGCAGAATTCTAACCCAGGCCTGTTTTAGAGCTCCATAGGCATTCACCCATTCAATCAGATGCCAACACTTGCATCCCAGTCTGATTTTCCAGCTGCTGTCTGTGGCTATAGCTTTTTCCATTTCCTTGTCTGATTTCTGGCTGTCCATTTCCATGCTGCTCATCCACACAGGGCAGATGCTCGGGCAATTTTGCAAGAAGGTGCCGAAGAGACGAGAAAGCAGAGAGATAAAGGAGTGACAAAATGGAATTTCAGGTTGTGAGTCATCTCTCTTAAATTTGTGGATTTTGAGATGTTTTGCTGAAGACATCTTTTCATCCC
The DNA here is from genome assembly GCF_000001405.40 of Homo sapiens. NCBI lineage: Eukaryota > Metazoa > Chordata > Mammalia > Primates > Hominidae > Homo > Homo sapiens. The sequence goes on from NC_000005.10 coordinate 173,296,445, forward strand.
CAAAGCCTAATAATAATAATCACAACAATATTGATACAGCGGCTATCATCACTGAGTGATTTTTATGTGCTAGCCACCGAGATCATGCAACCCTCTCGACATCCTATGACATAGAAACTATTATCTTTATTTTACAGGTGGCAAAACTGAGGGCCAGAAAAATGACTTGCCCGTAGTTACATAGCTAGTAATTTACACAGCTAATAGTAAGCTAGTATTTGAATCCAGCCATGGGGCCCCAAAACATAGGTGCTGAGCTGCTGTGTTCCTGCCTCCCAGCAAGCTGCACTGCCACTCTGATGAGGGATTCAGACTCAGGAAAGGCCAGGGATATGCCAGAGTTCTGCTGCAAGGGGAGGACCTGGGGGCGGAGAACTAGAGGCCTTTGAAGCATTGCCTCTGGGTTTCCAAGCCAGGAGGCCCCTAGGGTAGCAGGTGGAGCAGGGCAGCCCCTGCTGCTTGTCAAGGACGGCAGTGCCCCTTGCTCACATCTGTGCCACCCACCGCGCCCCCCCCATGGTCAGCACTAATGAGTGTGCACTGAGGACATGACCGAATGGGTAATGTACCCAGCGGAGGGTATCTGAAGGGTGGGGACACATGCATCCACTCCAGCTTTCTCTGGACTCTGACCTGCCCCTACATTTTCTCCCAGGGGGAACTCTGGCCAGAGGCTGTCCTGCAGCAAACGCGTGGTGCACAGAAGGGGGCCATTTCCACTGCAGCGACTGCATCACCTCCCCAACCCGAGCCTCTCTTGGGCAGTGGGTCCTGGGGTCACACGGGCCGCCAGTGCGCCTTCCTTGCTCTGGCCCATCTCTGCTTTGTTCAGAGTCAGGTTCTGTGGAGGAAGGCTGCGCATGCAGCCCCAGCCCCTCCTCAGGGCCCGTGGTCCCCGAGCTGCTGATGCTGGGGCCCACCAGTACCTCCCTCCCCTCCCCTCACCAGGAATCGCCCTTGGACTCCAGGAACACCTCACCCAAGGTCACGCCCCACCTCCAGTGGGCTGGCCTGTGGCTGCTGACTCCTGATGCCCTTGGGACTACTCTGCAGGATCACCATGTTCAGCTCTCCTTGTAGGACCAGCGGCGGCCTCACTTACTATGGCACAGTGGGCCGGCTTCTCCGCTGCCCACTCCCGCCTGGTCATTCCGTGCAGGGGCATCTCCTGACTGCTCTTCGCAACAAACCTTGCAATTTTCTGTCTTGAATCTGTTTCCTGTGAAGCCCATCGAAGACCACTGCCTTCTCGGGCAGGCCTCCACTGCCAGCTCCAGCTGCCTCCCCACCGTGAGTCCCCTGGCCTGGGGACAGATACAGGCTCATTCCCGAGTAGCCTCCGATATTGATTGGCTAACCTGGGATTGCTGGGAGGGACTGGTCCCCGCAACTGTAGCACATGGATTGAGGGGAGTTTCCCCTTGTCCCCAAACTGTCGTGCAGTTACCTGAAGACAGAGTGGGCTCCAAGCAGGTAAAAACAGCAGGAGTGTCTGTCCCGGCTAAAGGCTGCTCCTACGGCTACCAGCTCCCCAGCACCTCTGCCTGCCCCATGCACAGGCCTTGGGAAAGCCTCCAGGGAGAGAGGCACAGGTGTGTGTCCCAGCACGGAGTGTGCTGGTGTGAGGGTGGGGCACGGCCATGGCAGCGTCTGCTACACAGAGGTTGCGGGTGAGTGAAGGACAGAGGACTGGCTTCTGCAGGTGCTCATAATAATATTAAAAACTAGCATTGAAACTGCTCCTGAGATTTTGCAAAGTACTCTCAAATACATTATTTTTGTTCCTTTTGGAAACCCTGTGAGAAATAGTTATTTCAACTTTCCAAACAAGGAAATGAGACTTGCCAAGGACCCCCAGTCCAGGAGTGACAGACACCCGGCATTGTCCGCTCTCCCTGCTCTCTTGCGAGCCCACAGGCCCAGCCTCCCTTCGCAGCCCTATTGTCTGTAGAACTGCTGTTCCTCTGGGTTGCAGGGAGGATTAGAAAAGGAGAAAGGGGGCTCTTTTCAGCTGGAGAACTCTCATTGCGTGCTGGAAGGTCTGGGAGGCATTCTCGGTGAGAAGACTCTTGCGAAGGCAGAGATGACGGGAAGGGCGTGAGAGGGTTTTTGGGATGGCTGCTCTTCTGAAATCGGTGGCCGCTCTTTCTTCCCTGTGACCGTCCCTCCCTGGATTCCCACCCGGCTTCCTGGCCATAACTGCTGCTGTCATCATTATGTGGCCCTTTCCAGGAACAGTGGGTCGGGCTGTCCTGATGTTTTTCTGAATTCAAAGAATTTCACAAATCTCTCAGAACTCAGGGATGGCCCCAGCCGGGCCCTAGAGCCTTGCCGAGGAGGTCTCCCGTCCCTGATGAGCTGTTGGATTCCATGGGTCATTTCTCTGCCCCTTCTCTTCCCTTTGCTTCCCTTTCCTGCTCCCGCCCTCCCAGCTTGGCAGTCCCAGCTCCATTCCTGCCTTGATGCTTCCAAACCGGAGCTGTATTCTTGGGGGCTCTGCACTGGACATTCCCAGGTGGTGCCAGCGCGGATGGAACTCCCTGCTCCCCCAGCCCCTTGGAACCCCATCTCAACCTCAGCCCCCTGGCTGGCTCCTGGCATCTCCAATTTGTCTCTCAGATCAGGGCTCCAAGAACACGTGGGAATGAATGGCAGGACAGGCCCTCTCTTTAGCCTCTGCACTTCCCAGGGTACTGAGTGATGCTGAAGGGCCAGCCCCAGGCCGTCTTAAGGTGGAAACAAGGCAAAGGGAAACTGAAGTGAGAAACAAATGGAAGACGTAGAGAAAAGAATACTAGTAGCTACTATTTGCTAAGTGCCCTGTGCCGGTTAACTTACATAACTTATCATGCTTAATCTCTATAGCAGCCATCCGCAGTAGGTATCATGACCCCCATCTACAGATGAGGAAACAGAAGTTCATGGAGGGGTAATGACTTGCCCAAGGCCCTACAGCTAGTCAGCGGCAAAGCTGGGTAACCCTGAGCTCCATCTGGATCCCGGAACTCCCTTTGCTTTCCCTTTCCTCCCTCCCTTCCGTCTGTCTTGCTCCGAGCGCCACTCTGATTGCAGTGGTGCAATCATAGCTACTGTAACCTCTAACTCCTGGGCTCAAGTGATCCTGCGGCCTCAGCCTCCGGAGTAGCCGAGACTACAGGCGCGTGCCACCACACCCAGCTAATTAAAATGTTTTTCGTAGAGACAGGGTCTCTGTGCTATGTTGCCCAGGCTTGTCTTGAATTCCTGGCCTCAAGTGATCTTCCCGCCTTGGCCTCCCAAAGTGCTGGGATTACAGGTGTGACCCACCTCGCCCGGCATGACTTCCTTTTCTATTTCCAGCCCAGGCCTCCCAAGTTCAAGACCCTTGTATCAGGCCCCCTAATGAGGCCCAGGTCTGCCCAGTCAGTGTATTCCCTGTCCCTGACCACAGTGATAGTGACACAAACAGGGCCAATGAGGACCCTTGGGAGGAGAAGCTCCTTTTTCCCCAGGATTGCCCGTGAGAAGGAGGCTGGGAGCCTGCAGCCTCGGCAATGCCACGCGGCATCTTAGAATGAAGCGGGCACAGAGGGAGGCAGAGCTGAGACACTGAGAAGAGGAGGTGGAGGCCTCATGGTCCTGTCTGAGCCTGGGTCCAGCTATGCCTGAAACTTGGACCCTGACCTTTTTAGTCGAGTGAACCAATAAATCCTCCTTGTTGGCTTAAGCCAGTGTGAATTCGGTGGCTGCTACTGGTAACTGAAGTCATCTAATACAATGGCCAGGACTCACTCTATTTCTGTTTAAATGATTTTGCTGGATCTGGCTTTCTGAAGCCCCTTCCACACACAGGCCTTATGGTCAGCCTTGCTTCCTGGAAGGCTCAGAACCTTATATTCAGTTGTATTCATCCCAGCATAGAGCATAGAAGGTGCGTTGACTAGATTTTAAAAATTTCTACTGTGTATTTTTTTTTTTTTAATAAATAACTTTTGAGTTCTAGACTAACAGCTGGGATCCACCTCTCTGTTGCCTCTTCTGACCTCGTTGCATGTTTAATTCTCTTCAAGCCACTCCCCAGACTGTGGACTCTCTTTGTCACTGTGGCCCTCATTGCCTTTATAAGTGTGCACAGAACTCAGCGTGGCAGCTGCGAGTTCTCAGAGGCGCCCCTTCCTGTGGTGCTCTCAGGCACAGTGTAGGAGGCCAGGCCCAGTGTTCTGGGGACACTGTGGCCTGTCCTGCTTCCGTTCCTTGGCCAGCTTCTGGTCACCTTCAAGAGATGCTTAGCAGCCATTAAGGCCATCAGCTGATGGCTCAACCCTCTGGCTTTCTACTCTACCCAGCAGCAGGTATAGACAGAGAACTGACCACACACGCTTAGCTAGACCCTCATTCCTCAGTTCTTTTTCTCTTTCTCTCTTTCTTTGTCTTTCTTTCTTTCTTTCCTTCTTTCTTTCTTTCTTTCTTTTTCTTTCTCTCTCTTTCTCCTTCCTTCCTTCTCTCCTTTCTTTCCTTCCTTCCTTTCTTTCTCTCTCTTTTTCTTTCTTTCTTTCTTTCTCTCTCTTTCTCCTTCCTTCCTTCTCTCCTTTCTTTCCTTCCTTCCTTTCTTTCTTTTCTTTCTTTCTTTCTTTCTTTCTTTCTTTCCTTCTTTCTTTCTTTCTTTCTTTCCTTCTTTCTTTCTCTCTCTTTCTTTTCTTCCTTTCCTTTCTTTTCTTCCTTTCCTTTCCTTTCCTCTCCTCTCCTCCGCTCCCCTCCCCTCCCCTCCCCTCTCCCCTCCCGTCCCCTCCCCTCCCCTCCTCTCCCTTCCCCTCCCTTCCCCCCTCCCCTCCCCTCTCCTCCCCTCCCCTTCCCTTTCCTCCCCTCCCCTCCCCTCTCCTCCCCTCCCCTCCCCTCTCCTCCCCTCCCCTCCCGTCCTCTCCCCTCCCCTCTCCTCCCCTCTCCTCTCCTTTCCTTTCTGTCAGGGTCTCACTCTGTTGCCCAGACTAGTCTTGAACTCCTGGCCTCAAATGGTCCCCCTGCCTCAGCCTCCCTAAGTGCTAGGATTACAGGTGAGAGCCACCACGCTCAACTCTCAGTTCTCTTTCCTAAAGTGGGTCTGGGAGTCTAGAAAATTCTCTGTAAAAGGATTGGCTTGATTTTGGACTGCTGTTTGACCCAGTGGAGCTGGAACGGAGAAGCTGGTACCCCATCACAGGCTTGTTTGCTTTTCTAAAATTGCCCCTTTCAGCCCCATTTTGCCAACAGGAAAACCGAGGCAGAAACCAAAAAAAATGACCTGCCTGAAATCCTGAGAGTCTGACCTTTTGACTGTGAGTCCTACCCTGAGCATTTCTGCAGCACGAAATTCTTTCTGCTGCTCTACGTGGTCTCCTTCCTTCCAAGCAAGGGGGAAACACAGCTGTTGGAGCTTTGGGGGAGGATGTCATGCTCATTAGGACCCCCGCCCCGCCCAGGCAATGGCTCAATGGGATGAACTCCTGACCCTCGGGCCTGCTGCAGGAAGTGTGACGTACGGACTCTGGCTGGATTCAGGGGGCTGTGGGAGAGGCAGACAAGCAGGATTGAACTCTTGAGCCCAGGAGGTTAAAAATATGTAGGGGAATGGCAGGGCTAGAAGTGTGGATGGCTTCGCTTAGTTCCCGGAGGAATGGGCTTTGCCGGAATGATGTGTGAGCATCCGTGTGCTGGCTGCTGGGAGGGTCTGGGTGGGATTTGGTGGCCCTCAGAGGCTGCAGGTGTGGACGCTTGGCCTCCATGTCACTCTCAGACACCTTCAGGTCTCCCTGCAGGGCTGGGAGATTGTCTCAGCTGGGAGTCTTGGCTACACCAGGAGGTGGGCGGCAAAGGGCGGGAGGCTAGAACCTGTCCCTGTGCTGGGAGCCCCAGGCTCTCCTGTGGAACCCGTGGGGAGGCAGGGAGCTTGGCACCTTTGTACATGTGCCTTGTGGCGGGGGTGGGGGGTATTAGACAGAGCAGTGGGCCCCAGATCCAGAAACTGTTGAGGTGAAGGGTGCCCACCCTCCCTCCACATTCTGCCAAGTGCTTGTTGAACCCTGCTGAGTTTTGTTGCCCAGTGATCAATTCCCCTTTCTCTTTTGGCAACCTCGTCTTGATTTTCTTTTGAAGGAAATCTGAAACCCTGTGATTAGGGTGGGGCTGGCCCTCAGATCCATGGCTGGAGGCTAGACTGTGACTCAGCCTGGCCAATCAGAGCACTGTGCCCCTCTGGCCACAAGGATGAGTGTGTGTCCCAAGCTAGACCAGTGAAGCATATATCACTCAGGACAGGCCGAGTTAAGCTGCAGTAACAAATCATCCTGCTAATATCTCTTTACAACAAAAGTGTGTGTGTGTGTGTGTGTGTGTGTGTGTATGTATGCGTGTGTGTGTTTTAAATGCCCCCTCAACTACTGAAAAAGAGAAGCTCCCTCTCCGTACTGGCATTGCAAATCTGTGCATTTAACTCGGGGGGCTACCTGGCAGGGAGTCTGCCTGGGAATGAAGCTATCACAGAAGAAAGCCGAATGGAGAGAAGTGGATTCCTGATGTTATCATTTGAGCACCTGGAACCGGCCATGCCTGTTTCCCATTACCTGGGGCAATATAGTCTCCTCTATTTTTTCCTTTATTTATTCCTCCTTCCCTCTTGTTTTCCTCCTTCCATCCTTTTTCTTTTTTCTTTTTCTTAAACTGCTTTGAATTAGATTGCTATTGCTTACAACCAAAATAAGTCTAATCTATTAACCCAAACTCTATTTTTTTCCCAGTAGCTGGTTCAGAACTGGCCTCCTCCATGCAACCTCCCTAGATCAGTGCCCTCTCTTACAGATTCACTTATCCTTTTCAACGCTCCCTCAGGACTGGTAATTGTTATTTGCATGGTATCATTTTGTGCTTATTTGTATATTGTTATTTGGTGGTATTGTTCTTTTATGTCCTTAACTAGATATTTTCAAGTCAAGTAAAAAAAAAAACCAATAAAGATATTTACTGAACTCTTCTGGTTATGTGACAGTGTGCTGGAGGATGGGGTGGAGTGAGAGTAAGTCATTTAAACACAATAATAGAAGGCTGGGCCTTCTATTATTATAAGTGGCTCACCCCCTGTAATCATAGCACTTTGGGAGGCCGAAGTGGGAGGATTGCTTGAACCCAGGAGCTTGAGACCAGCCTGGGCAACATAAAATTAAACATCTGGGGAACACCTTAAAAAAAAAACTTTTTAAAATAGAAGATTTAAATTGGGTCAGAGATAAAACTCATGCATTGGGAAGGTTCGTTCAAGCTGGAGGAGTCTGGGAAGGGGTCAAGGAGGAGCGGGGATTAGTTCTAGGGGCTGTAGGAGGGTGACAGTCCTGGACTGAAGGTCACCTGCTTGGCTCTGATGATTTGGAGAAAGATTTCCCTCAGTAAGAAAACAGGGGGAGGGGCAAAGCGGTTGCTGCTGAGCAAATTGCCTCCGTGGTGCCCGGTCAGTCTTCATAGTCCCCTAACATTTGAAGCTGCCTCAACTGCAGACTCTGGCATCAGTTCTGTGACCAGCCAGGAGTGTGAGTGTGAACATTTCCTCTAATGTCTCTCTGGCTGAGTCAACACTACGGTTGTCACCTCACTGTGACCTACAGCCCCAGCAGGCCCCTCTCCTGTCTTGTTTCTCAGTGACCCTGCCATGACTCAGCTCTACCCGGATTCTTCACTTGAAACCTGATTCCATCTGGGGGTGGGGGGTCCTGCCGTGATCCGAGTCTTTGCAGGTGCTGAGCGCTGTCCAGGAACCTCCAGCTAGGTCCCTGTTGCCAGGCCGTGCACATTTCTGCTCTGCCCTTCACCTATTTCTGTCTGCCTGGCTCTCCCTAATCTGCCTGCCCCTTTTGGTTGGACCATCTGAGCTCCGGGCTTTGGCTGGTCCTCATGCATTCATTGCATCCAGACAGGCATGGCTAGGATGGGTTCTGGGGACAGTAAACTCCTTCTGCCCTCTGCCAATTTGCCTCCTTCTCTCCAAGAACCACAGTGTCTCTCCAGCACCTTCCATGACACGTGGGGTGCGGCGAGAGGCAATGACCGTCCCAAGGTCACTTGGAGGTTCTGCAGTTTTATTCAGAAATGTTAGTGTAGCATTCTGAGGTTCTCAGATGGTACTCAGGGGGCAAATATTGTTAGAGCAGTGCAGAACGACTTTCCCTTCTGGTTTTGGAGGAATCGGAAGGGAAAAACTTGGAATTCTATATGCTCCAGCTCGTGGCCTCGTCTTGACAAAAGCCCTTTGAGGATTGAAATAACTGCACCTCCCGGCTAGCACCAGCAGCACTTTCTCTTTGTCTGGAAACTGCTGTGCTGGTGTTTGCAGAAGGGGATCCTCCCTGCTAACTGTGTACTCTTTCAGCCCTGCAGAAGGCCGACTTCCTAGGAAACAGGACTGCTCATTCCACCGGGCCTCCCTGTTGTGTATCTTGTCTTCAAATGAATCATTGCTTCTCGTGACTTATTGACAGGCCTGATTTGGCCCTGCAGAGAACCCAAAAGCTGCGGGTGGCAGACCCCTCGGAGGACAGGAACCTGGACTTAGTCTTTGGATTCCTGAGGTTAAGCCTAAGACCCTCCAGTTACAACCTGGGGGAAGTTGCTTTACCTCTGAGAGTCTGTTTCTTGATCTGTAAAGTAGGAATAACCATTTCCACCTTACTGGGGGGCATCGTGAGACAATATTTTTTTAAACACTGGTCTAAATGTGGAAGGCCAGAAAGAGTTGAGCATTTGAGGCTATCAGCAAGGATGCTGACATGGAGTTATTTGGCCCCATAGTGACAGTGTGCACCTAATGCCTTCGTTCTGCCAGGCCAGCTTCTTAGTCTTCCTCCTAGAGCTCCTCTTTTGGTTCCTGGACTGTGCTGGGGGGCCGGGGTGGTGGTCCTGATCTCATCAGGCATCCCTACTATCTGCCCAGGTGTGTGCTTTAGGACCAATGCACCCTGCCCAAGTACTCTTCACTTTGTCTATTGGCAGCTCATGCTATTTCTTTTTGTTTACATTTTACATTTTATCAAAGTAATACGTATAGATAGTTGACAACTTTAAATACAAGTCTTAATGGCAGAGACTCCCTAGTTCCATAGCTGGCTATGGCACTCCAGAATATAGATGGTATTTTCCAGCCTCCTTTGCACCTAGGAGTAACCATGGGACTAGGTTCTGGCCAGTGAGGACTTGGTTCTGGCTGGAAGTGTTATGTAGTAGCTTAGGGGGAAACTGCCTAAAAAGACAGAGGGTGTGAACCCTTTTTCATCTTTGTCCCTTCCATCTTCCATCCTGCTGACTGGAAGGTGGATTCGACGGCTGGAGCTGGAGCAGCCATATTGATCAAGAAGGACATCTTGGAAATGGAGGCCATGCATGGTGTAGCAGTGAGAAAAAGGAGATCTAGTCTTCTAGAACTTTGTGGAGCAGCCCTGAGTTGCGAAGCTCCAGCCTTTTGTCTGAGATAGAAATACATTTCTGTTTTTTTGGTTTTTTTTTTTGAGATGGAGTCTCACTCTTGTCACCCAGGCTGGAATGCAATGGCATGATTTCGGCTCACTGCAACCTTCGCCTCGAGGTTCATGCGATTCTCCTGCCTCAGCCTCCCAAGTAGCTGGGATTACAGGCACCTGCCACCATACCCAGCTAATTTTTGTACTTTTTGTACAGACGGGGTTTCACCATGTTGGCCAGGCTGGTCTCGAACTCCTGACCTCAGGTGATCTGCCCGTCTTGGCCTCCCAAAGTGCTGGCATTATAGGCGTGAGCCACTGCGCCTGGCCACATTTCTGTTTTAAGTAAGGGATTTTGCTTTGAGTTCCAGTTTCTTTTTGCTAAAACTGATTCTAGCAGAACCAAATTACAAGTAGCTGTACAGTTTCCCACCACTGAATCCCACTCCCAGAGACAATCACTTGCTGCCCTTGAGCTGTTTCTTCTAGTATTTCCCTCCAGATGGCTGAACAACACAGCTCTGCTGCTATGTCTTGTTTATGTGTTTATTTTATTTTAGATGTTATCTATTGACATCTTCCTACAAAATATTGGGATTCAGCTCTCTGTTCACCCCCAATCCTCTGCTACTGCCCCAAACACTGTCCTTCTGCTCATCCTCCCAGTGCAGATGACTGGCTGAATCCACATATAGTGCATTTGTCCCTTATTACACCCGTGTGAATATTGTTCACATCTGAGCTAAGTCCCTATGCAGGGAGCGTTTTAAGGATGACATTTTGTTTTTGAAAATAACTCTTTACTTTGCATGGAATTAATAATGTATCTTTTGGGATGTGTCTAGTTCTCTTTTCTTTCAGTACTTTGTGAAGGAACAAATTACATGTAGTAAAATGTACAAATCTTCAGTGCACAGCTTAATGACTTTTACACATGATCTCCTGTGACACCTCCCCCGAGGCCAAGATATAGAACATTCCTGTCATCCCTGAAGGTTCCCTTGTGTTCCTATCCGGTTAATACCTGCCTATGCTTTTCTCTCCGGATATAATCACTGTTTTGACTTCTATTCCTATAGACTAGTTTTCCTGTTTTTGAATCTCATATGAATAGACTCCTACTACATGTGTCCTTTTCTGCCTGGCTTCATAATGTCTTGAGATCCACAAGTTGTGGTGTGAATCAGCCATTCATTCCTTTAAATTCCTTTTAATATTTCCATCCAAGTAATATTCCTTGGATGGAAACACCACAGTCTGTTTATCTGTCCCTTATTTGATGGGCATTTGGCTGGTTCCAGTTTTTGGCTATAATATTCTTGTACCAGTATCTTTGTGGACATAGGCACTCACTTTTCTGGATATTCCTAAGACTGGGATTGCTGGGCCATTGATGGGTCTACGTTTAACACTATAAGAGACTGCCAGCTGGGTGCGGTGCCTCATGCCTGTAATCCCAGCACTTTGGGAGGCTGAGGCAGGTAGATCACTTGAAGTTAGGAGTTCAAGACCAGCCTGGCCAAAGTGGTGAAACCCTGTCTCTACCAAAAATACAAAAAAACTAGCCAGGCATGGTGGCACATGCCTGTAATCCCAGCTGCTCAGGAGGCTGAGGCAGGAAAATCGCTTGAACTTGGGAGGTGGAGGGAGGTTGCAGTAAGTCAAGATTGCACCACTACACTCCAGCCTGGGCAACAGAGCAAGACTCTGTCTCAAATAAATAAATAAATAAATAACAATAAAATAAAATAAAAAGAACTGCCAAAGAGTTTTCCAAAGTTGTTGTACCATTCATGCCGCCGCCAGGAGCAAATGAGAGTTCCAGTTGCTTCGCTGACTTGTAACACTTGGGCTTGTCTGTTGTTCTTAATTTTATCTACTCTGCTGGGTGGATAGTGATTGCCATTGTGGTCTTAATTTCCATTTTCCTGGTGACTAATGATATTGAGGCCCCCTTCATGTGCTTATGGGCTGCTTGAACATCTTTATTTGTGAAATGCCTGTTCAAGTCTTTTGCTCATTTTTGGCTTTGCTATCTGTACCAAATTTAATCATAACTGACTTATCCCCAAGCCATCTGAGAGAACCATGCAATGATCACCTGCAGCCCCTCCTGTCCCCACCTCCTGGTGGGGCTGGCTGCTGTCTCCACCACTGCACAGCTGCACGTTCTGGGACCCTGCCCTCTTTCCTGGGCTGGATCTCTGCTTCCTGAATCAGATTATGTCTTAGCCAGTGTACTTCATTTTTGGTGGAGCACAGTCCCAGGAGCTCCATGCAAAAGGATATTTGAGAAGGAAATGTTTTGAGACCTTCCATGCCTGAAATACATCTTGATAGTAGCCCACTTGATTGATGATCTGACTAGGTTTAGAATTATTTTCCCTTGGCAGGCTGAAACATTGAGCCTCTGGCTTTGGGCTTCCAAAGTTGCTGTTGAGAAGTCTGATGCCATACTGATTCTTGATCCTTCTTATGTGACTTTTTCCCTGCTCCAGGAACCTTTTGGGATTTTCCTCTTTACCAGTAGGAGTTTCAAAATTTCACAAGAATGTGTCTTGTTGGGAAACTTTTCATTGACTGCCTTGGGTTCTCTGCAGGCCTTTTACATCTGGAATCTCTTACCATTCAGTTCTGTACTATTATTTCTTAGATAATTTTCTCTCTACCATTTTCTCTGTTCCTTCATTCTAATGTTCTTACTACTTGGGTGTTAAATCTCCTAGACTGATCCTCTGACTTTCTTATCTTTTTCCTTCCATGGCCCATCTCTTTCTGAGAGATTTTCTCAAATTGATCTTCCAACTGTTTTATTGTATTTTTTATTTTTTCTCTCTTATTCTAATTTTCAGGAACTCTTGTTTGGTTTCCTGAATATTCTTCTTCATATCCCCCTAAGAAATGGGATGACCATGAATAGCTTAGATGCACCTGTGAATGTGGGCAGGAGGCCTGCGAGGGCCAGGCTGGTGAAGCCCTTGAGTGAAGTGGACAGGGTAGGAGACAATACGGAGTGGTGGGGACTGTGTTGAACTGGAATGTGGGCTCAGTATTGGCAGATGTTTTCATTCTTGAAAAGATGCTGCAAATTTGGATTTTTGTGGCTTGCACTTGCTTGCAACGAATCTGGTGTTTAAAAAATCAACACGTAAGTCAAACAAAACACACTTACAGGCACTATTTGGCCTATGAGCCACCATTTTGTCCCCCCCCAACCCACCCCAGGTATGGACCCTACAGTGTGCAAATGAGTGTTCCATTCCTTCTGTTTTTTCTTTCTTACAACAACTCTGTGAAGCCTCTTGCCAGAGATCTTGTCACGTGTAGAACCTGTCTCAGGAACTAAGCATAGTGTTCTGTTTAAAGGTTTTGTTTTTGTTTTTGTTTTTTTTTTCCAAAAAAGCGTTGACCTCAGGTAGCCATGGTGTGTGCTGCTCATATCTCCCTGCTGTGAAGAATGAGATTTGCTCACAGCTTCCAGCTGCCCCACTGTCAGGGCCCCTGACGGTGTCCCTGCTGAGCCACCCTCTTCCCAGGCTGCTCCCAGCAGTGACTGAGCACCTAGAGGTGCTGGAGCAGGGCCTCCATCTGTCCAGCACAGGCCTCACGTTTCACTCTGGGGCTCCCCATCATCCTGGCAGGGACTTTTGGGGCTGAGCTGCAGTCCTGCCCAGCTCTCCTTCTGTCCCCTCTGTCCCTCCAAAAGTGTCAGAAAGCACCATGGGCCGAGGCTCTGCCTACCCACGCCTGTTCTTCGCATCATCCTTCATGGCGTTTCCCCTGCATTTAATTCTGCCTCTGCTTCCTAGAGGACCCTAACGGGCGCAGCTTTTGGGGCTCCAGGCTTGGAAATATAAGTATGGAGTGGCTTCCCTCTTGGCCTAACATGTTTGCTTAGACAAGTGGTGGTTGGAAAAGGAATCTCAGGACATTCAAGGTTGGCAGGGAGGGGCCTCAGAGGGCAGCCGGCCCCATTCCTTCTGCACAGCTGCAGCCATTAGGAGGCCGAGGACGTCCCCACCAGGTGCTGGTGACCATCTGGAGGGGTTACAGGAATGGCTTCCCTCCTTGGAGGCGCTGGGATGACCCAGGGGCTGGAGGGCCAGGAACTCTCTGCTGGTTTGCTATTTTCTGTTGGAATGTGGGGAATACAGCTAGGCTGCTTTCTCCTGAGGTCTGTGAGGAGCCTCCTACCCTGGCCCTGCTTTGAGACACTTGGGGCAGGGGAGTTTGATCAACTGATCCCCTTCCTGGGGTCCTCCGCCGCTTTGGTCATTGTGCTCCCAGCCATGCTGGCTCTCTAGAAATGAGAGTTTCCATGGCGTTGCATGCTAGGGAAGAGGTAGGAACCCAGCATGAAGGCATGAAGCCGATGTTTGCTGAATGACCCTGGAGAAGGGAGGTCTGAGCGGTAGAGGCAGTGGCTTCTCTTTCTTCTCATATCTCATTATTGTGCTCGCTCTCCATTGAATATTTCAAAATGACACTTTTGCAATCAGGGTCACCTGACCTTGGCTGTTGAAAGGGATGGGGCTGTGGCAGCTTCAGGGGAGGGAGGCTCCTTCCATCTCCCTCTCCTCACTGCCCCCCTGACAGTTCCCATGCACCCGATGGAGCAATGGGACCCCCCTTTCTGTCCTTGCCTTACTAGGTGAACGTGAGCCCAGTGCAGCCTAACTCATTTGCTGCAGACCTCGCCTGCATTTTCCAAGTTGGAAGAGAGGAGAAGGGTCTCTGCTGCCAGGTGGCTTTCAGTGTTTCTCCTGCAGAGGTGGGCACGAGCCCCAACAGAGACCTGGGAGGGGAGGGCTTCTGAGAATGGTGGGCCTGGCAAGCCCAGAGGACTGTCTTCATTTTCATGGTGTTATTCTTGGCTAAGAAACACAGGCGAGCTCTCTAGCTTTTTGAAAATTTGCCCCACTTACTCTGAGAAGGCACTTGGACCCTGTCCTGGGGCTCCATTTCGTTCCTTTGTGCCTTTCATCGTTTCACTTTTTAAAAATACATTTCTCTTCATTTCAGCTGAGTCATTTTCCTCCTCCTCCTCCTCCTTCTCTTCTTGACACTCCCGGGAGCCAGAAGGAGCCCTGTCCCGAATCCTTGGCTCCTGCAGGCCAGATCTTTTCCAAATGTCAAACTCTTAGGAACCTTGGCACAGAGCCGAGTGGGCTCTGGCCCCAAATCTCTTTCCTCCCTTGTCTTTGTCAGGCTCTGCTTTCCTTTCTCAGTAAAGAGGTTTATTAATTAGCTTTTCTGTAAGTCCTTTGCCTTGAGGTTTTCAGAGGGAGCCCTGGCAGGAAGGGCCCTCTGCTCCTGGGCATGGGCCTTGGTGCCACCCGGTGGAGCTTGCCACATGGCACTCCTGGTGGAACTCAGCTCGGTGAGAGCATCATGGGGCTGCTCAGGAGCTGCTCAGGGCCCACTCACCTCACTGGGGCAGGGGCTGGGACTCGTTCAGGGCTCCCACTTAGTTAGCCTCCAACCCCTCATGCCCACTTCAGGCAAAGTCTCACCCTGCGGGGCTGGCCCCTCTGTTGGGTCCCTTAGAGACCTTGAGCCTGCCCCAGAAGAGACAGGACAGAGTAAAAAGCATGAGGCAGCTCATCCCATCCGTGATCTTGGCTTTAGGCCACTGTCTTCTGAAATGGCCGAGAGAAATAACCACCACCCTTTACGTGGCATGTCATCGTCTTCAAAGCATTTCCTAGGCTTTGTGACTTTTTATATAGCTTAAGTCATTTTATCTTCAACTGCCCTCCATCCCCCTGAGAAAAGCAGGATAGCTGTTGGTTTCCTTATTTTGTAGCTAAGGAAACAGGCTTAGAAAATGGAACCGATTCGCCAAGGTCTCAGGGCCAGTCCTGATTTTTTCAGTCATTAGTTATATTTCCTTCTTATCCCCAAAGAGATTTACCTGGTGCAAGATGAGTAGGTGGCTGGATTGGTACCCCTGTCTATGTCTCCTGACTTCAAAATTACAGGCTTCCCAGCGATTTTTAATTTTGACACCCTCTCACTGATTCTATGACATGTTGATCCCTTGTACAAGGATGCAAGGATATATTTGCTTTAGAAGTTAAAGTAAATTGAAACTCATCTGATTTGACATTTTGGCACCATTTTAGACAAGAGGTTTCTTTCATTCATTCGTTCATTCATTCATTCACTCACACCGAGCAATGGCAGAGCTGCTGGGGATACAGGCAACTGTGTACAAAAAATGACATAGCCTCTGTCCTCATGGAGTTTAGAACCTGTGGTTCTTATAGTACCAAGGGTGAAAACAGCTTAGATTTGAAGAGTATGGTGTAAGATCCTCCAGCCTGTCTTGAGGGAAGCCAGTCACTATGGAAGAAGTGAGACTACCCCCGGACGGCCATGCTCTGACAGGCCTCGGGGGATGAGGCACCACAATGGGGACTGTGGGAGAGGTGGGACGGGAGAAGAGAGGAGGCCTGGAGCACCGAGGCACCATCTTGGGAAGGTCATCTTGGAAGTGGATCCTCCAGCCCCGGTTGCCCCAGCCACCACCATGTGAAGAGTCTAACCACCCTTTCCAAATTTCTGACCTGTAAAATTATGAGCAAAATAAAATAGTTGTTTTATACCTACTAAGCTTCAGGAGTAGTTTTGTTAAACAGCAATAAACATCTGGGACAGAATTCTAGGGACTGATCATTCTTTCTGAACAAAGCCCTCTTTGGAGCCCTTGGCCCTTTGCAGAACATTATTCATATCTCAGGGGACAAGCAGGTGGTCCCTGTCCTCTTTAGCATGCCACTGCTTTTTTACATGTGCATTCCCCCTTAGTTTTAAGAACCATAAAAATTCCTGGAATTTATCGAATGGGAAACGGAACCAGCTGATTCTCCTCATTACCTTGTGAACAATACCCTGCCTCTGAGAATTCCATGTAGGAGCTTTCCTTGTTTCTCCCAAGTTTTAGCTCAGGCGTGATGTTCAATGGTGGCAAGGTGGTTACAGATTCTAAGGTGCCATGAGATCTGGGTTCATCCTGGTGTGGAGTCCATTTCATGCATAAGCCTAGGTTGGCTTTGTGACTTTTTTTTTTCTGTACTCTTTGGGAAGTGACTTTTTTTTGTTGTTCTTTTTGGGGAGTGATAAAAACTGAACTGCTTATGCAAGCAGCAACACGGGACTCCTAGCCCAAGGCTTCTATTGCTCTTTTCTTCTCTTCTCCACCCACAAAAAATAATTCACATAAAAACTGTTCTCTGGCCAGGGGTTGTCGCCTCCTCAGCAGGGGGCTTTCTTTTTTGTTGACTTTAGAACCAATTTGGTTTTCTGTGTCCAGATTTTGGGGTGCATAGATCCAGCTTCCTTTGGAAACTCTGCTTAAATCCCAGCATATTTGGAAGCTCTCTGACTTCTTCCTCCCACAGCCTAATAATTCCAGAACAGTTGGATTGGAACAACCTTGGGGCTTAGAGGGAGGCAGCTGAATTTCTCGACTCATTTGGGTGCATTTAACCCATGTGTTCACACTTGGAGTGCAAGAAGACAAGGTGGAGGGGTGCATTTGCATGCTGACTCTAGAGCTCACTAGCCTTGTGACTGGCTCCAGGCATATTAAATGTCATGAAGCCTCAGTTTCTTTATCTTTAAAATGGGTTTCAGAAATAATATCCCTAAAGCACCAGGCAAGGCACGGAGCACATCATGGGTCCCCAGGAATCTGCAGCTGTCCTGATGAGGGTGATGATGTTGGTGAAGGGTTTGGAGGAGGCTGGCTTCTCAGAAAGGTGATGGGGTGAGTTTAGTGAGGAAAGCTCCAGCTGCATGTTTCAAGAAAACCAGATGCTCCCCAAATGCTTTCCCAGTGGTGCATGAGAAGAATCTTATAAAAAATTATCCACATGCAAAGAAAAATGAGGAGGCTCCACGATTCTCCTGCTTTCCTTATCGGAACCAAAATTTGAGTCTTTGCAGAGAGTAAAGGTGAGAGCATTAACTTTCCTTTCCATTTTGAAGCAGAACTCCTTGGAGGCCTGGAACTATAAATGTAAGAGTATAATTATTCTTTCCCCAAGCCTCGTGTAAAATAGGCATAACACTGATTGGTTTAACTTAAAAATAAATTTAAAGTGGAGATTCTAGGCCTGAAGTAGGGGAAGGTGTGTGGGCTTAGGAGTCCTGATCTGAGTTTGAGTTCAGACCCCACCCCACTCACTAGCCACACAGTTTGGGACAAGTCTGTACCTCAGTTTCTTCACCTGTAGAATGAGGATAATACCTATTATTTGTGGGATGTAATGAGGATGAAATAATGCATGCAAAATGCCTACTGTGGTGCCTGGAACATAGTAGGTACACCAACAGTGGCACAGATCACGTAAACCAGGGGCTCCAGCTCTGTTCTGCTGTCGTGAGCAAGAGCTGGGGAGGAGGCAGTGGGCTTCCCTCTATATGCCAGGCCACTCAGCTGTTAAGCTGGTGGTGTCTGCTGCAGGCTCAGTCTGAGAGAAGGGGTGGCCAAGCCACAGGGGAGACTCACAGGGGAGACTCAAAGGTGAGACCAGAGTGAGCCTTAAGGACCTGCCTAATGGGGTGTGGGGGTGGCACTTCCAGGCCAACTGCATGAAATTTATTCTCCTCCTTGTCTGGGTGACTCAGGCAGGGGCTTGGACAGGGTCCCTCTGACGGAGAAGCCTAGGGTAGTCCTCTTCATCTAACTTCCTTCCCTGTAGGCTGAACATCCACAGAAGCATAGGATTCTCTTGACGTAAAAGCCCACTTGCTCACAGCTGTCCCCCTGTGCACCGGACATCAATGACCCTCTCAGACAATGACGCTACTCAAGTGGAAGCCATTTATTTAAAACTTTTATTAACGCTTGAAGAAAAATAATGCAATGTGACAATGTACAGGTCCTGTTGCCTAAATCCGTAGTAGAAACAGATATTATCACTTAGCAAGCTCACGTGGTGCCAATTCTGAGATCAGACGGGGTTGTTCCTCCTTAGGAAGTGGCCACTGGAAGCATTGTTTTTCCATGCTATTTCCGTGAAGCCTTTTGCTTGGTTCGAGTTTAAATTTCTCCCTTTGTGTGAGTATGACTATAGTTCTGGCCTGGTGTTTTCTATTTATTTAGTTTTAGATGTCAGCATTTTACTATACTTGGTCCTCTCACTTCAGAATAACAGGGCTATTTATTGATACAAAGGAGAGGTGTTCAGATCATCTTGTTAAGATGCAGAGCTCAAAATAAACACTAAATCTTTATTTGGAGATCCACATCCTTCCTCAAAGGAAGGCTCATGAGTAAATTTGTATGCAGTATAAAGCCCAAGTAGAGGGTGTATTTTTAATGACTACTTTGCTTACATTTTAGATTGTGCAAATGTCTCAATCAATGCTTGCAGGAATGTGGACCTTCCTCAGTTTTAAGCAGAAGACCCTGAGCAATAAATACTGTTGCATGCTTCCAATAACGTGAGGGATGGGATAGAAATGCTATCTACCCGACTTCTGAGGAGAAAACAAAGCAGTGGCATGAAAAATATACAACAGAGATCAGTAAATGGGTTCAAATGAACACAGTAAACCATTTTATGCCTTAGGGGGAAAACACAGAGATAATAAATACAAATGACAAATATTTACAATAGAAGCAACGAATGGGATCAGTAGGCGAACACATAAAACATTTACACGGAGGAAAATGGAAATGTGATGCCTTTCACACATCCAGTCCAGGAGCTGGCGGACAAATGAACAGCTGACTCAGCAACGCAGGAGAATGTTATTGCTTTAGCTTTTGAGTGATGTCAGTAAAACAGTCAACGTGCCTGCCGCGGTGGCTCACTGCAGGAGACAGCCACGGTTTACACTCGTTCCCATGGCAGAGCCTGACACACAGGTCCTCCTCCCCCCAAGGGCAGAGCTGGATTAAGTGCACCAGCTCTTCTGTTCTCTGCAGCCCCAGATCTTGCTGGGTGCCCAGGGAGCCCGGTGGCGGGGGCTGGAGGTGGGGTTTCCTCCCTTCCCCCAACCAATGATTCCCCTCCCCACCCAACCGCCGGCATGGATCATGAAAGACTGGGATTGGATTTGGGGCATAGAAATACTAGCTGTGTTTTGGTTGAAGGCATTCCCCAGGAACAAGTCATTTTAGAGCAGATACGCTTGGTTTCTTGGTGTCTGGCCTCAGGTTGCCTTGAGGAAGAGCTGATGAGTTGACGGATAAGGATGCATATGCTTTTTGACCCACTCACTAGAACAGAGATCAGTAAACTGTGTCCTGTGAGTGAAATTCAGCTGGGAGCCTGTTAAATAAATCTTCCTGGAAGGGAGCCAAGCCCTCTCGTTTGTGTGTTGTCTATGGCTGCTTTTGTGCTAGGACGGCAGAGTTGAGTAGTTTCGACAGAGACCTCACGGCTCGCCAAACTGAAAGTACTGGATTCAGTATCTGGCCCTTTGCAGACAATGTTTGCTGACCCCCTACTCCAGAAGAGCCCAGCCCAGAATACCCGGCCACTCCCTACAATACCAGCTCCTGCTTGAGAAAGGATAGGCTTTAATTTGATGGCCAATTAGGAAGAAAAGGCCTATTTAGGTGATGTTTTAAATAACCCAAGAAACCCACTGCTGAGACTTTTAATGAAAATCCTCACTCTCCTTTCCTCGTATTTTTAGTTCTGTCTCTTCTCTCTGCCTTTATTTGTCCCCTTGGACTCCTCTCCTTATTGCTAAATTTCCAATTAGGATCTGGAAAATCCTGTCCCTTAGAGATTTTCAGCAGTCTCCTTGATTTTATGTAAAAGGTCAGCATTTCCTGATGGGAATTACTAAGTAGTCTTCATTCTCTTCTTTCCTTTCCCATCCCCTCACATGGAGAAGCCAGGTTTCCAGCTGGGTCTCCTGGAATCGCCAGGACGCAGCTTTACCAATCTTGGCTGAGGGTCAAGGTGAGATAACGAAATCCTAAGGGAAATTTGTCAAATGTACTCCCCAGGTGTGTATTTTCCTCTGGGTATAAGGTTTCCCCCAAGTGGGCAGGAGTCCATGTCAGGCAGTCAGATGTATGGCTATGTCGCTGTTTGATAGCTTTTAAAATAGAACTTAAAAAAAAGAAAAATCAGCCTCAAAGGATGGGCTGGTTTTTTTTTTTTAAACCCCCTTTGAGCTGGTTTTAATGACCCAGTTGCTTTGTTTGAAAGCCATTTATTTAGATGACAGATATGTAGATATAACTGGATAAATAAAAAAAGTGAAATCGAGATTTGAAGCAGTGGTTAAAATATAAACTCATAGGGGCCACTCCCTTGGACAGTGTCCCCCCCAGCCCAGACAGTACAATGGCTCAGAAATTACACATAGAAATGACACTCCTCCCTCCACCCTCGCCAAGAGCTCTGAACCGCAAGGCCCCACACAAGAAACTGAATTTCAGTTTGGCACCAAGCACCCCCTCGGCCCCTGCCTCCTCTCCACCCTTCTCCTGCATTCTAAGCGATATTTATTTTTACATTCACTCCTGTCCTGGAATCCAGCCGCCCTGACTTCCGCGGAGACAGCACCAGAGGCTGCTGCACCAGAAGCTTCGGGGCGAGGCCCAGCACCCACTGTGTGGCCCAGCTCTGGGGGCCCTGCCTTGCCCTGCCCCTCCCTGGTTCACCTCCCCCACAACAGAGCGGCCGACACCCACTGACTCCACAGATGGAAAGAAGACAAAGGTACGAGGATAACGCGGGCGCGCTCCCTTGAGTACGTGTAAGTGCAGAATTCACCAGGCACCCCTGAGACCCCACGGCCCCAGGGGTCTCCATCTCACCTGTCCGTTCCGCGAACACACACCTCGATGAAGTCCACAGTCCCCACAGAATCCTGCGTGTGACATCCCCCCTCTCTAATGGTAAATGTTTTGGAATGTCCATAGATAAGAAAATGGACGGCGTGGAGGAAAGATTTCGTGGCCAGGCCTTTCATTTCACCTCCGGATATCAGAATACTCAGACTGTTCGTCTTCCCACTCGCTGCTTCCGGAAGGTCCCTGAGCCCCAAGGCCCCCGACTCTGCCTCGGGCATGGGCGTTTGGGTGGCTCTTGCTACCTCGCTCACCCTTGGCACCTCGGCCAGTCTCCCTACTGCTGGGCTCTGGGAGGTGATGTCCTGCTTCCCCGTGGTGGGCCCTGGAGAGCTTGGTTCTGTCCACCTGGGGCTGGCGCTCGGGGGGCGCCGTGGGAGGCTTCTGGATGGCCGAGGTGCAGAAGCTCAAGATGGAGCACAGGCTTCCCCAGTTCTGCTCACACTGAACCTGCACGCTGTGGGTGATGGCCTCCTTCACCTCCTCCCCACAGGTCAGCAGCAAGTTCACGAGGTCCACGTAGGGTCTAAAGATTGAAAGCAAAGAGAGAGAGAGAGAGAGAGAGAGAGAGAGAGAGGCTGGGAATGGAGCAAGTCCCGAATGGACCACAGAGGGCAGGGGCAATGCTGGGAAGGAGGCATGGCCAGTGCTTGTCTTGGGTTCGGTGGAAGATCTCTCTCAAATGACTTCAAGCCTTTTCTCATAGTCTATGGAGTACTGGCCTCAACCAACACTTATTGGGTGGCCACTGTGTCCCAGGCTCACAGGTGCATAGGGTAAGAGCTTAGGACCCTAAAAGGAAGACCCTCTGGGGATGGTGAGAAATCCAGGTGGCTGCGTGAATAATGGCAGGAGAGCTCTGGGTGCCTTTAGGCTACACTAACTAGGTGAGTTTCAGCTAGAGTGGAGATGGCTCTGGGGTCCAGTGGAATCATAATTAGGCAAATGGTGCAGGGCCTTACATAGACTTCCAAACAGAGGATTCTTTTTGGTAGGGAAGAGGAAACCATGAAGGTTTAGGACCACGTGCCCTCTATGAGAAGCCCCCAAGAAACCATTTTCCCCATGTTTGTGTTTGCCCCGGGTTTAGGCTTCTGATGAAGAAGGGTGTTTTTGGAAGTTATTGGATGCATTTCCTCTGCATCTGGAGGAGTATGGAAGAGCTGAAGTGGGAGGGAGGAAGACCATGTCCCTGGGACGTCATTGCCCGTGCATGCAGTGATTCCCTTTCTCAGTAGCAGAGGCTGGGGAGTAGGTGTGGCCATCTGAGCATCTTTATTCTTTCAGTCTGGGCTTCCTTAGATTTGGAGTTGAAGGCTGGCGGTCAGGGGCCCCTGTGTCTGGACTGAGAGACAGCTCACTGTGCAATGAACTCGCCTAGTTCTGGAGGGCAGAGCCAGTTCCTCAGGCCATTCCGGTTGTCTTGGGTTGTTCTGTAGGAAAACCACTGGAATAATTTACTCCAGGGGGTGGACAAGGTGTGCAGAAGGCAGGAGCATCTGCTTTTTATATTTATGGGCCCATCTGGTAAAGAGTGTCCCCAGCAATGGGCTCTCATGGGCCACTCACTGAGCTTTTATTTTAACCTCTCACTGGCCTTTAAAACCCCCCAAGGGGGGTATAGAATGTTTCACATGGCTAACCAGCATTCCTAGGCAGTCCTCGCTGGCAAAGTTTCTGATCTATCTGACCACAAGCATTGCAGCTTTGGGCCATCACCTTGAGCAGGGAAGTCACCATGGAATGTGAGGTCATTCATAACAAGGAGCAATCTGATTTGTCCTCCCTAAGTCTGGGCCACCAGAGAGGCTGCGTTACAGCCCATGGAGCCTTTTCTTTGCAAGTTGGCAGTTGTTGCTATGTGGAAAGAGCAGACTGTGTTTTGAGATGTGTGAAGTAGTTTACTGCCTTTTTATTAATTATTCCTCAAGTTGGAATTGAGTGAACTGTCCTCACCTCATGGATGCAAAAACTGAGAAAAGCAGGGAGAAGGTGGCTCTTGGAAGCTTCTGGGCTTCAGGGCCCAGGGCTTGGCTGAGAGCAGAGCAGAGAGGAGGAATGCTCTGGCTGAGAGAGATCCAGCTGCTGTTTAGGGCCTGCTTGATGACTTTGGAGTCAGCAAGTCTGTGCATGGCCGCTGGGCAAAGGGCTTTAAACCCCCTAAGGCAGGCCCCTGACAGCGCAAGACAACCTAACCCTGTCCCTTGGACTGCCCTGAGGTGGGCAGGTGGGCATGCAGGAGGCAATATGAGGGAAATGCTCCACGCGTGCTTGTTTCCTTCTATTTTTTGAAAACTAGAAACTGCCTCCGGAGCTCAAGTTCACCGAGTGTGTCTGCTAAAGCAGCAACAGGATTTTAGCACCTGACTGTGCCTGCCGCGGCACCAGGGCTAGGTGAGCACACTGCAGGGGTGAGGGTCTGTCTTTCTGAGATACTAACTGGATGCTGTCTTCAAGCTCCTTTCCCCAGAGTAAGGGGAGGGCTGTCTTGGGAATATGCAGACTGTCTTTCGCCTTCCCGGCCAGGGCGTTCTGTCTGCCAGATGAGCCCCCAGAAGCCCAGGGCGGATCTGGATCCCAGAAGGCTGGATGAGCCCATGCTGTCCTCTGCCCTTGGCCCTCTCTCTCTCCAGGAGGAAGCTGTGAACTGCGGGGAGGGGTGTGTGTGCCGAACCAAGTTAATCCAAGCCGTGTTCCGAGCTGGCCTGGTGCCTTCTGAGGCTGCAAGCTCAGCCCGTGTCTAATGACAAAGTCCAGCTCGTTCAACTGGGTGTCAGCAAGCCTAAAGGATTTTAAAAAATACTTGGAGGGGGATGTGCCTGGAGCCTGCCAGCACCCAGTGACATGGCGAGTGGGGGTAAAACCAGGCAGGCGGCAGCTAGGGGGAGACAGATGCTGTGCAGAAAGTGGGGCGGGCAGGAAGGGGTGAGGGGAGCGGAGAGGAAGAGCTTGAAAAGAGCAGCATTAACTGGGGGTGAGTGTTCTGGTGTGGATGGGGGTTGGGTTGAAGAATGGGGGTGGTGCAGATTCTGGGGTGACTGTGATTTCCTCATCTCTAAAGTGAAAAGCAAATTCAGTTCTCTCTTTTTTTTTTTTTTTGACCAATGCCACACATTTGGAAATGGGCTTCTTGATATTTGGGGACTGATAGGATACTTTAATCAGTTAAGATGGTTGGGAAAAAAAAACCTAAAAAACAGGCAGTTCAGCTAGAAGTACAAGTCGATGCACCGCCACATCATGGCTTCAGAAGGAAAGGTAATGGGGGTTTTTGGGAAGCTGGAGTTAGGGGAGACCCCTGCCTAGAGATGCTGACTTAGGGGGAAGCAAGAGGAACAGCATGTGACCAGGCTTCTTATATGGGCTGCCTGCATTTCCAGAGCAGGCTGGGGTGGGGGGTCATAGGCTCATTCTGAATGGTGTGAGGAGACCATGGCCCCGAGGGCCACATTCCCAAGAAGGAGACACTAGAACGCCAGAGAGCTTTACCTTCTTCTTAAATTAAGGGGAGGGGGTGGGACTTCCAACCTTCAGTTTTCCCAAAGAATACTTTTCTCCAAGAAAGATAGAATTCCTGTGCTCCAGGCATGCATTATAGCCTTATAAACTAGGAATGGGCCCCATTCCCCACCGATTCCTGAGGCCAGCAAACTCTCTCTAATGGGGGACAGGGCTAGAGGCGAGTGAAGCTCACGGTGTTTCCTAGCCATGGGGCATTTTTCTCTTCCAGAGGCACCTGAAGGAAGGGAATTTTAGAGTGTTCTCCTTGTGTAATGGGGATATATTTGATAAAAGGACAAGAAGCCCACCACATGTGGGGAGCTGTGAGCCCTTTCAGGTCTAGGAGGGAGATAATAGGCTGGGAGCAGGTTTGAAGTCTATTCCTGATGACTGGCTTCAGTCATGTATACCAGCAATTCCGAAGCTTAAAAGCAGGAATCAAACCTCAGTCCGAGTTCTCTAATCTCTTAGCTTCACTTTCCTCCTCTTGGGCATAGTAATTTCTATCTTGTAGCATCTTTGGGAAAGATAAATGAGATAACCCATGTAAAGGCCCTGGCCAAGGGCCTAGACCATTAGAAAAAAAATTAAAAAAACATAAAAAAAGACAGCTATCATTGTTGTTGATGATGCTGTGGCTGCTATTGTTCCCTTAAAAATATTTGAAGAATAAAAAATATTTTGTAAGGCGTTAGCCTAATTCGAGGAAAATGCAATATTGTTTTGCTTTTGGCAAGAGCTTCCTGCAGAGTTTCGCCATGAATTGTATGATTCTAACACTGTAGCAAGGGTGTTGCAAGATGCCTATGACCTTATAACCAAGTGGAAAGAGACAGGAGGTGCTTGCTGTTCTCTGTCATCTAAGTGGTGTTGGTGTGGTAGGGACATAACTGGAAGAAGGTTGTGGCACAAACTGAGGATCAAGAGTTCATAAAATTATACCGATTTGGCTCAATGAGTCACCGTGGAGAGACCAACAGTGCCATCAAACTGGTAATGACTTGTACTGAACTGGTTGGCTAGTGGCTTTCTTTCTGCCCTGTGTCTCTTAGGAAAGAGCCATTGTCAATATTTAAAAAAAAAATCTTCAGGGGCTCCTGGCCCTGCCTCATGTTAGGAACAATTGTGTACCAACATGCTTTACCATGCTGCAAAATTTAGGATCCTGTGGCTGAAATATTTTGTAAGAAATGATGCATCCTGAATTTATCATTGAATTTCAAGTCTTGAAATAAGTAAGTTCACATTTCCTTGTTTTGGCATAGAAGTGTTTAGCTGATTAAAGTTTTTGGCACTTGTTTTGCATTTCCTCTGAGAGGGCACTAATGTATGAGAGAAGGTAAACCGAACCTTCTAAGGGAAAGGAAAGTTAAGGAGGCAGGAAAAGCATCTATAGCTCTGTTTTCGGGATTTAAGAGTATAGGTTCTGGAGGCAGACTGCTCAGCAGACTGGAGCCAGGTCCCAAGTCTGGCTTTGCCTGTCACTAGCTGTGTGAGCTCTGCCTTAGTGAGTCTCAGTTTTCTCATCTGTCAAATGGAGGTGACGAGGGCTGTGGTGAGGATCAAGTGAAAAATTCACAAGGAGCCCTTAGCCCAGTGCCTGGCGCTTAGTAAATATTCAACAAATGTTATTAGCAATTTGCTGTCTGTAAGGACACCTCTACAGCTACTCAGAATATTCTGAGAGCTAGTGGGTTCTTGGCTAAGGGGAAGATGAAGAGTATTACTGAATCGACACATTTCATTCTTAGTAAAACGATTTCCCATTTCTGTTGCTTGTGATTTTGAGACTGATGAGGGAATTCTCTCTTTTCCTAAAAGCCAGCAGGAAAGGGGCCTTTTAGTAGAGTCAGTGTAGCTTTCTGAAGTAAATGGAAGCCTTCTCCATTTGACAGGCATTCAGCCTCTAGAAGCAACGCGGCTCTCCTCCCATACACATTGCCATCCTTGCTGGGTGGCCCCTTCACCCAGGCCCTCTGCGGGGCAGTACTCACTCGTGCAGCAGCAAGTCCTTGAAATGGATCATCTCCACTATCACCCGGGTGTTCTCCTGGGCAGCCGCGCACAGGTCGTGCTTGAGGTAGCATTCCCGCTGCAACTGGGACACCATTTCCCTGATGGCCGGGCACTTCCGGCTTATGCAGCCGAACCTGTGCCGCAGAGCGTGGGCCTTACATTTCAAGGCGTCTTTGATGAATGACTTGCCCTGAGAACACACAGGCCGGGGAAGGGAGAGAGGGGCAGAAAGCAGAAGACCTCGTTACATGCTTGGACATTTCAGCCCTTCTTGGGCTTACACAGGATATTTCTGACATCAGAACCCCAAGGCCCCACCAGAGACGGACGTCCTCCCAGGTGACAGGCAATGCGACATCCGGAGGCACGTCCAGAGTGACATGACACCCCCAGCACTGGGCAACAAGGGATGTTCATTCTGTAGACGAACACATCTCCCTCCTTCCTCCCTGGCTACTCTGTGAGTTTCCCTCCAACGGGGGCTTCCGTGGCTATGTGTCCCTCAGGTAGCCCTGTGTTGGTTGTGTGGTGGCAACTTTTCTGGAACACAAAGGGAATTTGGCCAGACACAAATCCATAAATCCCTCACGGTTCTCACAAGCAGTCTTCCCTAAGTGGAAGGTGCCTGCATGTCCAAATCTCACACGTTTCCTTTTTCCCTTGATTCCAGGGGCGACACCGAGATTGATTGCTGATTGTACCTCCCTTTCTGCCTCCGTGCCTCCCACGCCCCAAATCCATACCCTTGTCTCCTCCTACCCTACCAGGAAGAGCGCTCTTTTCCTTTTTGAAAATGACTCTACTCCTTTAAACTGTTCGGATTATTGCCTCTAAAAGGCTGGCCTGGCACCCTGCCTGGCAGCATCTGGAGTCTGAACTGCCGCACTGGCGGCCCCTCCCCCACGCTCCCTGCCTCCGAGTGGCGAAGGCAGCCAGGCATACATCTGGCCTGCAGTTCTCTTTCCTGGCAACCCCGTCTGATTGTGCTTATCCTAGAAAGGAGACAGCTGTTGGGGGTGTGGAGGCGAGCTCGGTGCTGCTCCCTTATCAACCTCGCGCAGCCCGGAGGCATTGTGGGATGCCTACCCGGGAATCCCCGCACCCCACATTACTATAGAAACTAGCTGTCGTCGGAGAGGTCACCCCTCTGTTTTTAGACAGGCCCGGAAGTCACTGAGTTGAGAAAGTAAATGGGTTTAGGTTGGAAGTGGGAAGCCAGCCAGCACATTTATTTTGGTTTTGTCTTTAGCAGCCATAGAAATGTCTACAGATAGCGTCTGATCTCTGAAAAACCATGTGGCCCGCATGGCCTCCCCGTGGCCCCCTCTCTTTTGACTCTCCAGCCAGAGCCAAACAGAATGGAGGGCAGGGTGTGCCCGTTTATTAAGCAGTTATGTGCTGAGCATCAACTTGAAAGGGATGTCTCTAACTTGAGAACGTATTCCTGTTGGTTGGGAAAAAAAAGAGGAAGATGAATTTATGCGAGGGCTGTGGCAATCTGTTCTTGGTATTCTTCCCTGACATCCTGTGGGATTGCCCTTAAATACACGTCTTTCCTCCGGATTTCCTATTACGTTTCCTAATTCCCGTTAATCCAGAGTGATGCTTTATTAGGGAGCCTCAAGGAGTTCAAAGTTCTACCTCTTTCCTTCCCTGGTTTCAGTTTCCCCTCTGGCCACACCGCACATCCTCTGCAGTTTAGGCTGCCAGCCCCGTCTTCGCCTCCCCTCCTTGTTCCCAGGCACTGCTTTGTCAGGCTCACTACTATATGTCAGTGGATGGGGACTGGTGACATCCATAAATCTCACCTAAGCTGATGGCCACCTCCAAATGTTGGCATTGCTCTCCAATGAAGCAGGAGAGACGTTTCTGAGATATAGTAACAGGGCGTTTCAACAGGGCATATAAGTGGCCAGGGAGAACACGAAGAAGGTGAGTCTGATGCCACATGCCATCTAAAAATGTATTTGCGTTGTTGGCACTGGAGCCATATGTTGCTTGTTGTGTTCCTGCCTTGCCCTGAGCAGCAACTCCGCGTTCCCCTTGGGACCCTGGGATAACCGAAGTGGGTCAGGCCCTGACTATATTTATCATATAGAGCAAAAGGAAAGTGTGGAACTGAAGGACTCAATCAGGGTTTCGACCGGTCAGCTTGGGAGAGAAAGATCTGCTACTCAGGAGGAATAGAAGTCTGCTCTTTTGGAGGTCCTGAGTTATTCGGGTTGGCTGCCCACACACCACATGACGGATTTCTACATACTTTGTGTCTCATTTTCCTAGTAGGTGAAATGACTTCTGAAATGTATAATTGGGGGTTCCTGCCCCTGCCTCTCATGCAGTGGGCTTTGGAGACTGAGTTCTGGGTGGCCAGACACAGCGTGTCCCCTTACAAGGTGTTTATCGTTTATTATGACATTGGTCTCCAGTCCACCCTGCCTGTGTAGACACAGCTTATGAGTGCAGAAGGGAGACACTGGCATAATGTTTTATACCTAGACTGTCGCTTGCAAGCACTAAAACACACCACAAGGAACAGCAAAGGAAGTTGGTTAACAAGGCTTTCCAATGAACGTTTCAATCATGTATGCTCACCCCAAACATTCTTCATGCTCTGGATGGATTTTTACCTGGGCATCAAATTTTCCAGCGTTGTGCAGAAAAGTCATGCAAATCCCATGTAAGCCCCGAATCTCACAAGAGTTGTTCTCGAAACATTCAAACACGCCACACCCCACATCGCCAGCGTTGACCAAACAGTGCTGGATCTCCGCTAAAAGGAAAATCACATACAAATATATACAAAACTCTAACCCATGCTGGGCAATGCAGAGAGGTCATTTGAAATAAAAGTTAACAACTAAAGGAAAATTTAAGGAGGAAAAAAGACTTAGTAATGACTATTTCAGGACCTAAAAAGCCTGGGAAACAAAATTTCGTCCTTTAATCTACTCATGAAAAATATCTCTATTTGTAAATATTTGTAGAAAAGAGCCGAAAAATTACAAAAATTACAACCAGAAGGCTGGTCTGAGCATTCCTCCTTTTCATCCTTTCCATTTTATTAAAGTATTTGTGGGAATACTTAGTTTGAGAGCAAAATATATTTCCGCTTTTTAAACCCACAGACAAAAATAAAATTTTGAGTCGAAGACTGTACTTCATCAATGAAGTACCCTTCTCTACTTGATCTGTAGAAGTTGCTGCTATTAAATCACAGCCATTTGCTTCCTGACCCCCAAATGACAGCATCTAAAAAGCAGTTTCAATTCAGCTTTATGATTCAACACCTAAAAATCAAAACAAAATTCCTATTAAGGCAGTGCCTCCCAACCCTTCGCATTAAAATACCAGCTAGGGAAGCTGCGGTTGGCGAGCAGGCTTAGGAGTGGAGTCAGCTGGGGGCGAGCCTTCAGAAACGCCACTATCAGAGGTTGCAGGCTCCTTTTAATTAGGGATCCGGGTGAGGTATCACCCAATCCCCTAGAATTCCCGCAGCCCGGGAGGAAGCTTGCAGCCCTTCACCGAATGTGGCCCCCAGTCCTCTCTCGGAAGGGGCAGACGGAGGGAGTTAACTGTCAGGCTGCAGCGTGCAAAGCCTCTTCCCTCCCTTTCCACTACCCAAGTCTCTGATTTAAATCAACCACAAAATTACATCAGAAAAGTATATTTTGGAAGAAGGGCGGGGTCGGAGCAGATAACCCGCATCAGATTAAATCTAGCCAGAGAATGAGGGGCGTGTATTGTTGAGGGTCACCGACCACCGAGAATCAGGTTCAGTTCTCAGAGGAAGCGCCAGAGGAGGGGGAGGGTGGGCGAGGGTCTCGGGGTGGTGGGGGTGCCGGCCCCAGCATGTGGAGGCGACAGGATCCGTAAGACCCCACGCGCCGCCGGGGCAGGACCGCACAGGGCCGCCATTCACTCACTTGGGGCGTCCCTAATGGGCACTCGTGCATTCCAGCTCGTGCGGTGAGCGCACGCACGCCGCCGCTGCCGCGTTCACACGGCCCCCCAAAGTCGGGGGAGGGGTCGTGGAGCGAAGGAGCTGTAGGCAGATTTTCTTTCTCTTTCCGAGCTGGGAAAAGGGCCAGCCCCGTGCCCTGCACGCCTGGCTCTGCTTTGCAGCTTGCCGGTGAGCCAAGAGCCGGTAGAGCAGAGGAGGCGCACGGTTCGGGTCGTGTCACCATTTCTTGGCTTGCTGACCTGGCCAGGAGCTGGGGATGGCGGCAGCACCGCGGAGGTACGCTTTGCGCTGCCCTCACGCTCCCTTCCGAAAGCAGTGCCCCCAGGGGGAAAGTTCGCAATGCCATTTGTCTCGCCGGCAAAGTTCTGGGATGTCGGGCATCTTTTGAGGAGGGGGAAGACGCGGCACCCTTACTGAGGCCGGCAGGCCAGGAAGAGAAGTTCTCCGGGCGCAGGGCGCAGCCCAGCTCCGGGGACCCTCTGGGCCTCCCGCGTGCCGGCCGGGATGAAGCGCGCTTTGCACCGGACCCGGGATTCGGGGGCGGGGGCTGGCGCTGGCAGCGTCAGACGCTGCTTCATTTCCCCTCGACCCTGGGGAGGACAGCAACAAGTCCTGCCCCAGCCATTTCATCACCCTGCTAGCACGTGCAGATTCCGGGCCCTCGGAGCCCGGCGCGGACCTCGCCTTGCCTCGCGCTTCCCTTTGCACGTCCCGTGCCATCCCAAGAGTTTGCGTGGCCCTGGGTGGGCGCCTGGCTCCCGGCGAAACGCCTGGGGCGCGCCGCGTGGGTGCACGGTGTCCTCTCCCAGTAGCTCCCGGCTGCGGGGGCACATGCACTTACCTGTATTCTGCAGGGACAGGCGGCCTTTCTGCTGGGAGCTCCTGTCTTGGGGACCCTCGGGTGGGTTGGTGGCGTCGGTCCCCCGCGCCGGGTCAAAGGTGGCCAACACCAAAGCCAGGGTCATGAACTGGCCCAGCCGCTCGGCACACATGGTTCTTGGTATTAACCTCCCGTCGGGAGACCTGGATCCTTTGTGCTCCCCTCTTCCTCCTCCTCCTCTTCCTCCTTCGCCGCTTCCCCTCCTCCTCCCACTCTTCCTTTTTGCTCGCCTTTTCCCTCCTCCTCGCGGCCGCGGCTCGGATAGAGGTTACCCAGCGCCCTCCCGTAGCTCTCCGGAGAGCATGTGACCAGGCCGTTAGCAGCGCCGCGAGTGCCCGGCAATGGCAGGGATGGTGCCTCAAATATCCCTGGAAGCTCTGGTGTCACTTGAATGAAGGAGTCGAGCAGGTGTTGTCCCGGCGGCTGGACCAATCCGAGACCCCGGCCCTTTTGACAACACGGCCGGGAGGCGGGGCCTGCGCTCAACTACTACAGGAGGAAGCCGAGCGCCGCTGGGAGCGCCGGACAAAGTTGCCGACCTGGCGGCGGCCACGCGTTTGCGTGCGTGTGTATGAGTGTGTGTGAGCGCGGCCGGAGATGCGTGCGCGTGTGCGGGTGCTCCAGGGCAATGGTCGAAAGGACTGTACAATATAAGAGCGAATCCAAGCTCCAGTTGCTGTTAAAGGGGGACGGTGTGCTCTGGGACAGTGTCCCTGGGGCCCCTGGCTCGCGTCACACCCACATCGGGTTGGGAAAGTTTCCTCTTTCCGCCGTTTGGAATTCAGTGAGATTCCCAGCCCAGAGGACTTGATAAATTGAAGCAGTTTCCTAGGCACAATGATGCTGTGGGCCAACTGAGCACACATGGGAATTCCTGGCCTTGTGACACTTTGCATTAAAAAGAACCCCACGATTGAAGATAGGAGCAGAAGCACTAGATACAGTATTTGGTCTGAGCAACTGCCCTATCTTCCCGCTTTGGTGGGCCGTGCAACACCTGGAGTGTCGTTTCTCGTCTTTCCCCTAATCCAGACGCATTCCAGGCTGGGCTGCAGGGATCCAGGTGACAGTCAGGACTTGCATCATTTCCAGGAGGGTGGCAGGGAGGCCCAAGGCAGCCCTGAGTCAGCCCGCCGCGGAGCATCGCGTGCCCGGAGGCCAGAGCTTGAAAGGCAACTTTACGCGTCTCCAAACACACTCCTGCATTTTCTCAAAGCGCTGCTCGCCACCCCGCTCCGGGTTCCCTTTTACTCTCCAGTCATCCGATGGAAGTGGTGAGAACAAAAACAAAGACAAAAAAGCTAAATCCGGGGAAGTTATCTCCATCTCCTCCCTTTTCTTGTTCGGCCCCCTCCCCAAGAACCGCCGGGTCGGGATAGCCCCCGGCTACTTTCTCACCCGGCCCGTGGAGGGAAGGAGAAAGTTGGGCGCCGCTTGGAGCGCCTCTTCCCCTGCTGTGTGTGTACGTGTGCACGCTCACGTCTCCCCCGCGCCGGGGCCGGGGACAGGAACTGCTCTCGGTCCCGTCACCCCACGGCGCAGCTCGGGGGGCTCGCAGGGCTGGGGGAGGGCGGGGACACGAGCGCCGCGCCCAAGCGCCCCAGGGCACGCACCCGGCGTTGGCGCGCACTCGCCCCTCCCCCCGTCCCCACCCTCCTCCTGGAGAACAGGTGAGCCCCGGTACCAGCTCTCGATCCCCCACCCCCGCCCCGCGCCCCGCCCGCGCCCTCTGCGGTAATGCGCCTGGGAAGTTTCATCACCCACTGCCCAGGCGACGCGGCCCTGGGTCTCCGCGGCGGGGCGCACTGCCCGCCTGGTTGGGGCCGCCATGTGACACGGCTGGGGGAGGGGGCGAGGAGACACGCGGGCAGGTCATCTTTTGGCCGGCGCTTGACTTCCAAAGCTTTCCTTTCCCGTGTCCCGGCTGCACGCGGGAGTGGGGAAGGCGGAGGCGGGGGGCCAGGATGGCCACGGCTGGCCGCAGCTATCCGGCGTGTCGAGCTCTCCTGAGTCGGAAGGAAGGAGAGGAGGGGGTGGGGAGGGCGTCTTCAGAGTGGGCTTCCCCTGCGCTGGAGCGCCAGGGAGCATCCATAAATTGTCACTTTGAAGGTCCGAACCTGCGGCGGTAGGGACCATGCCCACTATTCTAATAGCAATTACTCCGCGCAGCCTTGGATCTTTTGTGCAAGGACGTGCGGGTACAAATACATTAAAACGGCCAGTTCACATTGCCCACCCTGCTTGTGTTTGCATAGTTAACTTAGCTTCCTAGTTTATGGAAAACTACCTCCTGTAGATCCTTAAAAACAAAGCAAACAAACGACACAGCGGCATTCTGGCCTCTCCTAACTAACTCTTTAAGGCTCTGAATTTCCTGAGAACAAGTAGCCATTTGGTCCCACTCCTGCTTATGGGTACAGCTGGGTAGACTTTCTTTCTATGTGGCCTCTTTTGTAGGAGAGAACATGAGCAATATTGACATTAAGAAGGCATCTGGTCACCTGTTTTTTTTTGAGAAGCAGAAATAGGAGAGAGCTCCATGGGGCAGGAGCAAGCCCTCTTTTGCCAGATGCAGACACTTAGTGTGCTGGGCAGAGGCCTCCCAGGATACCTGGAGCGATGGCCAGGGGGATGGAGCTCTCCCTGCTCCTGCTTTGCCCAGCCTTTGGCTAGGCCTACCTTTTGCTACCATGGGGCCCCTGGGGCTGCCCTCAGAGGACCTACATAGTTTCAAAGTTCGTCCTGAGGCTGTTTGCTCCTGCCTTCCAAGGGACATTCCTGGTTTTCACCTGAGCCAACTGCCCCTTTAGAACCAAAAGAACACATAGTAGCTAGAATTGGAGGTGGCGTAAGCACAGGCACTAGTTCTTAAGGGTTTATCTCTGGGCCACTTAGCCAAGTCCAAAGCATCCAGATAAGAATGCCCATCTGAGTCCGACCCGCCAAGGCTGTGAAAATTCCCTTGCAGAATCACTAGGCAGTTTGCTGAAATGGCCAGTCTAGGCCGCAGGGGTAGAAGTGGGATGGGGGCTCAGACTGGTGACTTTGTTGTGATTGACTCCCCCTCTCTCTGGCTGATTCCTTTAGCTTTATAACTGAGGCCAAGTTTGGCAGACTGTGGCTGATGAGGGTGGGGCAGGGGACAGTAATAATAATCATTATTACTATTATATAGCTAACATGACACCGCACCACACACCACACTCATGCCTTTGGTGTCCCTCCAGACCTAGGGCCCTCCCTAGATGGGAACTGAGGCCTGGGAGGTCTCCTGGATGGACCAGCTGCTGTCCTGAGGTTCAGCAGCACCTGTCTGGATGGGCCCTCCTCCTCAATTTAACGCATACACAGCCAGGAAGAGGCAGACATGACCTACCTTGTGTCATCCAGGGCCTTCTGTGGTTGACGCCTGGAGCCCATGTTTTCCTGTCTAAATCCACTTTGCTAGTTACATGCGGTCAACACTGAGTGGCAGGTTTTGGGGGAGGGGATATTTGGGTTAGACCATGAAGGATGGGGGAGGATAGTGACAAGTAGAGGCAAGGAAAAAAGTGGGCATGGGAGGTGGGAGGACCAGCAGGGCTAAATGCATGGAGAGGATCCGGTGGGATTTGTATCAGGAATAGGGGTTGCCCAGTTAGGTGTGAAAGTGGGACATCAAACTGGGGAAGTCGGCCAGGGCATGTTGTGAAGGCTGGGCTCCTTGTGACAAATCTGTGCTCCTCACGGAAGATCTGACGGTATTTAAGGATGAGACTGTAGGGCGCTTTAGACTAGGTTCTCTTTAGGAATTAGGAAATGCTCAGGGGCCCAGAGCTGCCATTGTGGAGAAAGAGCAGAGGAGTGGGAAGGAATTAGTTGGAATCTTCACGTGCGTCTCGATGCCCAGCAAGACAGACGTGTTCTTGCTCGAGTGTGAGCCGAAGGGGCTTTAGCGGATGGGCATAGTTCGTGGGTGCTGAGTCAGTGATGTGCAAGTTGACACGTGCTGCCTGGTCCAGGCTTTCTGAGTTCCGGAACCTGAGTGGAGAACATGGCTTACACGTGGGGAGCTCCACCCACTGCACGCCCCGCCCCCTTGGGGCCGACTGTCTGGGCTGATGGCACCACCTTATGGTCAGAGAGGGAACTGTCTGGCTACACAGTCCTCACGACTCTGCCTGCCTGGAAAGTTCTGATATTGGGTCTCCAGCCTTCTCCCCAGTTTCCTTTCCTTTTCTTAGCAAATCAATTAATGCAGATTTAGCCAATCTCCTCGCAATAACATGCCTTAATCCCCCCATCAAAGAGATCTCTTTCACACTTATTTTCCCTCTTGCTCCCCTATCCGTTGCTGTTTTCCTTTGTGAGTCTCAAATTTACCCTAATCCTGGCTCCTGTGCATCATACCTGTATGAAGGAAAATGAAAAAAGGTATCAAGGTGAAACCGGACAGAAAAAAATAACAAACTGCTGCTATCAGGCCTCCCAAATTATCTTGCAAGCAGAGGTCTCTCCCTAAAAAGCCTCCATCTCCCAGCACTTTGGGAGGCTGAGGTAGGTAGATCGCTTGAGCCCGGGAATTCGAGACCAACCTGGGCAACATGGCAAGACCCCGTCTCTACAGAAAATACAAACATTAGCCAGACGTGGTGGTATGTGCTTGTAATCGCAGCTACTCGGGAGACTGAGGTTCTGGGAGAATGGCTTGAGTCCAGGAGGTTGAGGCTGCAGTGAGCTATGATTGCACCACTGTACTCCAGCCTGGGTGACAGAGCAAGACCCTGTCTCAAAAAAAAAAAAGCCTCTATCTTTGCTCTTATCTTTTTTTCATTAAACTGGTTATTTCATTAAATATAATTCAGGATAAAGGAGATTATATCTTCAATATTTGGGTTTGTTTATTCTTAATACTATAACCAAATTATATTCTACTAATTTATACCATAAAAGTGCAGTGCCCAACAACACAATGAGTTAAGAAGGATTTTGTGGTGCTGGCCTGTAAACCTATCATGTATAATATTGTTTCTTGGAAGAAAATATATTCTGAGTTCCCCAAACAACCAACTTTGGAAGTGTGGGAACACAACGCTTTTGTGAATTGGGCATTTCCTCTCTGTCACAGATCAATAGTCAAACCATTCATGGATTGACTGGAAATACAAAAGAAAAAAAAGCATTAAAAAAACCCCCAAGAGAGTAGGAACACAATAAACCCATTTACTGGAAGGAATATAAAGTAGTAAACACTGGGCATCTGACTGTAGTCTGAGTTTTGTTAACGCCTTTCTCTGAAGCCTGAATGGTATTCCAGAAGGCCTCTCTGTTTTACATGGGTCATAATTTTTTCTTCCTTGTTGTATCTTGAGACAAACTCCAGGAGAACGTATCCCAGGCAAGGGGCTGCCTGGCTTCCATGGAGAGTACTGGTTGGGCCCAGAGGCAGGCATTGTGGTGCTGGAATAGTATGATAGAGCTCTCTCTGGGTGGGTTTTAACTTTGGTTGGAGAATGGTTGGATGTCAAGTGGCTGAAGGAAGAATCTTTTTGTGGGGCAGTTTTCTAGGGAGCCACATTTTGAAAGCTCCAGGAAACGACCAAATCTATTAATGTGATTTAACTTTCAGTATGTTATCAGGGTCCATCGGACCCAATTTTAGATTTTGAAGGTGTTTTTTTTTTTCCTGAGAAATTCTAACAATTTGTAAGGATTGGTATTTCATGACTTTTGTTTGTTTTCAGAAGTCTTCTGAAGATGAAAGATAACATCTAGTTTTTAACAAAAATAGAATAAAACTCATTCTATCTTGAAGTTACCATATGACTATTGAAATAATTTATAAATTGATGATGTATCATAGGATCTTAGAGATCTTAATTTTCTTATATCTTTAAACATCTTCCATTTTATCACCCTAGAAATTATTTCATCATTACTCATCAATTATTGCCAATTATGGTAAAAAAAAAAAAAACACCAATAAGAAATGGGAGAATCATGGAATCACCTAGAAGGATGATGCAAGAATGAAACAAATTATCACTGTTGTATCATCCTTCAGGTTTTTGATCACATTGCCTGAAGTATTACATCATTTCTCGAGAAAGTATAAAAGAAGACAGAGGATACCATTTTTGTAGTCTTCTTCTTCTTACTTTTATCAAATATAGTTGTAAATTCAGCTATATTTTTCATTTTTCTGCACAAACTGTAAAGAGAAGAAAAGTGACAGAGGAAAATGTTGTACAGTTATTAGTCAAATCAGAAGATGAATGCAGAGAGACAGCACTATGGAAGACTCGATAATGGCGAAACTGACTGAAGTGTATAAGCAAAGTCTCAGACTATGAGTCCTACATGATAATAACCTAGATTAATTTCCTCAGATTTAAGGATTCATGAGTAAACAATATATTTCTAAGGATAACAAAAAATATGATATTCTCATCCTGTTAGTCATTCAACAGGAATGATTTCATCACACTATATTTTGCCGCAAAAACTTGGAGCATCCTGTTTTGCTAAAAGAATGGGGGCCAATTTTTTTTTTTTTTACTTTTTATGTTTGTTTATTGAAATTTTCTTGATACAGTTTGAAGGGGACAAATGATGAAGTCAGATCAAAGGTGAGTACAAAGATGATTGAAAAGAAATAGGTGGTATGGAAAGGAAAGAAAAAAATCACTGGACTAAACATTCTAATTGGTGTTTATAAATTTAAAAATAAAAATGCTTTTCAATTACAGAGAAAAGAAGATGACCATCTTCTCCTGAACAAAATTATGAACTGTCAGAGGTTTCAAAGGTAATAAGTTTTATGATGCAAGTGGAAGAAGAACCAGAAGTAATGATGAGCTAGAACTTATCAGAGATTTCCTTGAAATCAGGACTTGGTGTTTATAAGATGGGTCTGTCCCAGGCTTATGCATGACAGCTGGTGAGCAGTTAGTTGCATGCAGAGGACATTGCTCATTTTGGGCCTATCTACACTCAAAACCAGGAAAATATGCTGTGAAAATTTGCTATTACTAACGTCTCTAATAAAGTTTTAAAAAACGATCCTTTTAGTCTTACTTCTGTAGATTTATTCATAAACATAGAAAGGATCCATTGGACCCTGATGGTAAAAGATGATGATGACATTTTCCTGCTACACCGGGGGCTAAGAGTTTAGGGGCAAAATATTAAAACAAAAATGAAGTAAACTCCTTTAGCAAATGGGAGTCACTGTAGAGGTCTCCATCCATTCCCAGCCCTTTCTTACACAGGCCCACCATTGATTGATGATTACTTTAAAGATGGATGGTTTGAATGTGAGACATCGTCACACAGCCTCTCTGTTTATTCCTTTCTTTGGTGTAACTCAGTTCTTCTCAAATTCTGGTGGTGATAAGAATTACTATACAGGACTGATAGAATATCTCATGGACATTATATCTTAATGAATATTTTACAGACGTTTTAAGATTAATTTTGACCACAGAAGCTTTTCACTTTGAAGATTTTAGAATCTAACCCACTCTGACATATATTCATTCATTCAACAAACTCTTGTGCATGTCTGTGTACTAGATTAGGTGTTGCATCCTGGGAAACGGAAAAGATAGACACAGTTGCTGCCCTTATTGTGGTAGCAATCCAGAGGGAGGAAGCAGTAATTTTTATAGCATCACATGGCAGGAGTTACGATACAGATGAACCAGGAGAATGGGTGAGGGACATGGGAAAGGTGTCAACGATGAAAAATGTTAGTTTTTATACTCACTTAAAAAAGTAGAAATTGGATCCTGGAGAATTGGAGGGTGGCATTTCGAGGATGGAGAAGAGGAGAAAGAAGAATCCAGGCAGATGGACCAACACACGCAGAGGCCTAGAGGAGCGAGCAAGCAGCATGTTGCAGAAGCTGGGTGATTTGGCATGGCTAGGAGGGACCGTGTTTCGGGGAGGAGAGGACCCACAGTTGGAACCTTGACTGGGGTTAGACCCCAGGACTTGGTATATCTGGCTTCATCTGCAAGTAACAGAAAGCCCAGCGCAAACCTCTTAAACAATAAAGGAGAGTGCATTGTTCCAGGAAGTCCTGAGGACGTGGGAACTGCAGATGGATTGGAGGGGAGACCCCTGAGTCAGGGACCCATTGAGAAGTCAGGTGGTAAATTGGAAATGGGAAGGAAGAGGTGATTTTGAGGAGCGTGTAGGGACAAACTGGCATGATAACCAAGTTTCGCACAGAAAGCGTAAGTGAGAAAAACGATGGCAGTTTAAAGCCTCTCTTTGATTATCCCCTTGTCACCTTTCCCTCCCTCCTGTCCTATAACACCTTTCCCACCCCTCCTTCGCCATCCCCCATCTCCAGCAAAGACCCCAGGAGTGATGTTTGGTATCCTCCTTTCCTTCACACCTCGGCATGAAACTCACCATCAATTCTTGCTGTTTTCCTCTTCCCATTTCCACCCTCCAAGCCTCAGTTAACTCTGTCTTGAACCACTGCCGGGTTA
Organism: Homo sapiens; assembly: GCF_000001405.40. Classification (NCBI taxonomy): domain Eukaryota; kingdom Metazoa; phylum Chordata; class Mammalia; order Primates; family Hominidae; genus Homo; species Homo sapiens. Next base: position 173,336,562 of record NC_000005.10, read on the forward strand.
ACCAGCTGGTTTCTTGTGTCCACTTTCACTTGCCAATACTCTCTCCAATCCAAATTCTCTGCATCATATGTAGCCAGATTAATAATGATTAAAAAAAAAAAAAACCAAACCACCAAACGAAAAGCCCCCAAACCAAATCATACCTCTCACTTGCTTAACTCCAGAGGCCTCCTTGGAATAAAATCCACTCCTGTCCACATGGAAGGCCCTGGGAGATCTGGCCCTGCTGGTGTGCAGATCTCATGGAACCTACTCTCTCATTTCCTCATTCCCTTCTGGTGCCTTTTTTTTTTCTTTCTTTTTTTTGAGATGGAGTTTCGCTCTTGTTGCCCAGGCTGGAGTGCAGTGGTGTGATCTTGGCTCACTACAACCTCTGCCTCCCGGGTTCAAATGATTCTCCTGCCTCAGCCTCCTGAGTAGCTGGGATTACAGGCATGCACTACCACGCCCGGCTAAGGTTGCATTTTTTTAAATTTTTTTTTTTTTGAGATGGAGTCTCGCTCTGTCGCCCAGGCTGGAG